>NC_000011.10:112020909-112323939 GCF_000001405.40 Homo sapiens | reverse complement strand
GAGAGGATGTGGAGAAACAGGAATGCTTTTACACTGTTGGTGGGAGTGTAAATTAGTTCAACCATTGTGAGAGACAGTGTGGTGATTCCTCAAGGATCTAGAACTAGAAATACCATTTGACCCAGCCATCCCATTACTGAGTATATACCCAAAGGATTATAAGTCATGCTACTATAAAGACACATGCACATGTATGTTTATTGTGGCACTATTCACAATAGCAAAGACTTGGAACCAACCCAAATGTCCATCAATGATAGACTGGATTAAGAAAATGTGGCACATATACACCATGGAATACTATGCAGCCATGAAAACGGATGAGTTCATGTCCTTTGCAGGGACATGGATAAAGCTGGAAACCATCTTTCTAAGCAAACTATCACAAGGACAGAAAACCAAACACCACATGTTCTCATTCATAGGTGGGAGTTGAACAAGGAAAACACATGGACACAGGGCAGGGAACATCACACACTGGGGCCTGTCAGGGGGGCTGGGGCCTGGGGGAGGGATAGCATTAGGAGAAATACCTAATGTAAATGACGAGTTGATGGGTGCAGCAAACCAATATGGCACATGTATACCTATGTAACAAACCTGCACGTTGTGCACATGTACCCTAGAACTTAAAGTATAATTTTTAAAAAGTGAGTACAATTCGCTAAGATACTTTGAGAGAAAGATCACATTCACGTAACTTTTATTACAGTATATTGATATAATTTTTTATTTTTATTATTTATTTATTTATTGTTAGTTACTATTGTTAGTCTCTTACTTGCCTAATTTATAAGCTAAAATTTATCATAGATATGTATGTATAGGGAAAAAAAACATTAAATATATAGGGTTTGCTACTATCCACGGTTTCACACTCCACTGGGGGTCTTGGAACACGTCCCTCTTGGAGAAGGGGGAATGACTCTATTATGGTCAGAGCATTCTCTCTATTGCAATAGTCCCTTCCTATCCCACCCCTTGAAATAATCCTTCCCATAAAATCCATTCTAAGTCCGGATTTGTTTATTTGACAATGGCCATGGATGACTCTAAGGAGCTCTTAGACTCAACAACTGTCTTCTAAAACTGATCTCCAGTCCTGGAAAGTGCCATGAGCCAAGCATCTGAGGGCAGGTAATACGGCCACACTTTAGTAAAGACATTTGTCAGGGCACTGCCACCGCCAGATGCTGTGATGACACCCATGGATGAATGCTAATTATCCTTTCTTTCACCTTTCTGTTTGCATCTTTGAAGTCCTGGCGTCAGATTCAAAGTCCTGGGTGGGAGTGCGTAATTGGACTGGCTCAAGTCCCATGCTTGTGTCCTGAGGTCAGGAGCCAGGACACAGAGAACCTCCCCCAAGTTGGTTTCTGAGGACAGAGGCAGGGCCCTGCCTCCCAGCAATATTACACGCAATGGGGAAGACAGCTTGATGTTAGGACATCCAAGGAAAACCAATAAATGTCTGCTATCTTTCTACCTAGATCCTAGATTTTTGTTTGTTTGTTTGCAGGGGCGAGGGGATGATTGTTGCTGTTTAAAAAGACTCCAAAACTTGCTGTCTCCATCAATAATGTTGGTATAAAGTCCACAAATAATGATGTGTGGCTAAGGCTTCACAGAGCAGTGTACGGTTTCACAGACGATACATCTCTCAAACTCCCATCCTCAAATTGCCCCCTGCCCACACCTTCGGCTTTGATTAATCAACCCAGATGCTGAGGCAAGAAGGGTTCTTCTTGCTGCCCTACATGGTCTCCAGCTCCTGACACTCTCCCCCTAAGCCTGAGCCACTTATCACTGAAGAGGATCCTGGGCCCCATGTGACAGGAGGAAGTGAAGGCGTCAGCATTAACCTGCTACCTGATTTTGCTGGGGCCTCTGCCAAATGCCTGTGGGGAGCTGCAATAAATTGTTGTGCAACATGCCAACGTAACAGCTGGTGACCAGCCATTAGGGTAATCCACTGAGCATGGGAATTTCAAAAACCTCTCAGCACACACAGAAAATGAGAGTTATTGCAAAACCAGGTGTTCCCGTCTAATTGCAGGAAGTGGTTTGAAATGTTAATCTGCTCCCACAAACAGCATTTTGCATGTGAGGAGTGTGGAAGAAAGACTCCCAGCCAAGGCTTAATAGAGGAGAGCAAATACTTTGTTCCCTCATTTATTTAATCCTTTGAGGTTGTTTCCAAGCTTTTGAGTCATAGAATCACAGAGAAATGTGGCTGGAATTGACCTTGAGGGCATCAGCTCTGTGCCCTGCCTTAGTGCACAGCAGTCAAACTGTGCCAACCTGGTCCTCCGCAAGGCGAGCCTATACTTCCTAGAAACCTGCCCCAATCTGCCTCTCGGATGACCTAGCAGCCAGACATGCCTCCCGTTAACCCAGGGACCGTCATTTTTGCAGTATCAGCCAAATGTACCTGTTGTGGGAAGCACTCAAACCTAGCCATTAAGAGAGAACTTCAGAGACAGACACAACTGGCTTTAACTTCTTGCTCTGTCCTTGCTGGCTGTGTGACTTGGGCAAGTTTCTTCACCTCTCTGAGTTTCTCGAAGCCTCCATTTCTCCATCTTTTGAAACAGGGATAATGAATCTACCTCACAAAGAGAGGTTAGGATTAGCTCAGGTAATGTACGTAAAGCACTGAGCAAAGTCTGTGGTCATGGCAAGGACACAGTAAAATAGCTCTTATTATTATTTCATTGGATTAGCTAACTTCATTCATTTTCAGAAATCAAGGGATCTTCCTCGTGGCTACATACTTAAAGACAGCACAACTTTCCCACGAATCAATGCCTTCATCCTTTCCTCTCCAGGCTCTGTTACTGATGTTTAGGGCTTGCTGTCACTCGGCCTTTGCTGCTGCTTCCAGTTGATCTGCCATGGGTTTGCAACCCCATTCTTTGCCCCCACCTTCATAATCTGCTCTATCCTGTTTCTCGGGACCTGGGATGCTCTTTCTGCCCTCTCTGCCCTCCCAGACCTACGTATCTTCAAAGCCCAGCTCAAGTCCTGCCTTTTCCACAAAACTTCTTCTGGCTGCCCCAGCTTGTTCATTCAACAGCACATGCTGACTGAGTATTGGCACTAGGCCAGGCCTGTGCGTCCCTGCGGCTTGGGTGGAATGTGGACAGGACATACTCCATTCAGCCCTACCGAGCACTCCTTTCCCTGAACCACAGTGGCACATTACAGTTTATTCCCACCCATGTTCATGGCTGATGTGCACATTATTCTTGCCTTTTGGATGCTTAATTCTTTAAATAAATGATGCAAGGCAATGCTGTGGAAGAAAGGACACACACTGTGAGATCAAAGAGTCCTAGGTACGAATCCTAGCTCTGCCTCTTGCTGGCTGTGTGACCCTGGCGTGTACTTGGGCTCACTACAGGAAAAGATGTGGTATCCATGCAGAACCAATGCCCTGTCACAGTGTGAGGACCACTGGCTCCTGCTGGAACAAGGTGCAGACACTGTCTGACATCTTAGCATCATTGTCCCTTAGCTTTTGTCATTGTAGATCTGAAGAATACCCCAGCCACTCCAGACTGGATGCCAGGCAATGACTTCTCTCTCTCCTCGAAATCTATGCACAATATACAAGGAATAATGCCAGAGTCTTCTTTTTTCTAATCAGTTCACAAAATGGTTGAGCCAGCTTTTCTGCAGTTTTTTCCCCTTCTCTGCAAAGTTGTTTATGAACATATTTTTTAATTGTCTGAGAAACATATAACTTGTTATTCCAAAGCTAGGTTACTATAACTCTGACTTCTGCTTGGAGGAAGAAATTAGGAGAGAGCAAAATAAACTCCGAGTGCCCTTTCAAACAAATTCCACTGTTTCTGTGCAATATTATTTGAGCATCCTCAGAACAGTGAGAATGTGGCAGAGCCCTGCAAATCTCCCCCGGCCACAAGTGTACTCCCTCAGGATCTGCCATCTACCCAAATCACTTAGACACAGTAAAGGACAAAAGGACCTCCAGCCCCGCTTGTCATTGCCTCTTTGCCCCATGTTCTCTATTTGTGGCTTGCAGGGTGCTTTGGGGTAATGGCAATAAAATATACGATGAATTGATTTGCCTTCAATCCGAGAGTCTTTGTTCTATTTCCACTCTGAGTCTGACCAAAAAATGCACTTGAGTTCATTGAAAGGTGAGTAGACAAAGCAGATCACCCCCAAAATCCACCAAAATGATAATTTTTTTTTTAATTTTTTTGAGACACAGTCTCACTCTCTCACCCAGGCCAGAGTGCAGTGGTGCAATCTCAGCTCACTGTAACCTCCACATCCTAGGTTCAAGCAATTCTCCTGTCTCAGCTTCCCAAGTAGCTAGGCGTACAAGCACACGCCACCACACCTGGCTAATTTTTGTATTTTTATTAGAGACGGGGTTTTACTATGTTGGACAGGCTGGTCTTGAACTGGAATAGTTATATATAACTATTGAAGAAGAAATACAAGAAAGTATTCTAACATGGAAAGTAAAAAGACAAAAATTATATGAGGGAAAAAATTAGAGACACAGAAGATTAATTAGAGCCTATATCTATCTCATAGAAGTCGAGACAGAGAGAAAGAACCAAGAGAAAGGAAGGGAGAAAAGAATAAAATAAATATTTCAAGTCTCTATGCCAAAAGGCCCACCAAGTACTAAGCAGGATGATTCTCAAAAGACTCATACTTAGACATAAATATCCTCATGCGGTTTCAGTACATGGAAAAGGGAAAGTTTCTAAAACCACTGCAGGAAGCAATTTACCTACAAAAGATTGATAATCTTCTCAACGACAATTCTGGATGCTAGGAGACAGTGAAGTAATTCCTACAAAATTTTGAGTTAACTTATTTTGAACCCAGAAGCCACCCAAGGAAGAGGACAAAAATAAAGATATTTTCAGACCTGCCAAGACCCAGAAATTTTACCTGAAAAAAAAAGTTGCCTCAGGATATGCTCCAGAAAAGAAAACAAACAAAAAGGAAGCTTTGGAAATAAACAAGCACCAATCAAATGAGAACAAGCAAAGGCTATTTATTCAGAGCTTGCTCTAGCAAGAGAGTCAGCCACCATCCATTGCATTTTGGCAGAGACTCAAAAACAAGCAGAAAAATGGGAAAGCTGTATAGTGGAAAAAAGGAAAGGTTTCAGGTATGCCCTGACTGGAGGCTGTTGGCATGGGGAGGTTGCAGGTGGACTAACTAGAAGCTCGGCATCCCATAGGATTGATTACAGGTGCATATACAGCTCTCTCTGGTTGGTCCCAAATTGGAAGCAGAGACAAAAATTAGGGATGCTGTCAGATATTAATCAAGTCCTGGCTGTTGGAGGCCCATTGTTTCTGAGGTTATTGTTAGGCCTCTTGGGCTGGGTGCTGGAGACAGTGGTCTGACTTACTATCCATCTGACTTATAGATAATAAGCAGGCTTCTTGGGCTGGTTACTGTAGATAATGTTTTGGTTTCCTGGGATGGTTGCTGCAGCCTGTGAGTCAGTGTTTTGTTTTTTAATATGGTTTGGCTATTATCCATTTATTTATTCAGTCCCTCAAACCTAAGAAAGAAAGATATGGGACCTAGCAAATGGTAGAACTAAGGAGTGCATCAGAAAAGTTCAGGATGACACAGCTAGAAAGTCTGTTCCAAATTGGCCACTTTCCAAATAGAATGATTAAGAAGTTGGAAATTCTTAGTAACATGGTGAAGGCATGTCAACCAGAAAACAGACACACGCAATTATAAATTCCAGAATAAGACTCGTGTTCCAGATTGAAAATGAGTTATTATATTGAAGAATTGTTAGCATACAGCAAGATTCTGTTTACCTTGATGCTTGGAACAACCTCTTTTGAAGAGCAAAGATTACATCTGGACATAGGATTACATCTCCTCCATAAAGACAAACACTCTTCTGGTTCTGCAGCAAATAATCTTTACAAAATCACACTATTGTTAAAGCCATGTATTGATTTTCAATTTTCAGCATCAACTTACATATAAACAAAGCAAGAAAGGGTCTAGTTTTGGGTACAATATGAAATGTAAATGTT
Organism: Homo sapiens; assembly: GCF_000001405.40. NCBI lineage: Eukaryota > Metazoa > Chordata > Mammalia > Primates > Hominidae > Homo > Homo sapiens. The sequence continues at coordinate 112,317,880 of NC_000011.10, read as the reverse complement.
CTACACTTTGACAACATAAAAGTAAAGTTAGCGCTGACCAATATTGGGGGGAAGAGAAAGGAGGCAACATGGAGTTAATTTCCTTACATTACATGATAGAGAAACAAGACATACTAAGTTAATGAATCAAAGAATGATGGTTTAGGCACCTTGTTTTAAATTATAGAGGAAATACATAGAAGAATAAAAATATAACAAAAATTGGCAGGCAGAAGTTGGGGAGATACATGCCTCATCTATCATAGAGAGGAGTCAATAGCTACTACTTCATATTGATGAATCAAGAAATGCAAATATAAGCATATTATTTGAGTTATGAACAAAACCACCACCAATGCTTTCTCCCCTCAAGAAAGTTGAGTGAAGAACAGGACTAGCAATGGAGGTGAAGAGGAAGACTTATGTTTTATTTCATACCTTTCTGTACTATTTTAATGATTTTTCCCCAGGCGCATGTACTTAATATTCTTTTCTTTCTTTTAACTTTAAAAGAAGTCAGGATTCAGAGACAGCACTCCAGCACTCCCACAAAGTGAACTCATTTTTCTCTGTGCCCCAAAACAGCTTGGCTTTATCGTTTGACTTGGCCTCACCAAGTTTGTGTTTTCAGCTGCACTTTCTCAGACCTGCATTCTTGGGGACGTAGAAGAGACATTTAATGCATTTTTATTGCATAGATGAGAAGATAGTAATTCCTTCCTTGAATAAACATATTCAGAGCACATACCATGTGCACTGGAACACTGGGCACTGGAGACACCGAAGTGAACAAAACAAAGTCCCTGCCCTCATGGAAAGTGTTTATATTCTTGTGGGCAAGACAGACACCAAGCAAGGAAAACCTGCCCTTCCTTCACCTGCTGAGAGAAAAGCTAGAAAAACCCACGTCCACATCTCTGTTACCAGCTGCAAGACCCTGAGCCAATGACTAAACCTCTCGGAGCTTTTGTGTCCCCATCTGTAAATTGCAGATGACTGCCTTTCCGGGTCATCAGAAGAGTAAACATGGTTCCAGGCTCCCATTTTGAGTTACACAGACACAAATTGGAATTTTTAATAAACTAGAAAGGAAATATAAAATCAAGTTTCAACACTCTTTGGGTAAGAGCTTATAATAATATAAATATCAAACTATTTCTGGGTTAGTTGAGAGAAGTATAGATTGTGAGTCGTTTGGTGTTGATGACTTAGGAAAATCAGCAGGATGAATCTTCATTCAAGTTAGACTCTATTTCCCAAAGTAGGTTTGGTGAAACACTTGTAGCAAGGGCTCTATAGCTAAACAAACAGTAGGAGCACAGCCTATGATAGCCCTCTCTTAGAAAGTCACAATGCACATTGGTATGATAAAGGTCCTGAGAATTCCTGCCGCAAACAGGCCTGTTCAGTCCACAATTTCCCAACTGACTTCATCATGGAACTCTTCCACCCACTGTCCATCCACAGAATGGGTGGAGTGCTGTCCCACACAAACATCTCCTACCCACCCTAATTCCACTGAATTAGTACTTAGCAGAGTACACTTTAGAAAATGCTGAGATGGAGGGCTTGTAGCCTCTCTTTAGCTCAAGCCAGAAAAAATAGTCTTCACGAGTTCCCTAGCACTAAAAAAAGCAAACCAGACTCGAGCAAGGCCCATGTGGCCAACAGCAGACCTCACTGTGAACAAACAGTTTCTCTCTCCTAAAGGCCCTTCACATTGTGTGGGTGGCATATGAGTGCCGCCAGGACGCGATGAACCTATCTGCACAGGCTGGGAACCCTCCTGAGGCCCCTCTGGGCTCCTGCCATCATGTCAGGTTCAACAGTGAATCGGAACCATCCTGCCATCTAAACGATGCCGGCAAATCCACCCCAAGAACACCTGTTCCTCAAATAGCCAACTAATCCTGCAGACACTTCTAGAACACACAGCTTAACACGTGAGAGATGTATGGCAGCAGTTTCCAAAGATGCCACTGTGCCCAGCCCCATAAGCCCTCAAACCTCCCCCCAGCACCTCTCCCCACCCACATCACACCCCCTACACACACACACAGAAAGCTTCCTCCTGGCTTCTAGCACACGCAGAATAAAAGCTGTTCTTGGGACCTGTGGGCTTTGCCAGAAGAGAGTTTTGAGGACAAACCTGACACTGCTGCTGGGATAAACTAGCAAATCAAAGGTCAATTGACTGGCATTTCCTTCTGTCCCTGTGACATCTTCATTTTGTGCAGAAAGTGCAGTTTGGATACCACTGACAGCTGCTGACCCTCCTGCAGGAGGCTGGAAGCCCATGAGCCCTCCAAATGGCAGGTTCTGCTGTTCCCTCCTCTTACACAGTGACAGGCAGGCTGTCACCTGGAGCCTTGCCTGGCTTTGTTCCCTTCCACAGAGACTCACCACAGCAAGCCTTGTGTGCCACTGCCACTCACAGCCACTCTGTTCAAACCACATCAAGTAGTTGGAAAAGTGATACAAAGCGGATGGTAGAGGAAGAAGCAATTGCCTACCAGGAGTGATCGGAGCATGAAAAGCCCTGTTTCCTCCAAAATATTCTCACCTGCCAGCTGTAAATGCCTAAAATATTAGAGTAAGAGTTTATTCCTTCGGCTGAAAGCAGGTGGCACGTGGGAGGTGCGTGGCGCTTGCCCCTGCCTCCTCCTCTATGTTCATGGCAGGCATCGCTTCACAATCTGGGAATCTTTCCTGCAGCTTTGCACCCCCTTACAGCCACTGCCCTACTAAGCTTCCCATTTATTCCCGTTAAATATTCCTTCCTGTATTTGTGGGAAATCATTTAAAATAATCCAGAAAAAAAAGTATAGGGGGAGATAAGTGAAGAATGGAAGCAAAAATGATAGACTCTTGATAAATGTTGAAGCCGGTGGGTATGTATGGGTTCATTATACTTTTCTCTCTACTTTTGTGTATATTTAAAAGTCCTATAATAAAAATCTAAATTAAAGTATATATACAGGCCAGGCATGGTGGCTCATGCCTGTAATCCCAGCACTTTAGGAGGCCCAAGCAGGAGGATCACTTGAGCCTAGAAGTTCAAGACCAGCCTGGGTAACATGGCAAAACCCCATCTCTACCAAAAAACAAAAACAAAACAAAATTTAAAAATTAGCCAGGCATGGTGGTGCATACCTGCAGTCCCAGCGACTCAGGAGGCTGAAGGGGGAGGATGGCTTGAGCCCAGGAGGCAGAAGTTACAGTAAGCCAAGATTGCAACACTGTACTCCAGCCTGGGTGACAGAGAGAAATGCTGCTAAAAACATATATACATATATATACATACACACACACACACATATAGTATATGTGTGTATATGCCAGTTTCTCTTCTTACCTGATATCACTTAGATATCAACTTGAATTGTAATGTGAATGAGTTTTTGCATCTTTTTTGAGAGCAAATTTTGATAGTAAAAGAACAGAATAGCTGAATTCTCAGTGAGGCAGGAGGAGGCCACCAGTTGGGAGGAAAACAAAGTCAAACATAACTGGGAGGCAACGGTTCCCAAAAATCTGGAAGGGTATTTACTTTACAAACTGTTAAGCCAGTGCTATTCAAGAACAATCAAACTGGATTAGGGAAGTTTGGTGGAGAAACTAAATGGCCATTTGCTCTCGGCATTGTTGGTTTCTGAAGTGTTAATTTTTGCTGTTGTCCACCTCTGCTTTTCACATCAAGCAGCTTGAGTGTTAGAGGCCAAGGTTTTGATTTGAGACATGAACTTTGAAAGTTTGTGGACCAGCCCCTGTTGTTTCAATGAACCCAGTTTTCAAGTTATTGACTCTATACTCTTCTCTGATCTCAAGGACACCAATGAATCTGTTTCTAGCCTCCAGTAGATTTAGAAGAATTCATTTCTCGCTCATAATTTACTGAATTATTTTCATTCAAGATTCTTAGATGAAGCCACCCTTCAAAATATTGTGACATGGGAGAAGTTGCCCAAGACCTGCTGTTTCCATTATGTCCCCCTCTAAACACTGGCTGTTCCCCCATTCAAAAGTCAATCAATAAAAATGTAATTCTACTATGGGAGCCTTAAAGCATTCAGCAATAGGAGTCTGGTTAAACAAACTGAAGTTATACACACAATGCAATATCTATGCAACCATCAAAGAGATGAATTTGATCTATAGGGGCTGAGATGAAAAGATCTCCAAGATATTTAGTATGGAGCAAAAGTCCAGTTGCCCTGGTGGACCTGAAGGGACAAGATCACCCCCTGCATAGAGAGGAAGTGTTGACCGCTAGCTAGTCACTAGAACTGAAGGTTCACCAAGCCTGCCCCTGAGCAGAAAGACAGATCGAAATGGTTGAGCACAGAATTTGTGGGCACTGGGTGAGAAGGAGGTTCTCTTAGAGTCTCTTGCTTCATTCAGAACAGCTTCAACTGATTCCTCTAACAGTCCAGGTGACTAAGTCAGGGTGGTCTCATTACAGTGATGACTGTTCCCTCTGAGTCTTTAGGTAAGAACCCCAGTTGTGATACTAGACCTCTCATTCCTTTTTCCTGCAATAACCCAGCTTCAATTCAGCTTCAGATAAATTTGAGTAAATTTCATCAGAACCGAATCTTCCTTTCAGATCCACTATCTCCAGTAGACCCACACTGCCAAGATGCACATTTTCATGAAAGCCCTAACAAGAAAGACTATTATTCTCAAGGTTGAACCCATGGATACAATAAAAAATGTGAAAGCTAAGATTCCTCCAATCAACAGGGATTGATTTTGCTGGCAAGCAACTGGAAGATGGATGCACAAATGTCTGAATATAAAATTCAAAAAAAGGCCTCTTTTGCTGTTGAGACATCATGGTGCTAAGAAGTCATCTTATAACACTCCAAAGAAGAATAAGTGTAAGAGAAAGAAGGTGAGGTTATTTGCTCTGAAATACAATAAGGTTAACGGAGATTGGCAAAATGGGTCGCCTTCTCCAAGGGTGTCCTTCCGATGGCGTCTTCATGGGCCACCTTAACCCACATTACTATGCAAGTGCTGTCTAATCCTTGCTGCAACAAACCAGAAGATAAGAACGTGTGTGTGTGTGTGTGTGTGTGTGTGTGTGTGAATACAAGACTAGAACTACTTTAACTATTGGATTTTATGCCAACATTTGAAATACAAAGATTTAGATTTTATTCTTGAAAAGGCAAAATTATGGTGATGGAGAACAGATTAGTGGTTTCCAGGGGTTACAGGTGGGGCAGGAGCATAAGGGAGTTTTTTTGGGAGTCATGAAACAGCTCTGTATCCTGATTGTGTTGGTGTGGTTCCACAAAGGTATATATGTGTTAAAACTTATAGAACTAGACATCAAACAAATTCAAGTTTACAGAATAATTTTAATTAAATTTTAAAAGGTCTTTCTGAGTAGTCAAAAAATAAACAGACCCATAGTTCTGTTTATATGAAACTAACAAGGAACGTACAGCAACTTCTTCCAGGCACTGCCAGCATCTAGATATCAGTATTCACACACTGAGGCCACTGTGTCACTTAGAGATGGCTACAAGGATGAGCTCCCAGATGACAGGGGACCAAGCCACTGGTGGAAGGACAGTGGGACAGTAACCAGCCACAAAAACCATTCCATCTTCTTACAAAGGGACATTCTCTGTGCACAGTAATTCACAGAAGACCCCCAAAGTGTGCAAAATAAAGACACCGGCAAAAGAGAAAAAGAAAATACTCAGTTTGTTCGACCTGACTAGTTAACCAGAAGAATTACCACCTCACACACACAAAAAAGTCATGCACAATGTAAGCATAATAGTCTGTTCTCTATAGATATCTGCCCAGAGTCTTCCAGTGGCTCACAGAAACCTAGAACCAACTATGGAGCTGGGAAGAAAATTGGCACACAGGGAGGAGAGTCTCATATGAGATTAAATTTCCGACTAGCACAGTATGATGGGAATATGGAGTGAAAATTAGGTTTACTTATGGGCAAGGACAGAATTGGAGATTTCTTACCCATCTGAGTTTGGGGACTGAGATTGGTGCCCCCTATCCCAACCAAACTCATGCACCGTCACTCTTGATAACCATGCAGTAACCCTCTCCTCCCCACTTCCTGGCTCCAGGAGTGACTGGGATGTGTTTTGTGCCCCCACACCACTTCCCCTTAGGCCACCAGGATTTCTGCTGCAGCTGCAAGAGTCAGTCCCCATGAATGGTGCAGGGGCCACCTCCAGCATCCTGCTGGTCTATTTGTTTCCCTCAGGGCTTTTTATCCGAAATTCCAGGATCTTAGCATGCAGGGCAGTCTGACGGCAACCCCAGAAGGCAACCTCAATGAATGGGTTAGAAATCAGAGAATAAATGCACCCACCTCCCCTCCAGAGTGAAGTGTCCAAGGAGACACTCCTGACAGATCCTCACCAGGACTGGGCCCAGTTGCCCGCCATGGCAGCCAACTCAAGACTGACTTTTCCTCCTTCCCCGCCTGGCTCATTCTGCTCCCTCACTCCCTTGCCTTGGATCACTCCACAAATAAACTCACTGCTCCTGAATCCTTGTTTCAGGCTTAGTTTTCAGGGAAACCCAAACTAAGACAAATGGCTAGATTATAGCTCTCTACTCCATCTCACTCACTCCGTGAGGTCCTAGAGCCAGCTCCTGGAACATAATTGCACATTTCCATCAAATGCCATTGGCTGGAAAAACTTCAATCCCTTAATGTCGGTAAATGGACTAAGACGTGGGCTGCGTCCCTATACCATTTCAAGAAGCCGCCACTTTCCAGTTCCAGGTGCCTCTTGTCCCCAGCCCAGGCTCCCCTCGGCCCCCAGGCTGTAACCAGCAGATCCTGACCATTCCTGTCTTCCGCCCTCATTTGTGTAATGAGCCCCAGGAGGCTGGCGCTCTGAGCATTTCAGTGCCCATTGGAGGGCTTGCAATTTCTTCACTAATTAGGCAGGTGAAAGGGCTGTGCTGAGAGGCCTTTGCTCCTGCATCTAACATCAGCGTTATGCCAAGTGGCATAGCTTTCCCCCTCCCTCCTCAGTCTGTTCAAGCCCATTGCCTCCCAGCCACAACTGCTCAGGTTAAGATACGTCAAGATGGAAAGTTGCCACTTGATTAAGATAAAAATAAAATAATCAAAATATATACCATGTTCCTCCTTTGAACAGATGGCCAGGAAGCTTGCCTCATAACATTGAACATCAAAAATGAATCAGAGGCTCACCTTCCTGCATAATCAAGAATTTGCTCACTGTTTGTACTACAGCCAGGCAGGGGTGGAGATTCTATCCACAAAGGTTGAGAAACGACAGAGAAACCATTGGTTCCATTGTGAGGCTCTCCCTAGTCTTTCCCTCAGCCTGTTGGGCAACACTGGCCTGCATCAGATGTCGTGTCAGTGTGTGCAAGAGAAAGAGGAAAGAGGATGCAGAGATATAAAACAAATAAAAGATATGTCAATTCTCTCCCTCAGGAGGGCCCAGAGCAACCCTTTATCAAACCTTACTCGTTGCCATTTTTTTTCCAAAGAAAGAGTATTCCAGACACTCATGTTTTTTATCTCATGGAGACATCCCAGTCTAGATACTTGTCACTTCATTCCAGTTACAATACTTGAGCACACTGTATAATGATTTATTTGTTTACTTGTCTGAGCTCCCTTGAGCTCTTTGAAAACAAGGATCATTTCTTATGTGACTTGATATCACATAGCCCAGCAGAGACCTAAATGAATGTTTGATGAATGAATGAATGAATGAAAATAATCAGAATTGTTGAAAGAGCCTCTCAATTGGTCTAGCTTCCTCCATTCTTTTTGCTCTATTCCACACGGCCACCAGTTTAAATCTGTCTAAAAGCTTCAATTAGATAGACCTATAGGTGCTGTGAAATTACCTCCAAGATATACAGTGAGGTGTAAAAGTAAGATACAAAACAATAGACATGTCTAATTGATTTTAAAGGAGAGTAGGAATATGTACATATATAATTTAGATATCCCTAAATGTTTCCAAGATATACAAGAGAAGGAAAAAAATGTTCCATTCTGGGAAAGAGTTAGGCGCTAGGGATGGAAAGGAACCTTGCTTTTTAGTACATATCCCTATGAATTTTTACCTTGCACATATATGTCTACCTTTCCATTTAAAAAGCCAATTAATAATTATTTTAAGAATTATGGTTAAAATTACTCTCATGCTCAAAAATACTCATCGACTGCCTATTTCCTTCAAGCCAATTAATCTCATAAACCCCAATTTGACTTTCTAACTTTTCCCTGACAATACCCTGCACAGACCCTATGTTGTCATCAGAGCTGCCCACAAATACACCAGTTCCGCCTCCATGCACATGGTAGGGTTGCACTTCCCTGCCCCCCTGAAGTTAGGGGTGGCCATGTATCACACCTTAATGGGCTAGATGGAGGTTGAAGCATACAGAGCCTGTGCTAGGCACCTTCCAAAGCAGTTCCCAGTGACACTCACTTCCTGGCAAGTGTACACTTGTGTGGTCCCTTCCTCTAGAGTGTAAGTGAGGCCCAGCCAATTGCTTCTGGTGACTAGAATATGGCAAAAAGGATGGAATGTCACCTCCAAGATTAGGTAATAAAAGACTGTGACTTCCATCTTGCTGACATTCTCTCTCTCTCTCTCTGGCTCTTTCCACATGGCTTCCCTAATGGAGAAGGTCACCTGCTAATAACCATGTGAATGAACTTGGAAGCTGACCTGGCCTTGTTGAGCCTTGAGATGACTATGCCTCAGCAGACACCTTGATTGCAGTCTTATCAGAGACCCTGAGCCAGACCACTCAGCTAAAGCACCTCTGGATTCCTAACCCACAGAAATGGTGACATTATAAGTACACATTGTTTTAAGCCACTAAGTTTTATGGTACTGTGTTATACAGTGGTAGACAACTAAGATAGAGCCACTGCACCATTCCCTTTCTCCTGCCAGGTGATCCTAAAAGCACAGGTTGAGATGGACCTCATCCCTGAGTGACTATGATGAGCAGGGCAGACTCACACACAAGTAGATGAACGAGATACAAACCTGTGTCTATTGGGATTGTTTGTTACTGCAGCATGACATAATCTATCCTGACTAATGCAGCATGTATGTGAAATCACCATGAAATTTGAAAGCGTAATCCAGATATAAACTATTATTATTAACATCTGAACACTGTTTCTATGTCCTGACCTTTGGACCCCATCTTTCCTCTCCAGTTATTCTCATCAACCATTCTTCAATTGGACCTCTCCCACAAATTACTCTCTAATTACCCTGGGCTGTAGCAATCTGCCCCATCTTCTGAGTACTAAGCACCCACCCCCCACTTTTTCTTTCCTATCACTTATTACAACTGTAACTAATTATATGTGGATCCATTCCATTTATTCAGTGTCTGTCATCTCTACTAGAATATAAACTCCATGAGGACTGGGATCCTGTGGGTTTTACTCATCATTATATTCCCAGCATCTGCCACAGTACCTAACACAAACACCTAAATATTTAAATGAATGAATGAATTTACACATTCTTATTCTCCTCTATACACTCATTTTGACACAACCATAAAATGTTTTGTTCGTTATTTTCATATCTCACATGTTTGTTATGGATTGCACTTCCCAAGTAGATTCTGAGTCCCTGGAGGCATGAATTGCATCCTTCAATTGGCCAGGACACTTCAAAATCATGGCAGTGCCTTAAACATCGTATAATACCTAGAGCCTTGCTCATGGCTGGAGCACAATCACTGCTAAATTCATATTATTCCTTGTGCTCAACAAATTATTGATAAATTAATATAAACAAGCATGTATCAATATAATGGTGTGAATATGATTCTCAAGGAAATAGTAGAGCAAATGAGTGAGGAGTGTGAGATGAGGGCAGATGAGAAAGGCTTCTGCAGGAAGAGAGCTGGAAATATACATTTGTAAAGAGGCAGAGAAACAACATGCATGTAGCTGGTCACTGTGTCAGGCACCAGACTAGATGAGATGCATGTACTATTTTGTTTAATTTTCAAATTAGCCCTATGTGATAAGTTCTATTATCTCCACTTTACAAATGAGGAACTGGAGCACAAAGAGGTTAAGTGACTTGCCCAAGGTCACAGAGATAACCAATGGCAGAAGCAACAACAAACTCAGATCTGCCTCTCTCCAAAAGCCCATCTCTACCATGCCAGAACCTAAGTTTAGATGTAAGCCTGGTTCTGTCATTCTTTGGCTGTATGGCCTTGGGCAATATACTTAACCTCTCTTGACTCAGTTTCCTTAATTTAGTTAGCATTAATCATTGTGCCTATCTCATGGGATGGTTGTGAGTATTAAATGAGATAAAATATGTAAATCACTTAGAACAGTGCCTAGGCCATGGTAGGTACTCAATAAATGTTACCCATTGTTATAACTATTTAAAAACAGATGTCAGAGAAAAACATAATTCCCCTACCAAAAAAAGAATTTTTATAAATGCCCTTTCATTCACATCTATTTTTGTTTGATATTTCTACACCCTAAGCTGTAGGACTGCAAGAAAAAGAGAGTTTTTGGGACAGAAAAAGCCATGTGGGAAACCCAGAAACAGATCTCATCTCACCTGTCCCTATCAGCCTCTTCTGCCCGCCACACGTTGCCCTGTGCAGCCTGGGGTCCCATAGCACCAACTCAAGGTGAGGCACTGGGGGCAGCCTCTCGTGCACTGCCCTCTGACCATCAACACACACCCATTCTCACAGATCCTCAAACAGCATTGGCCACACAATTTGGAGGGCTTAGTGCAAAATGAAAATGTAGGGGCCCCTTGTTCAAAAGGTATTCAGACTTTCAAAACAGCAATAGCAGAACATCAAACCAAGCTGAGGGCCCTTCTAAGCACAGGGCCTTGATCAACCTCACAGGTCACCTATGAAGCTGTCCCTGTCCTCAAACTTCTCCAGAGGGGGCCCAAACAGCTGGGAGAGTCAGAAACAAGTGAGACGCACCATCTCCCACCTTGGCTTCTCCATCCAGGCAAAACCTGACGTGGAAAACCCTTTCCTACAGTACCTCAGTATTTTGATTAAAAACCATGATAAACTTGTGGGTGCAACAAAAGAAGAAATTGATGTTTTAATACAACTCATTACAGCACCTTTATTAACTCCAGAAATAGAAAGAGAATATAAAATAGAAAGATTAGTTTAAAATCAACACTGCGCTGGTAAGGGCAGCCACGATTCCAGCAACATTAATTGCTGGATAGCCTCATTACTGATTAAATAAGAAATCTCAAATACCATTAGACAATTGTGATTAAATGTATGTCATTCTAATTGAATGTGTGGCTTATTGCCTTCCACTGAATCAGCAGGTCACCTTCCTGTTTTGTATATTTGAAAGGGCACAGCTATGCAGTGACAGCACAGAGCCATTATTTCTCAGAGAGCCCTGAAACCCTCGCAGTTGTATCCTAAAATATGGCTGTATGTGCAGGTGGTGAAGGAGTATGCCATACAATAGGGAACCTGAGATGATGAAAATAAATCCCACTTAATGTCACAGCTGGGCACTTTTTCCTCTGATCTCATTACCCAGCTCTGGAGTCACTTGCAGTCCCCCTGACTTTGCAGTCATTTGAGGACTAGGGGGAGTTGGGCATCTTCTTGGTGCAGAGAGGAAGCTCCAGATCCAGCTCAGCAACTGGATCTGGCTGAGATGGTGGGGAAATGAAAAATCTCTGGTCTCATCTCTCCCTCACTTCTGCTAAGGAGCCGGGACAGAAGAGTCTTCTAAGGTCCATCCTTTTTGGTTTCCCAAGGATGAAAATACAAAATTAACGTTGTCACTGCTCTGACTGGTCTTTGCTGCTCACCTATCCCTTGGGACATGGGCTATCATCTCTCCACCCTGCTCTCGGCTTTGCCTGGAATAAAAGCCAAGGTGAAGCGGGACAAGCACCTTGCTGCAGGCCCGCGGGCTGTGTAGTCCCACACAGCACATCACTCCAGAAGGGACCAGGACAACACCAATCCCAGGGCCCACCCTGGAGGAAATCATACAGTAGGTTAGGTCATTCTCAGTTGAGTTTTGTTACATGGCCGTGCACATACGTGAGCGTGCACACACGCACGTGCACACACACACACACATGCACTCAGAGTTACCCCAATCTGCCTAAGCTCCAGATCTGGTCACATCAGTGCCCTGCTTCGGGTAAATGCTGGGTTTTTTCCCACCAGCTGGGCCTTCAAGGCCTCCACCAGCTTCCCCAACCACCCTCTCCCCTTGATCCCCCAGTGACAGCCTATACCCCTGCGCAAGGACTCCCAACAGACCCAGCACAGGGACGCACACGCTGCCTGCTCTGTCTGGAATGCTCTTGTTACAGTTACTGGGAAATTACTTCATATCTTGTTTCTCCAGAGTCCCTGGAAAGGAATGTTTCCCGCTCATAAGAATTAAGAACTGTTCCTAAGGTCTAGGCTCCCCAGTCACCAGAGGGTGGTCAATACGGTTCTATATTTCAGTTCAAATGAGGAGAAAGGAGGGTGGGCTCCAGGGCAGCCTGTCGGTGAGGGCTCAGATTATACAGGCTGCTGGCTGCATGGGGCTGAGTGAAATGAAGTCACCAAGCCTTGGGAGCTACAGAGAGGTGTGGTGAGACTGGTGCCACCCCCAAAGCTGTCCAAGAGACCAGGCTGGTCTGGACATGGCTGTGAGGCAAGATGGGTTCAGGAGGTGCCACAGTGCTAGACAGATGGTGGAAGAGCAGCTTTCAAGAGCAGTCTCAGATCCCTGCAGAGTGGAACCCACAGACTGAGACCCACATCTGTTATGGGGTTCCTGGAAAACCTTGTCAGGGGGGTGCCCCAAGTAATGACTGGTTTTTAGACTTCTCACCAACCTTGACTAACAAGAACTCAGAGCTCAACTGACTTGATTAAATATCTATACTTGACTGGGCACGGTGGCTCATGCCTGTAATTCCAGCAGTTTGGGAGGCTGAGATGGGCAGATCACCTGAGGTCAGGAGTTTGAGACCAGCCTGGCCAATGTGGCAAAACCCCATCTCTACTAAAAATACAAAAAATTAACTGGGCGTGGTGGCAGGCAGCTGTAATCCCAACTACTTGGGAGGCTGAGGCAGGGAGAATTGCTTAAACCAGGAGGCGGAGGTTGCAGTGAGCCGAGATCACGCCACTGCACTCCAACCTGGGTGACAGAGCAAGACTCCATCTCAAAAAAATAAAAATAAAAAATCTATACTTAAGCATCTTGGAGCAGCCATACCAAGTACAACTTTCCCCTTCTTCCCACAGGATGGGCTCCTCACCTCTTCCAGGAAGTCCTCCACACTGCTCCCGCAGCCACTCATGTCCATGCTGCTAGTAGAACACCGACCACGTGGCTCTGGCAAGTAGGGTATGTACAAGGCTCTCCCAGGCTACATTAAGCCCATCCTTGGTCCCCAGTACCTAGCAGCCTGCCCAGCACATAACACATGCTCAGGAAATATTGAAGGCAGGAAAAACAAAGAAGGGAGGGAAGGAAACTTCAGCTGCCCAGGCCCCCACCAAGCTACCTCCTACACATCACCAGACCCAGAACTCCCTCAACCACCCCAACACCTCCACCAGGCCCTGCCCCATATGCCTGTAACACTTGGGGTACCCACTACCATGCTTGACCCACTTCAAGGCAGTAAAGCACGCCAGTCATAAGCCTGACGTCTGGAGCCAGCTCATCTGGGTTCAAATCTCAGCTCTGCCACTTATCAGCTGTATGACCTTAGGTAAATTATTTAACCTCTCTGTGCCTCATCTGCAGCAAACTATATAAAACAGCACCTGCTTCTTAGGGTGATCATGAGCGTCAAATGAGTAGAGCGATTTTGAAAGGATACATGGTACTTAGGGAATGTTATCTTATTATTGCATTATGATTATCTACTTAAAAACTCATCCCCCCACTAAACCAGGAGTGCCCCAAGGGTAAGAATCATGTCTAGGTTTTTTTTTTTTTAATATATCCAGAACTTAGCACAACCCCTAGACTGGCTTAGAATAGGCATCAGTAAATGATTGCTGGATGAATCAGTAAATGATGCAGATTCTAGGTAAGAGCAGAGAGCTCTGGCAAGCCTGTGGAAGAGAGGACCTGAGGGCTGTGGGTTGGCTTTAAGACTGCTTGGTAAGGGACAAACAAGTTTGCAGTGGGCTAGGAGAGGTGGGCGTGAATCTCCAGGGGCACTAGGGCCTCACTGGAGGATTTAGAGGACCTAAAGTATCAGGAATTAGATGGTAGGATATTGGAAAGGGACAGAGACAGAAAATAGCTGCATTTCCCTTACTTTCTCCCCGTTTGGCATTCATGTCCCTCTCCTCTCCTTTTCTCCTTCTGATTACCTCTTCCTCTCCTCCCATACTCAGGAAGAGCAAGACATAGCAAGCCTAACAAAGAAAAGTGCCTTGGATCACTACTATTGTATAGGTAGAACACAGACAAAAAAGGGATATACTCAAATGGCCATCCCTCCTGGCCAGGATTTCTGCAGGCAGGGAAGACATCAACAATTCTGTACACCTGAAATACGTGATGCGGGAAGAACCATCACTCGATGGACAGCCTGCCCTCTCGATGCTCATATAGGAAGGCTTTCTTTAGACTTTCTTTTCTATTTCATCAATTCTTCTTCAGTACAAAACAAAAATCATTAACAACTCACTTGTAATTTATAACTTTCCCAATTTCAAAGCTCAACATTTTTTTGTTTTTTGAGACAGAGTCTCACTCTGTCACATGTTGAAGTGCAGTGGCATGATCTCGGCTCACTGCAACCTCTGCCCCCCGGGTTCAAGCAATTCTCCTGTCTCAGCCTCCTGAGTAGCTGGGATTATGGGCACACACCACCACGCCCATCTAATTTTTGTTTTTTTAGTAGAGACAGGGTTTCACCATGTTGGCCAGGCTGGTCTCAAACTCCTGACCTCAGGTGATCCACCCGCCTCAGCCTCCCAAAGTGCTAGGATTACAGGCATGAGCCACCGCGCCTGGCTCAACTTTTAAACACACTTAAAATACTCTGTCCTAACCAGGGCCTCAGATCTAGAGCACAGAACCCCTCTGCAAAGTCTATCAATGCAGCCAAGAGAGGGTCTGTTGGATTCCAGAGTGACAGTCACCTCAGAGGAGAGTTTCTTCACATTAGAATTAGAAGTGAAAGGGCCCAGTCTGCTCGGGTTTAGGAATCTCATTTCATTCCTGCTGTGCACTGCAGGCTGGTAGGTGTGACAAATTGTCTTATCTTTGTCTAACCTTTGTTGAACCCATGCTTGCTTCGGGGTTTAACTTTAATATATGGCTTCAGTTTAATAGCAAAGTGCTTCTCTTAAAATGTCAGATTGTAAAATGCTGAGTCATTCACCAAGAAAAGCCTGGTCCTGAGTGGAAATTAGAATTGCTGGGGCACACAGAGCAATACCACATATCTTCAGCCTAAATAGAGGAGACAGAGCTTAAGTTCAGATCAAATTTAGAAGGCAGTGCTGAGCTCCAGTGGGGCTGTTTGCTCTGAAAGACAAGAATGAATCAGATGGAACGATCAGGCAGCAGCTGAAATATTGTCACTCTTGAAAGTAAACACAGTGGCAAAGATGTGGTGTTCAACATTTTATGTACTTAACAACTGACTAAACTGTACTAAATGAGACCAAAATATGAAGAGAACCAAGCAAATAGTGTTCCAGATGTAAGAAGTGATACAATCCTGCCAATATGCCTACAAAGTTCTGTTAATTTTGTTTTATACCTATATTTGTCTTTATATTTATATATGAATTAAATTCCACAGTAATAATTATTTCAGGCCAGGCACGGTGGCTCATGCCTATAATCCTAGCACTCTAGGAGGCCAAGGTGGGTGGATCACTTGAGCTCAGGAGTTTGAGACCAGCCTGGGCAACATGATGAAACTCTGTCTCTAAAAAAAATACAAAAAAAAAAAAAAATTAGCCAAGCGTGGGCCTGGCTGTCCCAGCTACTTGGGGGGCTGAGGTAAGAGGATTGCTTGAGCACAGGTGGTCGAGGCTACAGTGAGCTGATTGCACCGCTGCACTCCAGCCTGTTTGACAAAGTGAGACCCTGTCTCAAAAAAAATAAATAAATAAAAATAAATTATTATTTCAGGCTGAATTATTAAAGAATCCTAAAATCAGAGGGCAGAATATGATGAGAAACAGGATATCTAGAAAGCATCTCTCCACAAAATGCTTTACTAAAGTAAAAATAGTAACTTTATGGTAGAGAAATCTGGCAGTCCCCACCTTAAACAGGAAGTCAAAGTCATCACCAATAATAAAACAAATCGATGATGTGCTCCTTAATATGATGCTCTGGGAAAGACACAACATCACTTCTGTGATATTCTTGCCAAAAATGTATGACCTGGATTTAGATCTCAAAGAAACATGACATAAACCCAAATTAAGGACGTTCTAGATGATAACTGGGCAGTATTTTTCAAAAATGTCAAGGTAATGAGAGACAAGGAAAAATTAAAGAACTATCGCAGATTATAGGAGACTAAGGGGACGTGAGAGCCAAAGGCAATGTGTGGCCCTGGGCTGGATCCTGGACGAGAAAAGGACAGTATTGGGAAAACTGGCAAAACTCGAATTAGGGCTACAGATTATATCATAGTATCTTATCAATGTTAATTTCCTGATTTTGATCATCATACTCTAAGTTATATAAGATGGTAACATTTGGGGGAATCTGGGTTAAAGAGTGTATGGAAATTCTTTGTACTATTTTTGCAACTTTTTTTAAAAAACTGAAATTAATTCAAAATGAAAAGTTAAAAATAAATAAAGCTTTAAGTGAATTAGAGGATCTCAATTTAGCAGTTATAAGGATGAGGGGAGAGGACTCTTCTTCTGCAAAGCCCTTACTCCCCATTCTCAGATAAAAAGAATTTTGGTAACTGTGAGACATAATAGAACTATCACAAATGTATGAATCTAGCTATATAAATAAAGCAGCATACGTCACCATTCTTTTTTTCCCCTGTAATTGTGTAAAATCTGCAAATTTTTCAAGATAGACAACTACAAGCTTTAGAGCTACAAGAGCTGGTATAAAGTAAGGTGGAGTGCTGTTTCCCATCCGGTAAGACAGGGCCAACACCGTCACTGGGAAGCCAGGAGACTTTGGCTGAGTTTCTCTTAGCTCCGTCTCTTCCTCCGTGAAATGGATTCATCTTAATGCCTGCACTAAGAGATGTGAAAGGGCAGTGCAAAAAGCGTCACTGTCCTCCTACTGCACAGCAGCGCATGGCAATGCTGCCACCGTTCTAAGGAGCATGTCGGGCACTGTGCCACAGCTTGCCTGGTTGGAGGGGACAGTGAGCTAAGTAACCAGTCTCTGGGACAGCCGTATCTAAGGTCTCTAGCCTCAGTCTCCATCCCTCACCCTGTGGTTTCCTCATCCCACTGAGCAAGGCGTGGGATGGGCAAGAGTCCACCGCAAGGGACCAGACAAGCTCCACGGCCCATTATTTGGGACTTCAAGCTGCCAGCTCCCTGCAGCCTCCCCAGTCCACTTTCACGTTCTCATCAGCATACTCCCCGCTGTCAGGCTGCTTTACTGGAGGCACGATTTACATTACACATCAACAACCTAGTGCCACAGGCAGCAAAGGCAGAGACTCATGATGGGCAGTGCCTGGGTCTGGCAGATGATGAGATGGGTGAGCTTGGGCCCCTCAGGACTCTTTTGCATGGAGAGTCGGTGGGAGCCTGCTGGTGTGTCCGTTCCATCCCACGCCTCAACCACAGGGAAATCTCATTCATTCCCCAACCACTCTACTCACCCTGCTGCCACCAGCTCCTTCTTGATCCACTAGGGCACAAAAAAAAAATTGCTTTTTGCTCTTGAGGAAGATGCAAAAGCCTATAGTTCCTGCAGGCCCCACATTCCCTCGCTCACAGGGCAGGGGCTAGACAGGCAGCATTTGTTAGTGTCTCCCATCAAAGTCACTTTCTGACCTGGCTGTTCATCTCTAACCTGCCTGTTCCTGTTTGCCAGTCTGTCCTCCAACGGCAAATGGAGAGCAGCGAGGCTGCCTTTCAGCCCTCTGGGTGCTGCTTTCCCTCCCCTAAACATCTAAGAAGACAGGTGTTCATTGAGCCCCTCTTCTCTGTCAAACCAGCAATAACTCTCTCAAAGAAACCTGCAAAAGGGGCCCACATGCCTGTAATCCCAGCACTTTGGAAGGCCAAGGCAGGTGGATCACTTGAGGTCAGGAGTTCGAGACCAGCCTGGCCAACATAGTAAAACCCCATCTCTACTAAAAATACAAAAATTATCCAGGCGTGGTGGCATGCACTTATAGTCCCAGCTATTTTGGAGGCTGAGGCAGGAGAATCGCTTGAACCTGGGAGGTGGAGGTTGCAGTGAGCCGAGATGGCACCACTGCACTCCAGCCGTCAGAGTGAGACTCCATCTCAAAAAAAAAAAAAAAAAGAAAAGAAAAGAAACCTGCAAAAGGTTTCAAAGTTCAACAAATAGGAATGCAAGTTCTGGTCCTAGAGCCTGCTTGCTGTGCATTCTTGGGTGAGTCATTACCCTTTCTGATTTCAATTACCTAACCGGTACCATAGAGAAAATCATGTGTACCTTGCAGGGTTGTTCTGTGGCTCAAATGAGATGATGTCTACAAATCACTTAGTGCCACGTACAGCACATGCTGGATATTCAATAAACGCTTAGTTCCAACCTCCTCGATAATAGAATGATTGCTTATTGAGCATACCAGTCTCTGATGTGGGTACCTTACCTACATCATCTAATTTAATCTCACAGTAAACCTATAAGGCAGCAATCTTCATCCCTTTACATGTGAGGAGACTAAGGCTTAGGGAGGTCAGGTAACTTTTGCTCAAGGTCGTACAGCCAGGAAGTAGCACAGCAGGACTCAAATCTTCTGATCCCAAACACCAGACATTCTGGTCTTCACAGCACAGCCTCCCTCCTGCCTTGGCAGACCTTAGAACTGGGCTGACATCGACAAATGGGGCAACTGGAAGGCACCGGCCCTGGCACCAGAAGCAGTGCTGGAAGGAAGCCCAGTCTGGGAGCCACAGGAGCAAATCCAGTGGTGGGAGGGAAGGGGCACCGCGGCTCAGGGTACAACCACACAAACGGGCGGAGTCCCACACCAGCATGGCTGGGGAGTGTGAGTGTGAATATCAGCTGTCCACTTGACTGGACTGAGAGAGGCCGAGGTGGCTGGTGAAGCATTGTTTCTGGGTGCGTCTGTGGGGGTGTTTTCAGACGATGTGAACTTGGGAGTTAGTGGACTGGGAGAGGAAGACCCACCCTCAACGGGGAGGACACCATCCAGTCGGCTGCCAGCACGGCCAGAGCAAAGCAGGCAGAGGAGGGGGCATATTCAGCTTACTGAGTTTCCTCTCCGCCGCCCCATCCCCTCTCTCTCTCCTTTCCCACATGGGATACTTTGCTTTCTCTCCTCCTGCCCTTGGCCATCAGACACCAGTCCTTTGGCCTCTGACTCTGGGACTTGCACCATCAGCCTGCCGGGGGCTCTCAGGTCTTCAGCCTTAGACTTGGGGCTGCGCTGTGGGCTCACCTGCCTGCTCATTCCTGGTTTTGAGATTTCAGATTTGGACTGAGCCAAGTTACCAACTGTTCTCATTCCCCATCTTGCAGAAGGCCTGTCATGGGACCCTTGGAGAATCTAATACAAAGAGGGTGGGGAGAAAGGCAGGGGGGCCATGTGGAAAGGGGAGAGTCCACCTGAGCACAGCTGGGGATCCTGGGTCAGGTGACACCCAGCCCTGCAGGTGGTCAATATCAGGGAGGTGTATTGGTCAGATTACCTTACTGTTCAAAGGTGGTTCCAGGACCAGCAGCACCACCTGGTCGCTGATTAGAAATGCAGAATCTCAGGCCCTCCCAGACCTCCTGGTTCAGAATCTGATGTTTAACAACAGCCACGGGTATTTCTTATGCACATTAAAGTTGGAGAAGCAATAAGTCAGAAGGTTACTGATCCCCTGCCATGAATTTGGGGAAAGCAGAGAGCAGTGGTTCTTAATCTTGGCTGGACTGGTTATCCAGATCCTTGTCCAGATTACAGCAACAATAACAAAATCCGGCCCACGGGGTTGCTTGTGAAGATCAGTGGCCCAGCACCCATGAACGCCCTTGTAAACTATAAAGTGCTCTAACAGTGGTACCTACTCCTTTTGCTTTTCCTGTCACATTTCCTCTGCTGCTTCAAAACCAAAGGAAGTGAGGCCTCATTTCTTCAGGTTTTGTCATTTAGTTTAACCCTATTTCATCCCACAAAGTCCGCAGAAGGCACAGATGAGAAAATCACCCCCTAGACCTGCCTTACTTCTGCTGAGTCCCTGCCTACTGCAGTTCTTCTCACCTCCTCCTCCACCCACCAAGGTACGTGAGACACTGGAGGAAGAGGAGAAAATGCCAACAGGTCTGATCTCCCAGGCGTAGAGATTTACAAAGCAGTCAGCACTTTTAACTAAAAGTCTTGTTCAGGATACACACAGACATTTATCATGTGGGCAGGGCCTAGCGCTCTGGTTGGATCTCAACATGGAGTCTCTTCTTTTATGTCAGATCAGGATGGGCCAACTGCAAACTGAGACAGGAGGGTCTGCTGGGAAAAAACAGGACCTGGAGAAGACCTGTGTTTAAGGCTTAACCCCAGCTCTGCCTCTAACTTACCTTATATGATTAGATGGATTATTTAATCACTCTTTCTATGTTCCCACCTCTCCTGCTGCTGTCAAACCTCAAATCTCTATTAACCATTGGAATTTTGTTAGAAAGTGATGAATAGTCCATGCAAAGGCATGTAATAAAGAATGTCTTCTATTTATAGAAATTTGATCATATTTAAAGCACTTGATAAGATGATAAACAAAGAAAATATTATCCCCATTTTATTAATTTAAAAACTGAGATTTGGGTTGATTTGTAAAATTGCTCAAAGTCTTGAAGTTTTACATGAAAGGCAGTGTCAAGAACAAAATCTGAACTTCTGACCCCTAGGCCAGTGCTCTCCCTACATTGCTAACTTCAGCGGAATGCCATTGCATGTATCTATGAAAAACCTATTTCCATTTCTACCTGCATAGAAAAAAGTAACGGTGGCAGAAGGGCCACATCCACTTTGACTGGTCCCACTTTGGAACTGAAGGAAGACTTTGGTTTCCAAATAATGTCTCTGCTAGAAAGGAAGTTTGCAAAATGTGGATCTCTCATTAAAGAGTCTTTCTGATTAGAGGGGAGTGGGAACAAGGCCAAGGAAAATGTAATGGGAGTCAGCCGGAGATGCAGGTGTGCGGTCTTATAAATTACTCAACAGTTCTTCACGAGAGCCCCCCAAGACCCCACAGCACAGTGGGAAGACGAGTGCTCCACTCTGCCCAAGGAACACATGGCCAGGAACTCCTGCTCCCCTTAGGATTGGGTCTAGGGGGTTTGATTCCAAAAGCCAAGGGTGGCAGGGACTTGCCGAGTTCAAAATAAGCCCCTTTCTCTGACAACTGCCAGTAGTCATGCTTGTACCATCTCATACACAGACACACATCCATATCGACTGGACTAGGGTGGTCACGTGACCCAAGCCCATCCAGTTCTCTCTCTCCCTGGGAGTCTGAAATTAGGACTTAGAGGCATCCAGTCAATCTGAGCTGGTTACTTGGATAAACAAGAGGAAAACTCAGGAGCTATGGGGCATCCATTTTATGCCATGCACGTGAGGAGCAAAGTCACATGTACACCCTGAACAGGACTTTGTTTGCAATTAATGTTTCTTTTACAGGGATGCAGAGGAAGAGAATGAACAAGGACTATGGGCTCCTAACAGCTTCAGAGCTCCCAGTCCCACCTCTTAAAAGGCCCAATTGTCCTGGGATCTTGTAAGATATCCCAGTATCACAATGTACTCTTTCCCCTTCCCGCACCCCGCTACCCCACAACTGGCTGTAGTTGGTTTCTATTATTAACAACCAAAGAACCGTGAATGAGACCCTAGGTAAAAGAAATTACCCACCATCTGATGACTGCTTGGCATGGCTACAAGCTACCAAAAAAGGTCTCACTCACCCTGCCTCCTCCAAAGGTGCAGGCAGCAATGAGATGTAGAAAAGCATTGGAAGGCAACCTTGGAGGCCGCGGACACTTCATAAGTGGTTTAAGGCAAGCAGAACATGACGAATAAATAAACTGAACTCATTCCCAGACCTAATTTTTTTAAGTAAAATAAAATCAGGTCCACTTAGAGTTTAAAATGGCATTTGGCTAGAAGTTCCTGACAAAGTGTCTCCAAACTTCTCCCTAAATTATTTATTACACAGAAAAATGACAAAAACTCACAACAATAATGAAAATGAAGACTAACAACCTGTTACCAGAATCTAGAAGGAATCTCTACTAACTAAATAAAGCTGCTAAAGCTGAGCTGCATTGAGACAAACAGTCCATGCTTCGCCTTAGAAAACAGAACAGCACATTGTCTCGAAAGATGATAGACATTTTCTTTCTCTCCTACTGTCTACCCCCAGTTCAGAGACCCAGGACCAAGCCAAATGAAAACCTGGCTCTCTATTATGACTGCTACTCTTTGGAGGAGCCGGAGAACTATTCCCTCTCCCTCTATCTACATCCATTCATAGAATGCAATTACTGGGAAACCACAGAGTAGGAAGGGGAAGAGGATTAGCAATGGCACGTCATGTTTTGGAAGGCATTTTTTCCACACAGCATGCCTTATAGGAAGCACAAAGGTAGTTTGTGCTGGAGAGTAAGATTTTCACATCCCCCATCAGTTCTGTTTGTTAGAGAATAGGCAGAAGAGGAAGGGAGAGATCCCATGCCAGTTCAGCAGGGCCGCACAAGATGAATGCCCTTCAATTCTGGGGAGCTGTGCACCACAACTGACCTTCAGCTACAGACCTAGGAATAAGGCAGTGAGCAAAGCCAAGGACAATCTGCACAGTCTACACTTCCTCTTTTAGCAAGCAAGCACCAAGGCTCCATGGAGCTCTACTTGCTTAAAGGTAAACAATGTGCCAGGCTGGAATTGGGGATATAGGGGAGGGAACCCTCAGGAGGCCTATGGAAAAACAGCATTCACCATAAGAGAATAAGGGAAACAGAGCCTCACCCAGAAGACTAAGAAAAAGAGCACACTTCTGAAGATAACTTACTATAGAAACCAGAAGAAAATGTTTTAAAACTGGCATTTATAATATAAAAACATAATATGGCCCTATGAAATTGAAACTGAAAAACATATATATACACATACATATATATATACACACACACAAATACATATAGATATATAGATACAGAAAACAAGCTGAGTTAAACTGATATCAGGATAAGCTTCAAAGACTGGCATGTGAGATGACATTTTAGGTTCTTACAAAAGTGTGATGGGGGGCCGGCTCCCTTGTTTATGTTAGACCTAATTGTGATTCTTTTAAAATAAACAGTGAAGCAAAACTTTTAGGATATCAAGAGAAAGCAGTTAGCTAGAAGAGTGGAGTTTTAAAAAATATGTCATCTAAAACAATATTAAACAATATTCAGATATGATCCACTCAGACTTCAGCCCCTTACTACTTGTAAGTGTTCTTCCCTCTGCAAACGTCCGAGCAAATCAGACCAGCACACACCCACTGGAGAAGAATGGCATTCTAAAGCTGCTTCTTTTTTTTGGCAGAAATGATGGGACTGTTAAAATTCAGTAATGATTTTATTACCTCATTTGAGATCATTTCATTGTCCAAGTTATTCTCTTTTTTCAGTAGCAACAGCAAATTTGGTAAGAAAGCAAAATCCAGCAGTTCTCATACAAATATTGCAAGAATTTTGTTAAAATATTTTAGGGTACATAGTGATTTCAGAATATGTATTATTATAGTACCTTTAGCTGCTGTACAAATACGTCCAATGTTTGTATCTTGGCTGAAGTACAATAAAAGCTTATCTGTCACTTACAAAAGAGCTCAAGGCAAATGTTCCCGGTTGGCAAGAGCAGCTGTCCACCCTGAGCACCCAGGCTAACAAAGTTTCTGCCACCTTCACCATGAGGCCCCAAGGTTGTCACTGTCCTCTCATGGCACTCAGCTGGAAGAGGGGAAAGAGAACAGAGGACAACTCATTAAAGGCTCTTATGGGGAAGTCCTATATGTCACACACATCACCTCCATTCACATTCTACTAACTAGAATACAGTCTCAGGGTAAATATTAGGGGCTTCAGGCTTATGAAAGAGAATTTGGCCAATGGAGTCCAAGAAAAGATATAAAGGAAACTGGTTGTAACAAGAGAAAGATATTCCCAAGAAAATTAAATTATTAAACAATAATTAAAAGTCATATAGGAAGGAGTAAATGAGTGAAATGGACATGGCAGAAAACTAAGGAATATCTTAGATGGCAAACTGGAGGAACACTTTCAGAATGCCAAGAAAGAGCACCAAGAATTAAAACTATTTCCTTAATTCTAAGATGTCTGTGTTGCCACATCATCACTTCTGAAATCAGGCCAAGTCTTGCAATCACTGGCATCTTATAATCACCCTGGGCCAGGGAGCTGCCATGGTGAGGTCATCAAGACCTGGGCATGGGTGAACTTGGTCTCAGTTGTTCATGTTGTTAGCACTTTAATTGAGTTGTATACATTGTTGCAATTACATGTGAGTTTAATTGCCATTTAAAATGTCTTTTAAAAGATTACACTATGGTTTGGCATTGAAATGAGAAGTTATTATGTATGCAGAAAGGCATGGAATTCAAGCAGCAGGATGTAATTTGATATTACTGAAGCAAATGTCTATTATTGGACCAACCACTGCAATTCTTTTTTTTTTTTTAAACTAAGTGCTTGACAGGACCCAAGAAAAGAAGGTATCCTTAAGTAGAAACTGTGTTATGTTTTGTAACTGAGACTCATGCAAAAAGAATTGCCTGTCACATGCCAAACAATGCAACCAAAGGCAGGAGCAACTGCCAAGTCCCTCAAAATAGATGAAGTCTATCAAAATAAGAGAGAGAATGGTGTGAGCAACTTACCAATTTCACAGGACTGTAATCATGGCATTATGTCACAGTTTAATTGGCAGCATTTTTTCTTCCTTAGTTGTACATATAATAATAGTGCTTCTTACAACAAATACTAGCTTAGATTCAATAAAATACAGTACTTTAAAAAGAAGACGATAGCTATGGAAGACCAGGAATAGAGATTGAGCCTAAGAGTTATGTTTCTGAAGAAGAATCTAGAACAATCAAAAGAGAAACAATAATTGAAGATATAATTAAAGAAAACTTTCCAAAAAAGTACAGAAAGGGCAAACAGAGGAATGGACTCAGTTCACCAGGTTCCAGGTAAAAGTAACCAAGAAACACTCAAATCCAGAAATATCCTGACAAGTTTTTAAATTACAAGCAAATTTTTAAGTGTTTTCTTTGTACATTCAGAAACAAAAGAAAAAGGAAGGAAGGAAGGAAGGAAGGAAGGAAGGAAGGAAGGAAGGAAAGAAGGAAGGAAGGAAGGAGGGCAAGAAGGGGAAGGGGAAGAGAAGGGAGGGAGGGAGGGATGAAAATTGTGCTGACTTTTTTGTGTCTACTACAATGGAGCAGTAGCTGACAGAGTTTTTATATGGAAAACACTTAGATGAAAATTTTACTCACAAATAAGTTTTAGTTTTTGAGGACAGACAACCAAAAGAGTTCAGAATGTCTGCCACTCACATATTCTTTAAATCACTTTAAAATATATTTCAACTGCCCAAGTGATGACTTAAAATTACTCAAGAATGGAAAAAAACAGAGCGTCAAAGGACTAGCAGTGAGTGTTGAAGCCAATTACACACAGAGAGTTGGTCTAAAACAATTGTTTAACTATGGTTACAAGACAGAATATGTGTCAAAAATACCCAAGAACCAAGAGACATACAACATCAAAAAATAATGCATGAATAATCCGATCCCAAGTCCACAAACTAATAAACTTTCAAATAGGAAAGGAGAACAGAGGGAAATAAAAGTGTACAGAATTCATCCTACACAGTTGCGAGCTTAAAAATACCATTTTATTCTTGACTTTAACAACCAGAGAAATATTGATTGGTGCTCACATCCATTTTTAGAAACTCATTACGTAGGAGAGTAGGGGCCTGTCCTTTAAAAGATAAAAACCTCACTCCTGCCTCAAGGTATTTACAGTTTGAAGATCTCTAACCAACACACAGGATAGGTTTTAATTTGTTACAAGAATAAACAAATGTCAAAGTCCTTGAAGAATTTAAGGTTTTGTGCAGAACCAGTCCTCAGATGCTGTTTCAATCTTACTGCCCACCAGCATTTTCCATTCCTTCTGGTAAAGCCTCCTAAAACCTGGTATGAAAGGACAGCAGTTCCTGGTCACTGTGGTGCCCTCTGTACCTGACGGCAGGGTCTGCTTGATGTCAGCGTGCGTTGTCACAATCCATGAACCGGATTGTCCTTGTTTAACAGCATCACTGGTGTCACTGAGAATGAGACACACAAATTCGGATTGCAGGGAAGCTCTCACGGTAACCATTACACACACAGCACTGAGACCTGAAATCAGTACACAAATACCAGATATTTTCCCTCCAGAATTTAATTTAATGCTCACAATCACCATCCAAGTAGGCAGCATTTTTCCCATTTTACAGATGAGAAAACTGAAGTTTAGAAAGGGTGTTTTCCAGAATTACAGAGCCAGTCAACAGATGGCAGAGAGGGGTCTCCAAGCCAGGAATTTCTGGCTCAAAAGTTCACTGTACCTTACCACACCATTTTCTTAATTCAAAGAAAGAAGGTACAAGGAACAGAAATGGATATAATAATTTTATAATTTATTAGAGTACTAGTAAAGATGCTGCCTCTTTTACAAAATGATAATCCAATGAACTGAACTAATCACACTGTGCTAGTACCCCATTAACCCTCTCTAAAACATTCACAAAGTGGATACAGGGCTGCTCCAGGGCCAATGAGATTTCTCTCCAAAGTAAAATTCCCCTGGAGTGCTCTGGTCTCTAAGGCTTGATTAGCAAGTACCAATTAATGCGCCTTCAGTCCTCTTTGTGTCTTGAGCACTGAGGGCTAACCCTTCCCTCGCCGACAAAGATAAGATTAAATCATTCTCACCCTAAAGAGTTCAAGTTCTAATGCACTGCTCCCTCCCAGGGCCTTGAATAGAGAATAATCTTTAGGACAAAAGAATGCATCTCTAATAGTGAAATTTTAGACGTCAGCAAAGGAGGTATTTTTCAGTCACACATAAGACACACACATTTTCCATGTCACACCTTATTGAGACAGTGGTTCCTCATCTGGTGCCGAGGACCGTGGCTCACCTCGGTGTCACCCAACTTAACGTCTTGCCCCGCCACAAATCACGGGTACAGAATAACCAGGGCGTGCCATGCCCGGGAGACTGGTCCAACCCCGGCGCCCAGGCCTGCAATCCCTGGGAGGCGTGGGCTGCCGCTGCCAGCACCCCGAGTCTGTCGCTGCGTCCCCGCGGCTCCCCCTCTCCGGGATCCGCCCGACCAGCCCAGGCGCCCGCAAGAGGGACCACGCCCGCCCGGAGCCGCCCGCGTCCCCGCCCCCCGGCACGCACCGTGTCTGCCAGAGGGCCGCTGCTGCCACCTCCCGGCCGCGTCTCCCCGAACCGCGCTCAGCCGCCACGCCCCAGAAACCCTCCCGGAGGACGCTCGGGTCCGAGTCCACTGGGCCTGGGAGGTGGTGACTGTCCTGGCAGGGGCTTCCTACGGCAAGAATCATCTTCCTTTCGGGTCACTCACGCAGCGCACCCAGACTGGAGGTGGAGATGAGCGCTTCCAGCACCGACCTCCCCCAGGGTTCCAACGGACACGTGCTCCACGCCCCTTCCCAGTCTTGGGGATCCGAAAAAGCCACACAGCCTGGCCCCAGGCACAACGTATAACAACTAGGACCCCCAAATCTGGGCAGGCCGGCTCCACTTGGGCCATCCTGGCTGCCTGAAAGAATGCGAGTTGGAGCAGAGATCTTTGAACTCAGATTCAAATGTCAGACCCACTGAATTAGAATCCCCTGGGCAGAGGCCAGGGAACTATTTTTGCAAAGTTCCCCCAGGTGATCCTAATGGTCAGGCAGGTTGGGGACCCTCCCAGTTACAAAATCTAGACGACGTTTTCAGGTTATCCACAAATGCACAGAAACACACACCCCTGGGTCTATGAAAAGGCAACAATATGAAGTTGTGCGCTTGAAATGAGAAAGATTTCATGACAGCTCATCACCTAGCCCGGGAGTTTCTAACCTTGTCTGTTTATCATGCCCTTAATGTCTCAATGCTTTTTTTCACAGTAACCCTAGGCCTAAAGAAATACCTGACTGTTCTGTGTATTAAGTAGCTAGACCCAAGTAAGAAGTATTTCTGTCCTAACAACTAGTAGCCACTAGAAAAAATATTGCATATAAACTAGAAAAAAAAACTTATCTCATTCTTAGCCACAACTTCTCACTAACGGGATGTGTGTGCTTGTTGAGCACTGCGCAACTTCTCAGACCTTGGAATTGGATTAGACGCTGCCGCCCTCATTTCCTATTCTATATTGATTTTCCCATGGTACGTGTTTTATGTCACAGCAAATGACAAAAACTGAAAATGTAGCTTCAGAAAAATATGGTTTTATCAAAAAACATGTAGGGCAGGCTAGGCGTGGTGGCTCACACCTGTAATCCCAGCACTTTGAAAGGCCAAGGCAGGTGAATCACTTGAGGTCAGGAGTTCGAGACCAGCTCAACCAACATGGTAGTAGTAGAGAAACCCCATCTCTACTAAAAATACAAAAATTAGCTGGGCGTGGTGGCATGTGCCTGTATTCTCAGCTACTCAGGAGGCTGAGGCAGGAGAATCTCTTAAACCTGGGAGGCGGAGGTTGCAGTGAGCCAAGATCACACCACTGCACTCCAGCCTGGGCAACAGAGTGAGACACCATCTCAAGGAAAAAAAAAAAAAACTGTAGGGCAATCTAATATTGAGTCTTCAAGCTATCCTGCACTACTTAGTAGTTTGCATGGAGCCCAACAAAAGTTGAGTGTTGCCTTTGGCCTTTAAAATATCTCAAAGAGCCCCTCTGAATCCACAGCAGCTCCAAGAACACCTCAGCACAGAGTTTGGGAACATGCATGGAACTCACTCCTGCTCCTCTCCTCATCCCACACTCCCCAGGGTTCACAGTGCTCCTCCTGCAAGCATCTTCTTTCTTGCCAAATGCTTTCCCACCTCAGCACTTTGTGCCCTTGCTCTTCTCTCTGCCTGGAATGCTCTTCCTCAGGTCTCCGCAGGCCCAGCTCCTTCTTGGCCTCCAGGTCTTGGTTCAAAGACCACTGTGCTCCCTAAAGCCTCTTCAGGCCTCCCACCAAATCACTTCTATCCTATGGGCCTGTTTCCTTTTCTGTATAGCTTTTATCACTATCTGAAGTTATCCTGCTTAGTTTACTTACTTATTTTCAAGCTTCCCCACCAGAATGTGAACTTGATGAGAACAGAGACTTTTGTTCATTACTGTTTCCGCAGAACCCGCAACAATGGTTAGCAATAAGTAGACAATAAACAATTGTTCAATGAATGACTGCAGCCTCTACACTCAGCTCAGGGAGATAAAAGGTAAGAAGAATGTGCTTTACACGTGCTATCCCCTTGGATCTTCACAACACTCTTTGGAAATAGATACAAATAGACATGATTAACCCCATTTAATAGATGAGAAACTCACATTGAAAGAAGTTAAGTGTTCAAAGCTGCACAGCTGAAGTGGCAGAGCTAAGATTCAAGTTCATGTCTACTTGACTGCAAAGGCTGCTTTTCATAAAATCACATTAACATCATGTTGGATACCTTCGATACACACAATACATTTTTTTTTAAGACGGAGTTTCACCCTTGTCACCCAGGCTGAAGTGCAGTGGCACAACCTCGGCTCACTGCAACCTCCACCTCCTGGGTTCAAGCGATTCTCCTGCCTCAGCCTCCCAAGTGGCTGGGACTACAGGCATGAGCCACTACATTGGCTAATTTTTGTATTTTTAGTAGATACAGGGTTTCATCATGCTGGCCAGGCTAGTCTCAAACTCCTGACCTCAGGTAATCCACTGGCCTTGGCCTCCCAAAGTGCTGGGATTACAGGCATGAGCTACCGCACCCGGCCAACATTTATTTTTTTTAAAAAAAATGTTAACCACATTGCCTCCCATTATCCCATTATCCACCTAGAAAAGCTAATAATAACAATGGCAAAGTCAAGAAATGTAGCCAAGGGGCCAACAGAGCCCCAGAGTCCTTAGAGAAACTGGCCACATCGGCATTTCCCCACTCGAGGACTCAGCCCCTGCCTCCAGTAGAAAATAGCAGAGGTGCCCACCTGGGAAGGCCTTGCCTTTATTATTCCTCTGGCCATAGCTGGCCATACCAAGGAGACCTCTTGCAGACATATCTTCTGGCCTGGCCCATGTTACTCTGTAAACCTAATGACATGTGTAACTCTCGTTGCTGATTACAACTGCCGAGCTCCTGTTGATCATCATGACAGGTAAGAGGCAAACACACATGCAGCTGCAATCAAGGACATGATGAGCACCTACCCTGAGCTCTGGATGGCACTGGGTGCTCAGGTTGCCCACATTTTAGACAGTCGCTGATTGGAGCAAGAATTATTAGGCCACACTCATCTGCATCCCCCAGGAAATGCTGGGTTGCCTTGACCCCCTGGGAGGAGTTATGAAGGGTCCCCACAGGCTAGAGCTTGGGTGGCTGGACACTGAGTTGGAGACCCTCGTACAAAGAAAGGGAGATTAAAATTTGTTCTGTAGAGTCAAGGGACTTGTGCTTGTCAACTTCCCCTCTTCATATGGCTTTGTTTCCCCATGTTGCTTTTAAACAGGTGGTTCAGGCAGGAGAAGAAATCAGCTCTTCCCTCCTCACCCCTATACTCCCCTTGGCCTGGCCCAGCTATAACTTCTGCTTATTCAAGACTCAGTAGTGTTGGTGCTGCCTCCAGGAAGCCTGTCCTGGCCCCTGAGACCTCTCCTCTGTGCTCAGAATAACCCCCATACATCACTGGATCCTGGTACTCGCCCTGCTGCATTATAATTATCTAAGTGTGGGTCTGTCTCCCATCCGGGCTGTGAGCTGAACTGAGGTAGGAACTGTGACCCA
This sequence comes from Homo sapiens, assembly GCF_000001405.40. Classification (NCBI taxonomy): domain Eukaryota; kingdom Metazoa; phylum Chordata; class Mammalia; order Primates; family Hominidae; genus Homo; species Homo sapiens. The sequence continues at coordinate 112,286,610 of NC_000011.10, read as the reverse complement.
TTTACTGTCATGTCTCCAGCTAACACCATGCCTGGCACAGAGTAAGTGGAATAAATATCTGGGCTAATGGAGTTGCTGGATTACCAGACTACGTGTTCTGACAGGTAGCTGGGAAGATAGGATCATCATAGTTCTAGTCTCTGTGCTGCCGACATTCACAAGCTCTTGGAAGACCTTAGGAATCATCTAGCCCTGTGCACAGGTTCCCACATCCTGAGGTCCCTGCACCAGGAAGGGTGGTCTGCCAGAACTACAAAGGCCGAGGGAACAACTTCTCAGGAAAGCCTTGGCCACAGGCTACTCTCATTTCTGAAGGCTCTGAGCCTATCTCACTGACCATTTAGAACAAATTGTTCATGACTCAACTTCATTATCTTCTACCCCGTATAGGAGCCCCAGCCTCCTCGGCTCTGCATTAGGTCATTGTTATCGCTCCCTTGTGGGCTTGCCATGTCACCTCCACAAGCAGCAGCAAAAATCACTTGCCAGAAAAAATGTCAGAAAAGCAATTAACATGAGCCTGGGTAGCAAGAAAGAAGCAACACATAAGAACAAAGGAGATGGCTCCTCCCTGCAAAGTCTGTGATTGCCTACCAGGGAAGCCAGCTCTGGGAGACCTGGGGATTGGGCTTGAGCCATCAGCCTCTGCCCCTGGTGCTTTATTTCAGAAGCACCAGCATCCCTTTAATCATGCGCAGGAAGCTTGACTGCTGTGGGAGCCCAAAGGGACCACCTGAAGCCTGTGATGAGACGGGCTGCAGCGCAGGAGAAAGACAGAGTCTCTCCCACTGCCTACTGAGGAATGCAGCTGCTCTGCAGCTGAACTTGGAGAGGCAAGAAAGAGAACAGACATTTAGGAAATGAGAGGTGACCCAGTGTCTGAACACTGAAGGTCATGGGGAGATACAAGAGACAGAGAACAGGCTGAGCATGGTGGCTCACGCCTGTAATCCCAGCACTTTGGGAGGTGGGCAGATCACGAGGTCAAGAGATTGAGACCATCCTGGCCAACACAGTGAAACCCCGTCTCTACTAAATATACAAAAATTAGCTAGGCGTGGTGGCACATGCCTTTAATCCCAGCTACTTGGGAGGCTGAGCCAGGAGAATCCCTTGAACCCGGGAAGCAGAGCTTGCAGTGAACTGAGATCGCGCCACTGCACCCCAGCCTGGCGATAGAGCAAGACTCTGTCTCAAAAAAAAAGAGAGAACAAGGAGAGAGGGATAGACAAACAGACACAAACACAAAAGCAGAGACAAAAGTTGACAACTTTAAAAGAATTTTTAAACAGAAGGAGTTTTCACCATTAGTGAGTGAGGGGCCTCCCTGAGAGTGGGGGAGGATTATGAAATCATTACCAGAATGTTCTAGATCTCACCCCTGGAGACCACAAAGTCAGACCACGTTTACATTCAGTTCCCAAATTGTGATCATCTAAGCTCTCACCAGCTGTGGCAGCAGGTCCCGCAGCCTTCTCTGAGAGGCAGCATGGCCTCAGGGACTCAGGAGCCAGCCCTGAAGCGGAATTCCCTCTGCTGCAGCCCCCACCTCAGGCTGCCACTATGGCACCCACAAGCTCACCATCTGCAAGGCACGGCTTTCACCACCACTGCCGCTCTGGCGCCTAAGGAAGACCTGCCCTGACCCCCACTTCTCAGTCCTTACTATGGGATCCATCCTTCCCCGGTGCCACACTTCTCCCTTGAATTTCCTTGAGAATTGGAGGCGGCAGAAGGAACCTGCGTGGGGCCTAGAGCAGCCTAAAGCCCCTGACCCACCTGCCTCGTACCTCATGCCCACCAGCTTCACAGGGCCAGGGGTCAGTCATCTCCCACCATAGAAATAGCTGACACCTTCACGCCCTGGAGCCTGAATCCGAGGGAGATGTGGCTGCCCCTTAGCCTACGGCCCTGGGTCTTGGGGGATGATGCTGGGTTCCTGAGTGACCCTGTGGAATCAATGAGCTCACCTACTCCCCAGACACTGCTAAATGAGGGAGAGAAGTAATCCACAACATTTTTTAAACCACTGTATTCTTGGATGTTTTTCTTACAACAGCTTTGCCTCGCACCCTAACAAATAACAAGAGCAGGCGATTTCCTGGCAGGAGTCACATCTGATTTCAGCTCACAAGACAGCCAGCCCTCCAATCCTGGGGTTCCATATCTGAAGATTTAGCCAACTGCAGATAGAAAATATTCCAAAACAAACCAAAAAATATATATAACAATAAGAAAACACAGGCCAGGCACGGTGGCTCATGCCTGTAATCCCAGCACTTCGGGAGGCCAAGGCAGGTGGATCACCTTGGGGTCGGGAGTTTGAGACCAGCCTGACCAATATAGAGAAACCCTGTCTCTACTAAAAATGCAAAAATTAGCTGGGTGTGGTGGCGCACGTCTGTAATCCCAGCTACTAGGGAGGCTGAGGCAGGAGAATCGCTTGAACCTGGGAGGCGGAGGTTGCGGTGAGCCAAGATCGCACCACTGCACTCCAGCCTGGGCAACAAGAGTGAAACTCTATCTCGAAAAAGAAAAAGAAAATACAAATTAAAAACCCACTAAAAAAGCTATTTACATAGCATTTTACATTGCATCAGGTTTTATAAGTGGTCTGGAGGTGATTTAAAGTATATGAGAGAATTGTAGGTTATATGCAAATACCACACCATTTCATATCAGGGACTTGAGCATCTGTGGATTTTGGTATCTGCAGGCAGGGAGTATGTCCTGGAATCAATCCCCTGTGGACACTGAGGGATGACTATGATGATAATACCCTCTAAGAATCAACTTAATATGAGTTGGTTGTTCCGAGCAGGTACTGGGCACTCCCAGTGAATAAGAAAGTGTCCTCAGGGCCTCCCTCCACATCACCTAGTAGAGACAAATGGGGCCTTTCTCTTTGTTCCAACAGCTTAATCACTTCTTTCTTCCCACTTTTTGCATCCCCCTCCCCTGCCCTTCAAGGCACAACAGCAAATCCAATGAGGGACCAGCCCACACTCAACAGCTACACTAACCAGCTGAGTGACCTTGACACCTGCTTCTCAATCAAGGGCTGGACTAGATCTGTGGCTTTCAATCCCAGCTGTGCATTAGAATTACCAAGGGACCTTTGAAATATTGAAATGCTGAGTCCCTCATCAGACCAACTAAAACCAAATTTCTGTGGGGTGGAGAACCTTTAACTCGGAAACTAAATCCAGTTCCCAGATTAATTTCATCAAATGGTGCTGTTCTGGTCACAATCCAGCTCATGTAGCCTTCGCTGGACTTTGTCTTATTTATAGCCCAACACCTGGGACAGTCACAGGTATCACACATAGTAGATGCTCACTTTTCCTTCTAAGAGGTTGCTGTCATTGTGGATAAAATTCCATGTTTTCTGCATTTGATTTGAGAATACAGGAATGGAACTTTTCTCTAAGAAAGAAAAACAAAAAAAACTAAGTTTGGTCACTTTTTACTCCTGTGGGGTCTTCAAAAGACTTGTGTAGCAGACAGAACATGGGCTTTGGAGTCATTCAGACTGGGTGTGAATTCCAGCTCTGCTCCTCCTTCACCATGTGACTTGGGCAAGTGATATACTGGCTCCCCTTGTAACCAACATGGTCACTTGAATTACAGGTGAATAGCATTTCCTGATTACAAATATGCAATTTGTGCAGCCCAAAGCAGCAGCTGCAGCTGAACCTCAGTGCCTAGTTTTCTTAGCTGTAAAATGAAAGTAGTAATAGTTACAACACAGCTTTCATGCAAAAATATGAACAATGTAAGTAAAATAGTTAGCATAGCCCCTAGCATATATAAATACTCAAGAAATGCTAATTTTCTCCCACTTTTACCCCCAAAGTTTTCTATATCCCCAAACCTATGCATCTGTGTCCTCTGAATGGAAGGCATGTGAGGGACTCCTATTGAGTGGCCACCTGAGATCTCTGCAGGACACTCGCAGATGCAAGGCAGGCTGAGATGGATGTGGTGTGCAGCTTGATCCTGGTAAGGCAGCTACTAACAGCGGTGCAAGTTTTGCATTGCACAACACTGTTGGGCTCCTTTCACATCATGGTCATCACAGGTTTTTCTAGTTCCTACAGCAGTTTTCTAGAAGATGTCAGTGGGGTGTGTGAAAGAAATGGTACCATTTTCCAAATTCAACCAAATTTGCCCTGTTAACCAGCTGTAGGCTGCCATCCCCACTCCCTAGTTCCTCTGCCTTAATATGACATTGGACCTCATCACCCAACCAACCTGTCCACAAAGTAAGTCCTGATGACGCCCCTCTCAGGGGCACACAAGCCATTCTTTGTGCCTCTCCTTGAAACTGATCATACAATGAAAATGAGAAACACAGCAGGACAAATGGAGAAGATGAATCCCACCACAAGATGTCCTGAAACTTCCATGCTGTTGGGAGCTCCTAGCCCCCTTCAATGCAGACCAAATCACCCAGCTCCCAGACAAGGGTTCCAACTCACAGCTGCTACATGTGAGCTCCCAGATGGGATAGCTCTATAATGTGCCGCACCTACATCCCCATTTAAAGGAAACCGCCTGCCCTCATCCCCTGCCACAGGTACTTCCCAGCAGGGCAGTTCTGTTTTATGGCACACTCTCCCCTGCCCAGCTAATTGCAACAGGAAGCAGACTCCCAAACAGCTCATTCATTGGCTGGCTAGAGACTTTTGAAGTGGCCCAGCACCTGAAAAAGGGGAAGGGTGTGTCAATTAGATTTCTATCTCAGAAAGCAAAACTGGAAAATGTCAAGAAAATCAGTCCGTTGGTGGCGGGAGCCAAGGCTGAAATGTCCTGGAGTGCAGCAAGTGGAGAGAGGCTGAAGGGACCACAGTGAGTGAGGGGTAAACCAAAGTTATGAATCAGCAGAAGCTGTGGCGCAGGGAAGAGGCAGGTGCAGAAAACAAGGCAAGGGAGCTGCCAGTGGCGAGCGGAGAATGGAGGACCTGCTCACAGAAGCCAGGTCGCCTTACTGGGGGAGAGCCAGAGCAAAGATCCAGGACTCCTGCTGGAGTGTAACCTCAGATCCAAATGCAGGCTCTGTGGACATTCTTGCTCCCTTGTTGCTCCCTTCTCCTTCCAGCTACCTCCCCAACTTCACTTGTACTGGTGTGTGAAGGCATCTGGTTATTGCCGCTTAAAGAACCCGGCCGGGCACGGTGGCTCACACCTGTAATCCCAGCACTTTGGGAGGGCGAGGCGGGCAGATCGCTTGAGTTCAGGAGTTCCAGACCAGCCTGGGCAACATGGCGAAACCCTATCTCTACAAAAAATGCAAAACAATTACCCAGGTGTGGTGGCACATGCCTGTAGTCCCAGCTATTTTGGGGGCTGAGGTGGGATGATCGCTGGATCCCAGGAGGTCAAGGCTGCAATGAGCCAAGATCATACCACTGCACTCCAGCCTGGATGACAAAGTGAGACCCTGTCTCAAAAAAAAAAAAAAAAAAAAACCACCTCAGTTCAACCATTAGCAAGTAGAGATGGACAGAGAAAGTCACACACACAAAAAAAGCCAATCAATAAGGAAACCACCTAAAAGAAGAACAATTATTTTACAGTTTCTGGGAATAATACTAATTAACATGTGTATAACCATTTGCAAATTTTGGCTTAGGATAATCATGAGAAACATAGAAATTGAATCTGAGTTCTGTCTCACCAGTCACCATTGCAGAATCAGTTCATTTTAGTCAGAAGGCCAGATAGGGGACTTTGCAATCTACAGCTCACCCTGTCACATCTCAGTGGATCTTTTTGAGGTGGGGGAAAAAAAAAAAAAAAAAAAACCTTGAGAAGCGAGGGCCAGGGGAAGGGAGGAAAGCATCTTGAAATAGACCATGGTGGCCACTAGAGGGAGATGCTACCTTGTGAAACATTTCACGGCCCGCTACTTCCAGGGAGAGTTCTCAGCTGAGACCAGAGAACGTGAAGGGACCTGCTCCCCTTCCTCCTCTTTTAGAGACGAGATGAGGCAGCATCCTCTCTGGAACCGAACGGGCTCTCCTCCGCGTTGGTGAAGACAAGGCCATGTTCTACAAAGTTCATGCATAACCCATCGTTCCTGCGGACCAAGGCAACAGGAATGGCCATCGTCTGGAGGGGCCGGCTGAAAGAGAGCCGGAAGAAGAAATGTCTAATGCTGCCCTCAAACATCTGAGAGAATACGGAGAAGGGCCACATTTGCTATGCGCGGCTTCAAATGGCGGAACTAGGACCCATGGCTGAGAGCTACAAGGAGAAACCACTCAGTACAAGAAGGGCTCCTTGGAAACACAGCTGACCAAATTGTGGAGTGGATCCAGCTGACACTGACCATTTTTGGGTGTGGCATAGATGGGCGACCACACTGTGTGGGCAGTTGGTCTCACCGCCTCTAAGACACCTTCCATCTCTGAGAACCTGCAGGAAGGAGAGAAGTGGCCTTGCGACCCCCACCCGCCCCGCCCACGCCGAGTGCTTCTTTGCCGCCCATCCTACCGCGTGCCACCAGGGGGCGCCGCTGCTCTGGAAGACGCCTTACCACTGAGGTTTCAGAGCCAATCCCTGAGAGCCAAGTGCCCACCCTCAACCAAAAGACCACCTGTTAGGTCGAGATAGCACAATGAATCTGGATTGGTTGCACCTCCGCTATTCCAAACACATTGCAATAGTACATAAAGTATAAAAAGAGAAAACCAAAAGATATAGTTCCTGCCCACTGCCGTGGCTCACACCTGTAATCCCAGTGCTTTGGGAAGCCAAGGTGGGAGGATTGCTTGAGGCCAGGAGTTTGAGATCAGCCTAGGCAACATAGCAAAGCCCCGTCTCTACAAAAAAAAAAAAAAAAAAAAAAAAATAGCCAGGTGTGGTGGCAAGCACCTGCAGTCCTAGCTATTTGGGAAGCTGAGGAGGGAGGATCGCTTGAGCCCAAGAGTTCAAGGTTACAGTAAGCTATGATTGTGCCAATGCACTCCAGCCTTGGGACAGAATGAGAACTTGTCTCTAAAAAAAAAAAAAAAGATATAGTTGAGCTGAAAAAAATATGTATGAATATCTCTTTGGATCAGAAAAGGAAGATAAACCCAAAGCAGTGAGCAAGGCTGAAGCTCCAGGACGGCTGCCCAGTGCTACCTGGGGTTACAAATTCCTGGGGAGCCATGGGCCCGGGGAGGGGAAGGACAAAGCCTCCCTTCCAGGAACTGAGACAAGCCACCCACTGTGCTGTCTCCAGTATCTGTTGTCACCAGCCACCTTCATGAGGCGTTTCTAGACCTGGGGTTCAGAGGGACAGGAGGAAGCAACTGCAAAACCTCTAGACAGGTGCAGTTGAACAATCAGAAGAGAAAGAAGAAAAAATCCAAAAGCCTCCCATTCCACATGAGCCTGCAAATCCAAAATTACAAAACACAGGAAGAACCTCATGCTAAGCCTAGCAGCCAGCAGCACCAACACTCTGAACATGAATCAATCCAGACAAAATTAGTATTCAGAAGCAGCATGACATACATGCATACATTGAAGCTGATAAGAGAAAAAGGAAGCATAATGCTGTCATCCACACAGGGTGAATGTCCAAATAGCACATGCCGCTGGCCTGCTGAGGAGCACCCCTTGGGGTCCACTCACAGAGAGGACCAGGAACACGTGTGCAGGTCCCCATGACCCTTTTCTCCTAGGTTAGCACTGTACTGCCTGGGAGGGGAAAAGAAGCAAAAGTTGCTTCCTGGGAGAGTCAGGAAGGGACATTCTACTGATGACACTAGTGGTTTGGGGCCTATCCGGGACTAAAGCAGCCCCTCTCTTGAGCCCCGTGTCCTCAAAGAGAGACTAGTAGATTGAAAAAGTACTGGTTCAAGGAATGTGAAACCTGCTATTAATTGATTTATTACTTTAGACAAGTCACTTTCCTTCTCAGAGCTTCTGTTTCCCCAACAGTAAAATGATGTTAAACAGATCATCCCTAAGATAAGGTTATCTTTGATAACCCAGGTAAGGTTATCATTCTAAAAGAAAGGAATCAGTAACTCATCTCTTTAATTCTTTCATTTTTAATACAAGCCTAGCACCTTTTCTTTTCTAAGTACAGTATTTAATTTCTGGTTGTAATATTAATCTATGTTCATTAGTAAAAGGGAAAAACTCAAAGAAGGAAATAAAAATGACTGCAATGTCACCAGTTAGAGACAACACTGCTAACATTTGCTGTAATTTCCAGTGACCTTTCTTTTACTGTGCTAATATAAATATGAGGGTGCTTTTTTTTTTTTACAGAAATCAGGTAATAATATTCACTGCTAACTGAACATCTACTACCTGTCAGACACAGGACCAAGTGCTATACAAACATCTCACCAATCTTTATAGCAACCTGCAGGGGAGACACAATGTCTCCAATTTACTGAAAAGAAAATTTCTGTGCAACAAAAAGTCAAGCAACCTGCCTGAGGCCACATAACTGTGAGGAACAGAGCAGAATTCCTACCATACCAGCTTCCTGAATGGTCTACATTGTCTTGTGACTTTTTTTTTTTTTTACTTATTTTTAACATGTTCTCATTTTTCAGTTACTTTTCTAACACATTATTATAAGTGGTTCAAGGTATTAATCACATAATCCCTTACTGGCTAGCATTTAAGATGTTTTCAATTTTCACTATCATAGACAATGCTGTGATTATCTTCCTTCCACATAATTCTTTCCACTCAGCAGTAATCATCCTTAAGATAAAAACGTTGAACATCCTGATCAAAGGGTATGCACTTTCTTTTTTTGTTTTTTTATTTTGAGACGGAGTCTCGCTCTGTTGCCCAGGCTGGAGTGCAGTAGCGCGGTCTCGGCTCACTGCAACCTCCGCCTCCCGGGTTCATACCATTCTCCTGCCTCAGCCACCCAAGTAGCTGGGACTACAGACGCCCACCACCGTGCCCGGCTAATTTTTTGAATTTTTAGTAGAAACGAGGTTTCACCATGTTAGCCAGGATGGGTATGCACTTTCTTAAGGCTATTGACAAATAGTGTCAAATTGCCCTCCAAAACACTCAAACAATTATTCTCCCTTTAACAATTTAGGAAAGTTCAATTTGCCTGCAACCTCATTAATGTTGGAAGTGATCTCATTTTTATTCATCTTAGCTGATGTTACAGGTGAAATGTCTTGATTGTTAATGTAGTTAAATTTTGTTCTGAAGTCATCAACCACTTTATGATTCATTTTAATAAGCACCTATATACAAATCCTTGGAAGACAGGAGGAAAATGAAGAAATGGGATCAAAAGGAGAGAATATCAATTTCATTTATTTAACAAAAACCAAATACCTAACATCTGCAAGGCATGTTACAGGCCCTGTAGGCATTCAAATGAGTAAGCACAAGCAACTATTGAGCACCTGCTGTATGCTCCAAGATACCAGACATGCTAAGTGTCATAGGAGAGACAAAAGAAGGTACAACATTTATCCTCCAAGAACCCAAAATCTAGTTGAGAAAGGGAAAAAACCAACACAAGAAGGTGTTTTGAGCCTAATTCCTCTTTATCTGTTCTTTCATGGAACGGAGCTTCCACCTCCTTTTATGGTCTGCTCAGTAAACCTCAAACCATTGTGGCTTGTTCATATACTTCTCTTCCTGGATCACGTGGGAGCTCCAGAGGGCAGAGATGGGCTCTTACTCAGTGGTCAAATGGACACCCTGGAATGATGGACGGACATCCTGGAATGATGGAATGATTTTCCAATTCTTACCTCATGATTGAGGGTTGTAAATTAGCGACAGGTTGCCACATCCCCTAGCCACTCCCTACTGCCCACCCCCTGCAGGGATCAGAAACACAGGGCCAGTACTCAGATACAAGGTCATAGGCATATACATTAAGTTAACATTAACAGCATTCATTTATTGGTTGGATTCAATAACCAGCCACACTCCCTGAAACTGTCAGAGTCTGATAGTTAGGGCATGCACTGCGACCCTTGGTTATGTCAGTACACAGGATGTTTATCTGACTGTTCATTTACATGACTGATTCAAGGGTTTTGGTTTTGTTTGTTTTCTTGTTTGTTTGTTTGCTTGCTTACTCTTTCTCCTCACTTACTGATGTTCACCTCTCCTCCCTGCCCTTCCAGGATCCACAGGTCATAAGATCATCACCCGCCACCTGATCTGATTCCCCTGGCTTAGAAACCTGGCCATTCACACATAAGCTCACCAAGTTCATTTCACTTGCAGTTGTCTTCTCATTTTTCTTTTTTACTTGCTGTGATTTTTCCAGCCCTCTCTCTGGCTCTCTCCCTCTCGCCTTGCTCAGAGAGGTTTTACACCAGCCCCTCCTAGGTCTCCTTTCTCCTTTCTCTAAGGGATGTCTCAACACCACTGACATTTCCTGAGTTTTCCATTTACTAGTCACTGAGGTCTTTTATGTGGACTGCCCAAAGCATCTAGAACCAGCACAGCTCAATAAACATTTGCTTAATTCAAACTCTGACTACTGTGCCACTGATTAGAATTTCAAGAGCTTCAGATTCATGTGCCCTGGAGGAAATGGGAAGGACTGGCTACCAAAGGTAGGATTTAAACCCGACTTAAAATCTAAGTACAATCCCAGTGCTTTAAGAAGCCGAGGCAGGTGCATCCCTTGGGCCCAGAAATTCAAGGCTGCAGTGACCTGTGATTTCACTACTGCACTTCAGGCTTTGAGACAGTGCTACAGAGCAAGACCCTGTCTCAAAGAAAAAAAAAAATTAGAGCTAGCCTAGGTTTATGGGAGGAGGTCATCAATGTCTTTAACTGTGAATAGTTAGAGAAGAAAGGAACTGACATTAGCCCAAATAAGTCATGGTCTTTGCTCCTGGGCAACATATGGAGACCCCATCTTTACAAAAAAAAATAAATAATAATAATAATAATACATAAGGTCGGTATGCAGGATGTCCATCTGCCCATTCATTTACATGACTGATTCAATCTCAATCTGAATGATAATGGGAGCAGAAAGGACTTCATCCCATCACCCCTTTCCTTCCTTTTCCCCTCTACTCACTTCTGAGGAGCCATCAGTAAGACAGAGAAAAAGACAGAGAAAAGAGATAAACTGTTCACAAAATAGTGTTGAAGGTGCCAGGAGAGGTAGTCATTGCTGTGTGTCTTGTTCACGGTCTACACCAAAGATACTGAAGGGCCTGAGCTCCCTGGGCACACATGGACCTCCCAGGATGATCCTCCCCTTCAGAACTGCAGTAGGACCTAGAAAGGCCAGCAGATATGAAAGATGAAGAGGACTGCGTAAGAGGAAGGGAGACCAGAGCAAGACAGCCCCCCAGAGGTGTGACCAAGAAGGAGTAGAAATATTCCAAGAAAGTGAAGAAATATTTCCCCCATCCTCTGGATGCTGTGTGCATCGGCTAATAATCAGTCTCTTACCGGAATGAACTGGACCTGCATACCCTCCTGTAAGCCACCAATGTCACCAAGGGTCCCAGTGTGCATTATAACTGTCATTGACCAGACAGACCCTGTACTAGGTGTTGTACCTACATTACCTCAGTGAATGCCACCTAACACTATGTGCCCAAGACCACGAAGACTTCCAGCCAGGGAGCTCAAACTCGAGGGCACATAAGAATCACCTTGGAGCTGGTTAAAATGACACAAAAAGTTATGGCTCCTAAATCTGGAGTGGGGTCCAGGAAAATGCATTTTAAATAAGCATCTTGTGGGGCCTTCAGCATCTGCATCACTGTCACAGGTTGCTTATTAAAAATGCATGTTCCTGGCTGGGTGTGGTGGCTCATGCCTGTAATCCCAGAACTTTGGGAGGCCAAGGCAGGTGGGTCAGTTAAGCCCAGGAGTTCAAGACCAGCCTGGGCAACATGATGAAATCCCATCTCTACAAAAAATACAAAAACTGGCCAGGTGTGGTGGTGCATGCCTATAGTCCCAGCTATAGGGAGGTTGAGGCAGGAGGATCACCTGAATCCGGGGAGGTCGAGGATGCAGTGAGCTGTGATTGCATCACCGCACTCCATCCTGAGCCATAGAGTGTAACCTTATCTCAAAAAAAAAAAAATGCATGTTCCTGGACCCCCCCACCTCTGACCTACAGATCCAGAACCTGTACGCTCCAGCCCAGCCCTAATAGGCTAGTGGCTTCCCTTTGGACCCTTGGGACCAGCCAGTCTAGTCACACCACAACCATTGTCCTCAGAGAAAGCCCGTCTCACCATTTGTCCTCCACAGAACATTCCTCCAACCTCCTCCTCCCGTTCTCACTATTCTCTCCATCGCAAACCTTCCCTCTCTGCCACTTAAAACTTCCACTGCTGAGTGAGCTCCCCTACATCTTCCACTCATTCCTTTCCCTTATGAGCTTAGATGAAACCACCAGGGGAAAAATGGCAGACATGAGCTGCAATGATGGCCACCACCCCAACTCAGGGGAGCTCAGTCATCTTAGGCAGCAGGCAGCTGCAGTGATAATGGCTGCCCCCACCCCCCTGGAAACTCTTAGCAGAGTTAACAGAACAGAGCTGTTAACAAAGCTGTGCAGAGTTAACTTAACAGAGCTGTGCAGATTCTCAGCAGCCACTTGACTGGGGTCTTAGGCAGTCTCCAGTCAAGTGGCTGCTGAGAATCTGCACAGCTCTGTGCTTGGGACCCAAGGCCCTGGTAGTGTAGCTCAAAAGTGGGATCTCCTGATCTGTGGGTTGCGCAGATCCGTGGAAAAAGTACGGTTTTCTAGCAGGGTAGCATGATCACTAACCACCTCCCTTGGCTTGGGGTGGGAGCTGCCCTTTCCCCGTGTGGCTCCCAGGTGGGCCGTCGCACCACCCGGCTTTTCTTCACTCTTCATGGGTCACATCAACTGCTTAGTCAGTCCCAGTGAGAGAACCTGGATACCCTGGTTGCTGGTGCAGGATTCACTTGCCATTTTGGTTCCTCCCAGTGGGAGCCTCTGACCACAGATGTTTCTAGTTGGCCATCTTGGCCTCTCCCCCCAGTACTAATATTTTTATATGAAGAAAATAGTATCTTTGAGGTTTTAAAGGCAACTGTGAAATAAAATTGTTTCACCTCCGGGTGAAAAAAATAAAAATAATAAACAAATAAAAATAAAACTCTGTTGCCTACAGATAGAATTCAAAATGCTTAGCATGACCTATAAGACCTAGCATGACTTGGCCCCTATTTACTTGCCAGCAACAGCATCTGTCACTCTTTTTCTTGAACATTACCTTTTCATTGTTCCCTGCTCACATCACACTGTTTTGTAATTCCACACTTCTCTCTTCCAGGAACATTCACCCCAACCTACCCCTATCCTTCAAAACAGTTCATCCAGGATGGCTGCAGTGACTCACACCTGTAATCTCAGTGCTTTGGGAGGCTGAGGCAGGAGGATTGCTTGAGGCCAGAAGTTTAAGACTGCAGTGAACTATGATTCACGCCACTGAACTCCAGAGAGAGAGAGAGAGAAGAAAGAAAGAAAGAGAGAGAGAGAGGGGGGAAGGAAGGAAGGAAGGAAAGAAAGGAAGGAAGGAAGGAAGGAAGGAAGGAAGGAAGGAAGGAAGGAAGAAGGAAAGAAAGAAAGAAAGAAAGAAAGAAAGAAAGAAAGAAAGAAAGAAAGAAAGAAAGAGAAAGAAAACCAGCTCATCCACCATTTACCCAAAAAGCATTCTTTCCCTTCTTTTGTACTCCTAAGGCTTACCTCTATCTTAGCATTTACGCATTATTTTGAAATTATGTTTATGAACCTGCCTCTTAACACTAACCAAAAGCTATTCAAAAAGAGGGATAAGCCAGGCATGGTGGCTCATTCTGTAATTCCTTTGGGAGGCCCAGGTAGGAGGATTACTTGAGGCCAAGAGTTCAAGATCAGCCTGGGCAACATAGCAAGACTCCATCTCTACAAAAAAATAAAAGTTTTAAAAAGGAGAAATCTTAACTGGTCTTTATGCCCCTGCCCTAAAGCTTACCACAATGCCTGCCACATATTGGACCCTCAAAACAAATTATTGATTAATTTTCACAATGGGACTACAAGGCAGGCATTACAAATGAAAAAAACTAAGTCCCAGAAAGCCAGTTACATTCCAGGGGATGGGAGGGCAGCAACTTGAAACCAACTCTACCGCTAAGGCCTAGGCTCTCTCAAGTACAACCTGGAAAACATGAGTGAGCAAGGAGATGGAGGTGAGAATGAGGTGTCAGGGCACCCACCCAGGACATGATGCGTGAGGAATGGAGGGATATGAAGGTGGACAAGATTCTCAAGGGTGGAAGAATATGGTCATGAGGCCTTGGCATTGTGGCTTCTAAGCAGAGCCCTGATACGCTAAACTGCCTGGCAATATCAGGCCAGGCAGTTTGGTCTGACATTGCCAGTTTAGCTGCCCAGGCATGTCTGCTAGCTAAATCTAAATGCTGGGCCTGAGGTCAACGTCCCCACAAATACCCACAACTCTGCTGCACAACCATATTCAGAGTCCTGCACTTACTCAGCCTCTGCTTGCTGAGCAAGCAGATACTACCTCTCTTGAGCACAAGCCTCCAGGAAGTTCCTAATGTAGATCAAGGTGGGAATATCCATGGAATATCCAAATTATATTAGAAGGCCAGGCAGGGTGGCTCACATCTGTGATCCCAGCATTTTGGGAGGCTAAGGCAGGCGGATCACTTGGGACCAGGAGTTTGAGACCAGCCTGGGCAACAGGAAAAAACCCTCTACAAAAAAAAAAAAAAAAAATTAGCCAGGCATGGTGGCATTCACCTGTAGTCCTGGCTACTCAGGAGGCTGAGGCAAGCGGATCAATTGAGCTCGGAGATTGAGGTTGCAGTGAGCCATGATGGCACCACTGCACTCTAGGCTGGGTAACAGAAGGAGACCCTCAAAACAAACAAGCATACAAACTAACAAACAAAGTATATTAGAAGATAAATAAATATGGACTTGAGTGGACAAGAGCATCTTTGCGCCTCAGCCTCTCCTGAGAGGTGCCTCTTCTCCCACCCACCTTCCAGGGGCCTTCCCCTACAAACCTAAACATAGAAGGCAGCCAATGAAAGGGACCAAGAGGCAGATTCCTGAGATAAGCCAAGGAAAGCCCAGGCCCAGGAGCCCACAGAATGAAAAGAATATTCTCAGACAGTAGCAAAACAGGAAGACTGTTCGACACAGCTGAATGCATGCATCAGAACATGGCCGTCCCCTGCACACCCTTCTCTGGAGCTCTTAGGCTAGAAGATGATTTCTTCTGGACAAGGAAGACACAGGACATGGGGTGAAAATAATTCCAGCAAAAGAAAGCTAAATACACCATCCCGTGTTTACAAAACACAGGAAAAGTAGCGAGGGTATAGAGAACCAAGGATAAAGGCAGGATGCCCTTTTCTGGTAAACTTCATGCCAAACAAAGGTGAAGGGCCAGGATTAGCTCATTAGCGGGGAACTCAGGGCAAGAACACCCTGCCCTCTGTTCTGTCCTCACCTGAATCTCTGGGACGAAGCCAAGTTGTCACCTCCCTAAATGGTTCTAGAAACAGAAGAGTTCATGCCCTGCCTGGGGAAGGGACTTCTAGGTCTTCAGCTCTAATCATATGTTTTATGCACAGGTGGAGACATTCAGATCCATGGCCCTCACCCTGTTTCTGCTCTGCAGACTGAGATAAGAGCCTTACGTTTACAAAGTTTCACAAGAAACTGGAATTTGTTGCCCTTCTTTTCCACCTCCCTTCAGCCAGCTCCACTTTTCCTCGGATGCCATGGAGACTCGTAACCAGCTGGACAGCATACATCCCAGAGCTGGAGGGGAGCACAAGCGACCCTGACTCACCTGCCGTTGCTCAGAAGGGAGAGAAACCTGTGAAACTCGGAAATTCCCTCTGGGGGAGGTGTGGCCAGCTCCCAGGCACCACCTCCGCGGAATCTCTCCAATCATAACAAGAAGAAGGAAAACAAGCAGTTATCCAGTGCTTTCTCTATGCCAGCCATCACGCTCCACAAGTATTATGTCGTTAAAAGTTCCCAACAGCCTTATGAGATGGGCACTGTCATTCTCCCCACTTTGTGGATAAGGAAATAAAGCAGTCGCATAAATTGGTCTGGGGTCACCCTTGGTTTCCCATTGGAGTGTAGGCTTCCTGAGGTTAGAAGTTGTTTTTATGGGCTGGGTGCAGTGGCTCACGCCTGTAATCCCAGCACTTTGGGAGGCTGAGGCGGGCGGATCACCTGAGGTCAGGAGTTTGAGATGAGCCTGGCCAACATGGTGAAAACCCGTCTCTACTAAAAATACAAAAATTAGCCCGGTGTGGTGGCAGGTGCCTATAATCCCACCTACTCGGGAGGCTGAGGCAGGAGAATCGCTTGAACCCAGGAGGCGGAGGTTGCAGTGAGCTGAGATTGTGCCATTGCACTGCAGCCTGGGTGACAGAGTGAGACTCCCTCTCAAAAAAAAAAAAAAGAAGTTGTTTATATGACGCTTTGGGAGTGATATTAAGAACATAAATGCTGACTGACCAACTGAAAGATTCGAAGCACCGTGGGTATTTAATAAATGTTATTATTGATTGCTATTAAAAATCATTAATATGATTTTATATGTCTCAGGAAGCAGTACTACAAATAATTCTGAAGTTACTCTATCAATAACAAATTATGTAAGTGACAAAATTGCATTTGTTCACAAGGCTAGAAATAGAGCCTAATTGTTTTCAGGAATGTGGACATTATTTGTTTTTGTTGATAAGAAAGATTAGCTGCTATGGTATAAGTAACGATATTTAGTTGCTACTACATAGTATCAAATCAGTGCAAAAGGAAAAATCACAGATCACGAGATATATGGCAGAAGTTAGAAGAATGTAAGGGAATTAAATGAATTAAAGGCTGTTTCTGTGACTCAATTAATTAAATGATATTGAAAAGAGAAGGTAGAAAGCTGGATTCAGGGCTGATTTTCAGGAGCCTAGTTGTAAATAATTAGACCACCCCTTGGATGTGTACACGACATCAATACCTCATAGCCTCCACAGGAGCAGGGTTCATCTCCTCCTCCCAGTACCTGCAACAACAGAACCAACACGGAGATGCCAGCACGGAAATTCCCACGATCACAAACCCCACCTTTCTCTTATCATTCTGCTCTACCTTTCTTTTCCCTATATCCTTAACTTCTTACATTTTAAATCTTGTTTTCCTGTAAGCTGCTTTAAGTCCTACCTGAATAAGGCAGGGTATCAGAAAATCAATACACTCTTCAGGAACTTAACCGAAGGGAATTTCCTGTGAGAGCACATGGCCTTGACTTTGCCCCTGGAAAGGTGTCCTCGTCACATCCTTGTCAGACCACCACAGGAACCCACAGTTCATCCTGCCTGTTCCAATTCATGTCCCACTCATTAAACCGTCCTGGTTTTTTTGTTTTGTTTTGTCTTATTTTGTTTGCTGCTGAATCCTCTGGTTAAACAGCAGGAGCAATGCAGCCAAATGTCTTGATAAAATGTCACACCTTTCCATGAAATTTCTAAGTGTAGCTATGCAGGACAGAGGAAGAGCCACTTGTTTCCAGTTACTGACCTAGGTGGGCTTAGTTCTCTTCAGGTTCCTGCAGTGGGTTTCCTCTCAAGCAGAGAATTCTTTCCTCTCAAAGGAAGAAGCCACACTAGCCATGTAAAGAGAGTGTCCAAACCTTCCTCTTCCGCAGCTGGAAATACCTTCCCAGTTCCTCTTCTGTTTGGGGACTGGGAAGCTCTGAGTCCCAACTTCTCTTGTCCAGTTTCACTTTCTCACCCACCAACCCCTGCTCTCACTCTACCACTAAGTGCCCTCAACACTGATCTCTCCCTAAAAGTGACTGAAATAAATGTCCAATTTTGGGGGGATGACTGATTCTAATGTTGGGAAGAGAAGCTTAAAAGATCTGACCTCCTACTCAGTGAGAAAGGGGTCCTTGAACACCCTTCTTGAGACGTAACCTCCCTACTCCTACTTAAATGCTAGCAATTCCTGCTTTTTGCCACAGTAATGCAAGGCATTTCTGGAAGTTACGATGCAAACTAAATCTTTTTAGATCTCTGGTTTCAAAACTTTGGATTTTAGGCACCTAGATAGGTGCTACGTTTTCATTTTGTTAAATAAGGACATTTAAAAAATAAATAGGTGCCCCCTTCTGCGCAGTCACACTGAGCCAGTGCCTAGGCCTGGAACCGGGCCACGGCCCCTCAGCTTCGTCCACCGCCTCCCGACCATGGACCCCCACAAAGTGAATGCACTTCGGGCTTTTGTGAAAATGTGTAAGCAGGATCTGAGCGTTCTGCACACCAAGGAAATGCACTTCCTGAGGGAGTGGGTGGAGAGCATGGGGGGTAAACTATCACCTGCTACTCAGAAAGTTAAATCAGAAGAAAATACCAAGGAAGAAAAACCTGATAGTAAGAAGGTGGAGGAAGACTTAAAGGCAGACGAACCATCAAGTGAGGAAAGTAATCTATTAATTGATAATGAAGATGTGATTGAACCAGACCCTGATGCCCCTCAAGAAATGGGAGATGAAAATGCAGAGATAACAGAGGAGATGATGGATCAGGCAAATCATAAGAAAGTGGCTGCTATTGAAGCCCTAAATGATGGTGAACTGCAGAAAGCCATTGACTTATTCACAGATGCCATCAAGCTGAATCCTCAGTTGGCCATTTTGTATGCCAAGAGGGCCAGTGTCTTCATCAAATTACAGAAGCCAAATGCTGCCATCCGAGACTGTGACAGAGCCGTTGAAATTTATTTCAGCTCAGCCTTACAAGTGGCGAGGTAAAGCACACAGACTTCTAGGCCACTGGGAAGGAGCAGCCCATGATCTTGCCCTTGCCTGTAAATTGGATTATGATGAAGATGCTAGTGCAATGCTGAAAGAAGTTCAGCCTAGGGCACAGACATTGCGGAACATCAGAGAAAGTATGAGCAAAAACGTGAAGAGCGAGAGATCAAAGAAAGAATAGAAAGAGTTAAGAAGGCTCGAGAAGAGCAAGAGAGAGCCCAGAGGGAGGAAGAAGCCAGACGACAGTCAGTAGCTCAGTATGGCTCTTTTCCAGATGGACTTCCTGGGGGAATGCTTGGAATGAGAGGGGGCATGCCTGGGATGGCCGGAATAACTGGACTCAATGAAATTCTTAGTGATCCAGAGGTTCTTGCAGCCGTGCAGGATCCCAAAGTTATGGTGGCCTCTTCCAGGATGTGGCTCAAAACCCAGCAAATATGTCACAATACCAGGGCAACCCAAAGGTTATGAATCTTATCAGTAAATTGTCAGCCAAATTTGGAGGTCAAGAGTAATGTCCTTCTGATAAAGACCGTGCTGAAGGAAAAGCAACCTAGATCACCTTATGGATGTTGCAATAATACAAACCAGCGTACCTCAGGGGTGCTTTGAAGATAATCCATATCCCTCTCCCCCAAATGCAGCTGAAGCATTTACCATGGTTTGCCATTAGGGTATTCATTCAGATAATATTTTCCTACTAGGAATTACAAACTTTAAACCCTTTTTAAACCTTAAAAATATTTAAAACAAATTTAAAGGGACGGTTAATTCTTATATTTTTCTTTACTAATCATTTTGGATTTTTTCTTTAAATTATTGGGCAGGGAAGATACTTATGTATGGAAGATTACTGCTCTAATTTGAGCAAAATAGAAGTTTATTAGTGCGAGGCAAACATAAAAAAATAAGTAAATAAATAGGTGAAGGAGGGGAAAATCTACCATCTATAATCTACAATGACTATAGTTTCATAAAAGAAAGAACAACAAAACATCAGAAAGCTATAACATCAAAATAAAAGGCAGGCTTTAAACCAAATCAACATTTCTTTCTTTATAAAAACTGTCATAATTTTGCCCTCATCTCTGTCATTCCATGAAAACAGGTAAACAGTTGATCAAGATCATTGCCAGCCTGGAGTTTGGCAATAATTGCTATAAAGCAGGGGTTATTTTCCCAGAAGGCCATGTGACCTGGAGCAGCTCAACCAGCCAACCCCAGTCCACTGACCACGGTAGGCCAACGAGGCAACACAAGTAAAGCACAGTGCAGATCCAGCTGTGCTCTCAACATGCAATTTTGGATTAAACGAAGACACAAATATGATCAACAAAAAGTCTTGAGCAAAGATAGAGCAACTAACTATTGCTGTGATAAACTTCTCTCCAAGTTCTATCAAATGTAAGTAGATGAGGCACGTGTCCCACACGTACAACAAAATATACACACGGCATATTAAAATTAACATGTGCTGTATCTGGAATATGTCTGAATCTGAAATGCTAAGCAGAGCACACATGTATTCCCTAGATAGTAAGCTGTCCAGTGGAGAGAATCCCCAGCTGGTGGGAAGGAGGCCGGGATCTGGCCCTGACTTTGTCACTAAGTAGTTCTTAAGCCTGGGGCAAGTTGTTTAATTTTTCTGTGCTCAGTTTTCTCAGACATAATAAGGGAGTTAGATTAAAATTATCTCTTAGGGCCAGTCCTGCTTGAAAATTCTTAATGTAATACATAGCAGCGTGTTCCCCCTCTCTGAGAATTTGTAAGTCCTCGGGGAATGAGAAGAATGGTATGCATCTTCTCAAAAGCTGACCACGGGCTATCCCTAAAGCATGGGGACTCTCACTTTGGGCTATTCAAAAGCATAACACCCACAATGCTGAACCAAAGAGCCAGAGGCACAACCCAATTAGCTCATAAATCAACATGTGTGGACTTGAACATCCATTGTGGGTCAACAAATGAGAGTAACTTCTCCAGCTACCCCCAGCTCCCTGGACGCCCTTGTCCCTCGAGTTAACACAGACACTTGCCATCGGTGGTAAAAACTTCCTCTTAGAGGGTTGACTCTGTGGCATGCATGTTACATGCATTACCTCTTTTAAACCTTAACACAATCCTGCAAGGTTGGTCGGAGTCTCTCCATAATATGGATAAGAAAACTGAGGCTCAGGTAGGTTAAGTACAGTCCAAGGTTACACTGTGAGGAGGAAGATTCCAATGGAGGCCTCTTGGACTCTAACATCTGTGCCCTTTCTCACGTTCTCCATATTGCATCTGTCACACCTCTGACATGCCCAGGAGACACATCAAAAACCCCAGGGCTCCTCAGACTAGTGATCCCTGCATCCATCAGTGGTCGTGTCTGGTGAATCTCAGAGAATCTCCCATTACACTTTGACCTTGGAAGGCCAACTGCTTTCTACTCTCTGACAGCTCTCCTTCCCAGGGAGACCAACAAGGCATTGAAGCACCCACCAGACTTTCTACAGCATGAGGAGCCTCTGCATATAAGCTGTAGGCAGACGGGCAGGCTTGGGGTGCACAGGGCAGTCACGGAACCTAGCTTTTCCAACTTTAACGATTAGTCCGGCATTCAACTCTAACCTGGTTTACTCAAACCAGCTGCTAAACGCTTGCTATTCAAGGTGTGGTCCATGGATCAGCAACTTCCTTGTATCACCCAAGAGCCTGTTAGAAATGAGGAATCTCAGACCCCATATCAGATGCACTGAATCGGAAACTGTACTAGCAAGATGCTTCCAGTGACTTGAACACACATGCATGTTCTAAAAGCTCCATCCAAGAATCACTGATGGGGCTTTTTGAAAGGGTGAATTTCCAGGAACTGCAGTCCAGAATTGTAGAAAAGGGGGTGGAGAAATACAAGGAGGCCCCAAACATGTGTATTTTATTTTAAAACTTGTTTTCTTTTGGTCTCCTGTCCCCAAGAAAAATCAAGTCCTTTCCAGCTTGATTCAAAGAACAATTTTGTTTTATGAACAGCTGTCCCCATAGCCAGTAGGGCTATAGGCCAGTAGACACGCCCCCCTCCCTAGAGGACATGCCAGGGTCCTCACACAGGCCCTCTCTTGGGCTGAGCTCTATCTTGCAGAAAATGCATGGAACAATTCCACATAAATCAGAGTGTTCCCTTCTGAGTCGTTTCCCATCCCCCCAATCCCATGTCCCCCAGTTCATAAGGAGATTAGACCATCATCCCCATATCAATAGCAGAACTCCTGTATTTTCTTTTCTACCATCCTAATCTGTATAAATTTAGGAAAGGGAAGAAGAAAGGAAGGAAGGTAGGAAACTAATTAACATTTGTTAAAAATTTATACTATATGTCAGGCCCACCCTGTTCCCTAAAATGGTTTTGGGGTTTGTTTTGTTTTCTTTTTTGAGATGGGGGTCTCAATATGTTGCTCAGGCTAGACTCAAACTCCTAAGCTCAAGTAATTCTCCTATCCCAGCCTCTCAAGTAGCTGAGACTATAGGGGCACACCACCAGACCCAGTTCAAAACAGCTTACATACACTTTTCATTTAATATACATAAAAGTATGTAAGACTGATATTACTGCCTTAATTTTAGAAGTGGAGACTAAAGCTCAGATAGTTTAAAAACTCTCCCAAAGCAAGGACTCTGAACAGGACCCAATACTAAAGTTCTGTCACATTCTTTCTGCTACCCCAACTTGCCTACACAGCATATTATGTAAATAAAAATTTTATTGAGATATAATTCACATACCATCAAATTCAATTTGGTAGTTTTTAGTATATTCACAAGGTTGTGAAACCATCACCACTATCTACTTCCAGAACATTTCCATCATCTCCAAAAGAAACCCCAAATCAATGAGCAGTCATAGTCATTTCCCATTCCCCGCACCATCCCTAGTCCCTGGCAATCACTTTCTGTCTCTGTGGATTCGCTTCTTCTGGATATTTCATTTTTTCAATATTTCACATTTCTGTCTCTGTGGATTTTCATATTTCTGTCTCTGTGGATTTGCTTCTTCTGGATATTTCATTTCATTTCATAGAAATGAAAGCATACAATATGTGGTCTTTTGTGTCTGGCTTTTTTCACTGAGCACAGTCATTTCAAGGTTCATCCATGTTGTCGCATGTATCGGTACTTGATTTATTTTTATAGCTAAACAATAGTCCATTGTAAGAACATACCACATTTTGTTTATCCATTCATAAGTTGATGGACACTTGGATTGTTCCCACTTTTTAGCTATTATGAATAATGCTCCTATAAACATTCATGTACAAGTTTTTGTGTGGACATACATTTTTAATTCTCCTGGGTATATACCTATGAGTGGAGTTCCTGGACCATATAGTAGTAACTCTATGTTTAGCTTTCTGAGGAAATGCCAAACCGTTTTCCAAAGTGGCTACCTCATTTTATATTTCCACCAGAAATGAATGAGGGTTCAACTTCTCCATATCCATGCCAACTCTTATTATTACCTGTCATTTTGACAGTAGTAATTCTAGCTGTAAAGAGGTATCTCATTCAAGTTTTGATTTGCATTTTCCTAATAACTAATAATGTCGAGCATCTTTTCACATGTCTATTGGCCATTTGTACATTTCTTTGGAGAAAGTATTCAAATCTTTGCTCATTTTTAAATTGGGATATTTGTCTTTTTGTTATTGAGTTGTAATCTTTATATATTCTAGAAACTAGGCCCTTTTCAGATATATGATGTAGATTATCTTTTCACTTTTTTTTTTTTTTTAGATGGAGTCTCACTCTGTTGCCCAGGCTGGAGTAAAGTGGTGCAATCTTGGTTCACCGTAACCTCTGCCTCCCGGGTTCAAGCAATTCTCCTGCCTCAGCCTCCTGAGTAGCTGGGATTACAGGCACACACCACCACGCCTGGCTAATTTTTGTATTTTTAGTAGAGACGAGGTTTCATCATGTTGGCCAGGCTGGTCTCGAACTCCTGACCTCAGGTGATCCACCCTCCTTGGCCTCCCAAAGTGCTGGGATTACAGGCGTAAGTCACCGTGCCCAGCCCTTTTCACTTTCTTGATAGTGGCCTTCAAAGAACAAAAGCTTTTAGTTTTGAAGTCCAATTTATCTATTTTTCCTTTACTTATTTTTGCCTCAGGCATCATGTCTAATAACTGTTGCTTAAACCAAGGTTATGAAGATTTATACCTATGTTTTTTCCTAAGAGTTTTATAGTTTTACATGTAGGCCCTTGGTTCACCTTGAGTTAATTTTGTATATGGTACGAGTAGGGCTCCAACTTTATTCTTTTGCATGTGCATATTCAGTTGACCCAGCACCATTTATTTCCCCATTGAGTTGTCTTGTTACCCTTGTCAAAACCCAGTTAATAATAAATGTGTGGGTATGTTTCTGAAATCTCAATTCTATTTCATTGATGTATATGTCTATCCTTATGTCAGTACCACACTGTCTTGATTACTGTAGCTACACAGTAAATTTTAAAATTGGGAAGTGTGAGTCCTCAAACTTTGTGAGTTTTGTTTGTTTGTTTTCAAGATCATTTTGACTATCCTGAGTGTATTGTTATAGTTTTCCGTATACAAGTCTTGCACTTGTTTTGTTAAATGTATTCAATTGACCCATCTTCAAGTTCACCAATACTTTCTTCTACCAGTTCAAATATGCTGTTGAGTTCTTCTGGTGACTTTTTAAAATCGTAGTTATTGTACTTTTCCATTGCAGAATTTCTATTTGGCTCTTTTTATCATTTTAATCTCTTTATTACTATTCTTTACTTGGTGAGACAATCACCAAAATCAATCTCATACTTTCCTTTAATTCTTTAGACATGATTTTTTCTAGTTCTTTGAACGTATTTATAAAGCTGAGTTAACGTCTATGTCAAGTTCAGCGTGTGGGCTTCCTCAGGGACAGTTTCTGTTTACCTGGGATGTTTTTTTCTTCTGTATAAGCCATACTTTCTTGTTTATTTGTATATCTTATAATTTTTCTTGAAAACTGAACATTTAAAAAACATGAAGCCAAGCAAAGTGACTTATGCCCATAATCCCAGCACTTTGGGAGGCTGAGGCAGGAGGATTGCTTATGCCCAGGAGTTCAATAACAGTCTGGACAACATAGCAAGACTCTACAAAAACTATAAAAATTAACCAGGTGTGATGACACGTGCCTATAGCCCCAGCTACTTGGGAAGCTGCAGCAGGAGGATCACTTAAGCCCAAGAATTTGAGGCTGCAGTGAGCTATGATTGCACCACTTCACTCCAGCCTGGGCAATAGTGAGACTGTGTCTCAAAAAAATAAATAAATACATACATACACACACACACACACACACACACACACACACAAATGTGACAACTTTGGACACCAGACTCCCTTCTCCTCCCTGAGTTTGTTTTTGTTGCTGTTTGTTATTCTTTTTTATTGTTGTTGTTGCTGCTGTTTGTTTTATGACTTTCCTAAATTAATTATGTGAAGTCTGTATTCTTTATCATGTGTAACCACCAAAGTCTCTGTTCTGTTTGCTTATTGACCAGCTAATAAATAGATTTTTAAAAAATTTCTTTAACTAATAACTCTGGAACCAACAAGTCTCCCAGTCTTTGCTAAGCACTTCTGCATGTGTGTTTTGGGGAATGCCTTCAGTGATCAGATAGGCAGTTTACAGCTCTACCTTAGCCTTTACTTCTTACTTGTGCAGAGCCTCAAGGTCGGCCAGAGGTGAGTAATTAGGGCCTCCTCAGGTCTTTCCTGGGAATGTGTGTAGCCCTGCACATGCACATGGCTTTTTAGATTCCCAGGGATTCGTCCAAGCTTTTCAAACCCCCTATAGACATCTCATTCCTCAGGGGTTTATTTTACATTTTACACAACTCTGAATTTCACTTGCTGGTATTCACATCTTCTCAATGGCTTTCTTCAAACAGCAGATGCTGAAATGACAGGCGTAAAAGAAAACCATATTCAGGACATTCCCTTTCTTGAGCAAAACTGCAATTTGCAAAATCATCGGTGACAGGTAATGGTGACTGGTGATTCATTCCTGGTGATGTCTTGGGCCAAATTCCAGAATCCAATGTATATTCAGAAGGGGCAGGGAGAAGATCTGCATGTATGACTTCACCCAGAAGCCCTGGCATATAAACAAGAGGTGAGTTGTCAGTTTCACCCAATTCCAGGCCTAGCACTTTCCAAACAGACTGAGACCATGGCAGTCTTCCATGACATGCTGCTGCAGCCACTGGGGATGTTTCTGTGCCTCAGTCTGCAGCTTTCTTCTGCCACCTTTATAAGGTACAGTAGCACCTGCTTCACCTTTGATGAATACTACACCATAACCCTAGACATCAAGGCCAGTTCACATATCTACGAAAGCAATGCAGTCTATTCTGGTGAGTAGAAGCCATGCTCTCTGCTGTCCTTTGTTCCCTGAGGGAAATTAACCAGAATTTCAGAACACACCCCTCTATCGCTACTCTCAATTATACAAAACATGTGTCTTCTGAACCAAATGGGAAGCAAGGGAAGGAAGACAAAGAATGAGAATTAAGGGAGTGGGCTGGGGGGCTATTTCTGCAAATTCCTTGTGAACTCAAGCCACAGGAGCGAGAAAGCCCCAACCCCAGATTCACTGAGTCCCAGCAAGAGCACACTTGGGGTAGATTCTCTGACTTAAATAAAATGGGCAGTTTTATCATTTTAAGGGATAATCATTGCATTCCAGTGTATAATCTTTTCTCTTTTTGTTTTTGTTTTTCTGGAGACAGAGTCTCACTTTGTCACCCAGGCTGGAGTGTAATGGTACAATTTCAGCTCACTGCAACCTCCGCCTCCTGGGTTCAAGCAATTCTTGTACCTCAGCCTCCCAAGTAGCTGGGATTACAGGTGCACACCACCACGCCTGGCTAATTTTTTGTATTTTAGTAGAGATGGGGCTTCTCCATGTTGACCAGGCTGGTCTCGAACTCCTGGCTTCAAGTGATCCACCCACCTCAGTCACCCAAAGTGCTGGAATTACAGGTGTGAGCCACTGTACCCAGCCTCCAGTGTGTAATCTTTTCATATCTATTTGACAATATGATGCCTCTGGGGATAATTGTGTACTGCATTTAGTCCGTGGGTGAAAAAAATCTAATAAACAACACAGGGGAAGTATTACTAACCCACTTTATGTATGAAAAGCCTGAGACCAAGGGAAATTAAATGACCTGCCCAGAGTCTCCCTTCTAGTAAGTCATAGAACTGGCTCTTGAATCTTAGTCTGTTCATTCTTAATCCAATGCTTTTCTTAGAGGTGTCCAGTAGATATTTTTTATATAGCCCTTTTTGAATCAGCCAAACCTAAAAGTCAAGGAATATGCTTTCTAATTCATTTCATAATAATAACACTTCCTATGGTGTTTAACATGTAATAGTGACCTATTAGGGAGATATCATTATCATTCCCATTTTGTAGATGAGAAACAGAGACAGAGATGCTAAGTGACTCTTGCTCAGGTCCCGGAGCTACTTAAATGGTGAAGGTAAGATATGAACCAGCATTCCAGCTTCAGAGACCCTGCCTTTAACCACTATATACTCTTCCTTATAGTAGTGAGAGCTAACCCTTCTTACGATGTGCTGGGCATGTTTTAGAAGTAGATGTTGTTATCATTTTACAGACAAGAACTGAGGCACAGAGAAGTTAAAAATTTACACTAATAAGTAACTTAGCTAAGATTTGAATCTAAATAGCACAACCAAAACTCGTACAGCTTTTTATCCAGCCAGCTGTCCAGCTTCAGAACCTTTCTTCTTATCTACTGTGTTATTCTGCCTTTCTTAAAAGTCTAACTTTTGCAAAGACCACCAGGGTGATCTCCACACTCATAGTCTAGGTCTCAGACTTCAGCAGGTGAACAATCATGGCATGCCTTCACGCGCTCACCTTGCTTATCTTTTGTCTTACTTTTAAATGAGGACTGACACTAAGTGCTTCAGTTGTGATGGGGCCAGCTATGTCCCACTCCCTCAGGCAGTGGATATTGTCCTGACAGGGCAGGGAGGATAATCTTGTAATTCAAGATGAGCACAGGTGGACATATGTGCAACCTGGAGGAGAGCCTCAGGTGTCAGAGGCACCACTGCAAAAGAGATCACGAGCCTCTGGCATTTAAGATAATACCTCTCCAGGTGAAAGATTTTGCTAATGCAATGGAGGAAAGAGAAATCTATCACTGAGCATGGTGGCTCACACCTGTAATCTCAGCAATTTGGGAGGTCAAGGCAGGCAAATTGCTTGAGCTCAAGAGTTCGAGACCAGACTGAGCAACATGGCAAAACGTAGTCTTTACTAAAAACACAAAAATTAGCCAGACGTGATGATGTGCGCCTGTGATCCCAGCTACTCAGGAGGCTGAGGTGGGAGGATGGCTTGAGCCCAGGAGGTGGAAGTTGCAGTGAGCCGAGACCACGTCACTGCACTCCAGCCTAGGTGACAGAGCAAGACTCTATCTCAAAAAAAAAAAAAAAAAAAAGAAAGAAAGAAATCTATCATATGAAGATGCTATGGAGGGGGAAACATGGGAGCCTTCTGAAAGCAGAAAGACAGGAGAAAGATGAGTCAACATGATCCACTGGGGTGAAGGGGATCACAGCAGTCACAGAGACGTTAGGTGGAGCAGGGAAAGGGAACGGCAAAAGAGAAGACCTAAGGCTCCTTGAATGCCTACTTATGCCATGTACCCCCAAACTTTATCCAATTCCATTTTAAAACAGAAATGTGCTGCAAAAGCTCTGTGGCAAATTGACTCATGATACAAATGATTTAAGTCAAGGGTCAAAATCTTCGCCGACGGAGATGTAAATTGCCAGATCCCACACCCGTGGTTACACAGCAGGCTCCACGATTGCCTTGCAGGTGTTACTGCCAGAACTCAGGACTTCTGGGGACTCTGAGTAAATGGCCACCCAGGCCAATCGCTTTTCCTTATTTTGGTTTTGAAATTCTTTTAAACTTTGGGGTGATGTCAACATTGGTAAACTGTGTATAAGTGGCTTGGCAGGTCCCAAGAAACAACTGCAGCTCAAGCAACATATTAGAACAGGTTTCCTGGGTCTGTTTTGATATCAGTGAAAGAAACCCTTAATACAGTGACATTTACATTAAGACTGTGCTGAGCAAGGATCTGCCTTTTTAAAAAAAAAAACTTCTATGGGCAAGAGGGATGTGATTTGCTTGCTTTTCTTGCTGAACTTTAAGCCTTAAGGGCACTATACAACATTGGATGCATGACTTTTAAAATCAACCAATGAGTAGTTACTTAGGACCCCCCAGAGGCCCAACACTGGGCTGTCCAGATACCAACACAGATGAAACCACAGCACATAGCACAAAGCACAAAGTACAATATGATTAAGAATGCAACAGTTTAAAAAAAAAAAAAGGAACGAGAGTTAAAAAGGGATAAATTGGTCCAGAGGTGGGACATAAGCAAGCTGTTGGAGTGGAAGAGGGTATGTGATGTATGATGAGAGGGAAGGAAGGCTTTCAGGCAGGCAGCCAGAGGTGAGCAAGGATCAGGGGCAGGTGCATTTGCAGAAAAAGGGAAAGGCTGGCTGCCCTTAGAGTGGGAATACAAACAGCAGGCTGAGGCTAGGTTCTTACAGTCCAAAAACATGTGTTGGATACTGTAATCAACAGACCAGAGGCAAAAATATAAAAGCAGAAATGTTGACATGCTCTAGAAAGAAGGACCCTTTGAAGGTTTGGACAGGAGTGTGTTCTGATGGACCTGTTGCATAAGGAAGACTGGTGTGGCCGCAGCACGTTGCAAGGCCACCTGAAGGAGAAGAACCTAAGGCCAGAAATCCAGAAAATATAGGTGCCTAGGAAGGAAGAAAGAGGATTTAAACCAGAATGGAAGGGAAAAGCAGGACAGGGCACACCCGTGCAGAGCTGACACTGACGACTATCTGCATGACACTGTCTCTGCTCACCTTCTACTGCACCTGACGCACAGATCTAGAACAGATGTCAGGTGCTCACTGGGCAAGTCGAGGTCTGCGGGATCTGCATCACACAACCGTGAATGGCAAAACTAACAACCAGAACACAGAACTGTTGTGTGCATATAGTCACATAATAACAATTGCAATTTATCCAGTACTCCCCATGTATTAAAATCTTCACATTCTTCTCTTTATTCTCCGGGACCTTTCAAGATAGGTATCATGATCTCAGATAATGAAGGATAACATCATTATCCCCAGACCTAGAACCAGGCCAGGTGCAAAGCGGGCATGCAAGAAATATTTATGGAGTGAATGATGAACAATAAGGAAACCGAGGCTCAGAGGTGAAATGACTTGCTCCTAAGTGCTATAGTCAGAATTCAGATCCAGGACTGTCTGATCCTTTTGTGTTGCATGATCAATTTGCTTCACTTGGTTAAGGAGAAGCCTTAAAGAAATTTTGCGTGGCTGAAAGGGCCCAGGAAAGAACAATACTCTAGCATTGAGGAATTCACTCAGAAGAGAACTCCTAAGGGAAGAAATGGAGAGACAGATATTTTCTTTAAATGCCCTCTCCATTACACATCCGAAGGCTGAAATTAACAAGTGGAATTAACAAGTTACTGAGGGTAACTCTCTAAGGAGTTAGGGCCCCTGTGGCTCAAAGGCACTCCTTCCCACACCCTAACAACAGAGACCAAGAGAATCAGCATTTCTGGGACCACAAAAAGGGTTTTGCTTTTACTTGGCCCACCTGACCTTTCCACGTGCATCAGCCTCTTCCGTCCCCACACTCCCCCTGAGAAGAGGACCAAGCAGGCTTGTCTTCTCATCTGAGAAATGGGCCCCGGCTCAGAGAGGTAAAGAGATTCACTCCCAGAATCTCACCCCTCGTGTGTAGCAAAACCAGAGCTGAGTATGGGTCTTCTTTTGTCTGCCTTTTACTGTAGAAAATTTGGAAAACAACCAAAAAGCACTAGAAAGAAAATAAAAATCATCTGTAATCCCACTACCAAGAAATCACCACAATTAATATCTTGATGTATTTCCTTCCAGACTTTCAACTTCTTTTACAACAGTGAGACCATATACTCGATGTGCATATTCTTTGTAACTTTCTTGTTTCACGCTTTGTTTTGATTTCACTGCCCTCATCCCTCGAGCTTGGCTCAGAGGGAACAGATGGCTGATTGCTTCTTCATCATTTCCTCCCAGTATTTGTTCCCGTGAATGACAGCGTCTATGCTGTGGTCATGAAAACCTTGGACGAGAACAGTGACTCAGCGGGCCTCTGGCAAAGAGCGGATAAAAATTGCTACAGCAACTCCACGTATTACGTGAAAGATCAATACATGACGGTCTTAGAGGCACAGTGGCAAGCTCCTGAACCTGAGAACATAACTGAAGTGGAGATACAGTAAGAACCTAGCTTGCTTTGCTTTGGGCTTTAAAATTTTCATATTGGGTTTATGCAGTTTTACACTAAGCTAGGAGGACTTAAAATACAATCCAGACGTGATATGGAGAACTCAGCAGTCGCACTTCATTACCGTCTCACAGTGCTCTACCATCCCTTCCATCTATAGGCGCTTGCAGACACACACATTCACACACACACCACATACCACACACACACTCACACCACATACACACCACACACACACATGCACCCCACACACCTCACACACATACACCACACATACATACCACACACACCACACATACCACACACACCACACACACACACATACCACACGCACCCCACACACACCACATACGCTCACACACCACACACACATACATACCACACACCACATATCACACACACACCACACTCACATACATATCACACACACCACACACACGCTCACAGCACACACACATACATACCCCACACACACCACATACACCACACACATACATACCACATGCACCACACACACATACCACACACACACCACACACAACACATACACCCCACATGCCACACACACCACACATGCACCACACACCACACACACACGATGCGTACCACACGCAGCACACACACCACACACACAGCACACACACACCACACACACACTCACAACACACACATACATACCACACACACCACACACACATACATACCACATACACATCACACACACAGCACACACCACACACCACACACACTCATACCACACACACCATACACACATGCCATACGCACTCATGCCACACATACATACCACACGCACATCACATATACACCACACACACACACATACCACACACATACATACCACACACACCACACACACTCATGCCACACACACATACATACCACATGCACC
Source organism: Homo sapiens (assembly GCF_000001405.40). NCBI lineage: Eukaryota > Metazoa > Chordata > Mammalia > Primates > Hominidae > Homo > Homo sapiens. Next base: position 112,254,468 of record NC_000011.10, on the reverse strand, counting down.
ACTCACACCACACACACCACACACACGTACATACCACACACACGTACATACCATACACACACGATAGAGGTACCACACACACACCCCACACATACACCACACACACCATACAAATACCACACACACACCACACACCACCCCCACACACCACATGCTACTCACACTACACACCACACACATACACACACTACACACCTTACAGACACCACACGCACATACCAGACCACATTCCCACACATACCCCCTTTTCACACACACACACACACACACACACACACCACTTATGCTCAACATCCTCAGAAAGAACTGAGCACCCTCTTTGTTTCATATTCCCTATGTTCAAACTGGAGAATCATTTTTTAAAACATGGATTCACTTTGGAAATGGCTCGCTAACAGAAAGTGTGATGATTGTGTAATAAAACTGGCTTGCTAGTGTCACACAAAATGGACACACTCAGATTCTGAGGTAAGGTCACCTGGAATCGCATTAGACTTTAACAACAAATCTTCCTCCCAGCTAGGATCTGTCATTAGGTTTACTTCAGGAACCACATGTTGGGAAGTACTTAAGGCTTTCAGATTCCATTCTGTACTGAAAGGGCCGGTCTGACCCTCAGGCTGTGTCAGCTTGAACAGCCATGTCTCTATGGAAGCTGGTAATGATGACTATGCTGTCAAACCACCCTGCCCTCTCCCTCCATGCACTGGGCCTGGTTGGACCTAATTGGCTTTGGAGGAGGGACTATTGTGCCCACAGAGTGACTGCAAGAGTAGAACCCAATGGGAGCTACTACAATCCAGCTTCCCAATGACAGCAGTTGCTTAGAAGCTAGCCAAGGCCAATTAGGGCAAGGGCTTTCTTTTCATCTCACATCATTAAAGCCTCCACATTCCATGCAACAAGAGATGAAAGACCAAACAGTGACCATCCGCAAGACAAACGGCCCAATCCCACTGACAGCATGGTCTCCAGACCTCTCCCAACTTGCACACCCGCGATAACACGCTGGCCTCCCTGCTTGTTTATACCATGTTACATGGCCTTGATCAGCGAGGCTGAGTCAAGGGGAGTGGAGCCACATATTATGAGGAATGCAGAAAGCAGGGGACTCCACAATGGTGGGCTGGGCACAAAAGGGATGGGAAGAGGTCCCTACTCATGGAATGTTACAATGAGGTTAGGGAGGCGAGGTTAGGGAGGCAAGGCCTATGTAGAAATAATGACTGAGGTTAATTCCTCAATAAACCATTCCCTGAACTCCCAAATCAAATATGAGCTCCCAGTTGTACACTCTCAGAATTTCTTCCCCTTCATCACAGCGTACATCACAGATCAATTCTTTACCTAGGTAATTGATAATCTGTTTAAAATCTATCCCTCTGAAGAGACTGTAAGTGCCCTGAGGATGAAAACCAGGCCTGTCTTGCTCAACCACTGCCCCCTCAGCACCAGGCACAGTGACTGAAATGAGGTGTCCTTTCATTAATGATCTAACACATGTATGAACAAGGGACTCATATAATGGGTTTATTGATAGGATAACAGACCAAGCGGTACCAGTGCAAACATAAAGCACCTATGATATGTCAGGCACTGTTGACAACAGAACCTGCCTTATAAAGTCGGTCCTCCCATGGGGACAGAGGCTCCTAGCAAGTCAGTGCAACAGAGCATCATGCCTAGCTTAGTGACAATAGGGAGAAACAACTTCATAGAGGTTACCATTGAGTCTATGAGCAGATGTGACCAGGACAGGTATTATAGGCAGAGGGACTGGCTTGAACAAAGACCAGAGGTATGTGTACCAGCCTGTGGGCAGTCAGGGTGGTGATGTTGGTAGGGGCGTTGGAATGGGAGAGGCTGTGTGGAAGTTGACCAAGATCGTGGAGGATCTTATCAATCAAAAGCAGACCAGTATTTAATGATCTGCTCATTGTGCCATACAGAAAGTAAGCACAAAAGGAATTAAGCGGCGGGGAAGTCCGAAATGTGAGCTGAACTTGTGAATTCCGCATGAGGTCCTCAGCATTATCTCTCATTGATTTGCCCTCCACAGAGCTTTCACTGTCCAGATCAGAGCGCTGCCTATACTTTCTACTCTGAAGCTAAGAGAAAAACGTGAGTTCCTTTGCAGCCCATTTGCAAGTCTTGCAATGAACTCAGTCAGCCTGGAAAATTACCTTGTGGGTTCCCTAGAAAAGAGGGTCTTCTTACCACGCATCACTCAGCTATCTATCAGTTGAGTCTCCCTGCACCTTGAGACCTATAGAATATTTGCCCAACCCGTTGTCCCATGTCCTTTAGAAAACAAAAGCCCTCCCCCAAGATTTCTGCAAATTCCCAGGGTCTTTATATTCTCAGGGTCATCTGTGGCTCCAAATGCCGCTTCCATAGGAGCTGTTTCTGTTCAATACCACATAGACACAATGTGAAAACATCTTCCTCAATTTCCACAAATAATTCCCACTCACACAAAGCCTTAATGGATACAGTAGACTTTAACCAAAGGGTTTTAAAGGGATTGGGGGTGGAGGCTGGGGAGTTGCACAAAGAAGGATTGATATCATAGAAATAGCAATGTCTTTAGTTCTTACAGTGGCCTGTGGCCACCACCACTCTACTAGGAATTTCCACAGCTTTTCACAGGCTGTCGCCCCCAGCTTCGCACCTCCCTGAGGTTCCTCGCCCATCTTCTTCCCCATTCCCTTTCTTTTCTCTTACCTCCCTCTAAGGAGCTATATATAACAAATTTAAGGCTGGGTGCAGTGGCTCACACCTGTAATCCCAACACTTTGGGAGGCCAAGGCGGAAGGATCCCTTGAACCCAGGAGCTCAAGACCAACCTGGGCAACACAGTGAGACTTTGTCTCTATTTAATTTTTCTTTTAATTGAGATGGAGTCTCGCTCTGTTGCCCAGGCTGGAGTGCAGTAGTGCGATCTCAGCTCACTGCAACTTCTGCCTCCCGGGTTCTCCTGCCTCAGCCTCCCAAGTAGCTGGGATTGCAGGAATGAGCCACCATGCCTGGCTAATTTTTATATTTTTAGTGGAAATGGGGTTTCACCATGTTGGCCAGGCTGGTCTTGAACTCCTGACCTCAAGCGATCCACCCACCTCAGCCTCCCAAAGCACTGGGATTACATGCGTGAGCCACCACGCCCAGCCTAATTTTTTTTTTTTTTTAATTTACAAAAAGGTTCAAGAAAGGAGATTCAGAAAAATAGGTAACTTGTCTAAGGCCACACAGAAAGTAAATGGCCAAAAGAAGACTCCTATTCCATATCATATTTTTCCACTTTTCTTAGACTTACATCAAAACTATAAAAATACATTGTTTTTGAATGACTTTTTTAAATACAAGATTCAACCAAGAACAAGAAACATTAGCCTTTCTCACTGTCCAACAACAGGTGGTCCTCACGAGCCCCCAGACACTGAAAGACACCTAGCATGCTGCCTATTTTCCCGCCAGTTACGCATTGCAAAATGTGTTCAAAGGGAGAATTATATTCAACAACAAATTGTAAAGTGATTATGCCTAATGAAACTATTATATGAATGTCTTAACTATTTCCTTGGTGGATTTCCCTCTGCAAGAAAACAGAGAGTAGTTTTTTCCTCAAGGCCATTGCCAAGATGAACCCTTGTGTAAATGTTACTGGAAAAGGGGGGTCTTGATATCAGATCCCGATAGAGCGTTTTTGGATCTCACACAGGAAGGAATTCAAGGTGAGTGGCAGCCTGTAGTGAAAAGAGATAGTTTACTGAAAGCTACTCTATTACAGAGTAGGGTGTCCTCAGAAAGCAGGTGGAGGAACACACTGTCTTTAAGTTTTTCTTGTATAGGGGCCTTGTCTATGTAAAGACTAAACTAAGCTGTGCCTGTGTGTGGGTGGGCTGACAGCATGACAAAATTTATTACTTTATTGATGTAAAGAAAACTATCCCTGACATTTTAGTGTGTAAGTCCATCAAAGCGTAACTATAATTATCTTGAAAGCATATATTGTCAAGGGTATTGGGACATCTGGACTTTCCGCTGTTACAGGAGTGTGTCCTTGTTGGTATCTTCAGTCTGTTTCCTCAACTGTAAACATCTTAGGACCATGGGCTGTGACTGGCAAGGAATGTGCTTGCTAGTTGCAAGATGTAGTTGACTTTTAAATGGTGTCACTCTGACTCTCCTAGGCTCCTGCTTCCCTGACATAAATGCCAAAAAGGAAAAAAAAAAAAAAAAAAAAAAAAAGGTTTGTTTCTAGTCAGGACTCGTTAGCTCCAGGCTAACAAAATCCAGTTAAAAAAAAAAGAAAAAGAAAGTAGTTGCATTCCAACTGTCTGGGTTAGTGGGATGCCAGAGAAACATTTGGCCTGGGGAAGTGCTAAAGATTAGACAATGCTACCTTACTGGAAGGCACCCTCCAGGCGGGAAGAAGACTCCACAGGCCTGAGTCGACTCCTGGACATTCCCCTTCTTCCTTTTCCTTTTTTTTTTTTTTTTTTTTTAATTTTTGAGACAGAGTCTCACTTTCTCACCCAGACTGGAATGCAGTAGCGCAACCTCCGTTCACTGCAACCTCCACCTCCCGGGTTCAAGTGATTCTCCTGCCTCAGCCCCCTGAGTAGCTGGGATTACAGGCCCCTGCCACCACACCGGGCTAATTTTTGTATTTTTAGTAGAGACAGGGTTTCACCATGTTGGCCAGGCTGGTCTCGAACCCCTGACCTCAAGTGATCCACTCACCTCAGCCTCCCAAAGTGCTGGGATTACAGACATCTGGTCTCTTCCTCTTCCTTACAGACCTCCCTACAGTCCACTCAGAGTCTTGGAGGTATTCCCGCCAACCTCCAGTTTGTCCAGGATCAGACAACCCCTCAGGACTATGGGCCTAGCTTTCTGTGCTTCTCTGCAAGTTAACCTCAGAGAACCAATGTGTGATCAGGTCCCTTCATATAAAACTGACCAGTGCCTCAGAAATCACAGAAACAGAGTCGGGGCTTTGGACTGGGCACCTTTCCATTAACTTTAAAGCAGGGATGGCCGTCCTCAGGTCTGGATTGGATCTGGTTCTTACAAGCCCTTGAAATTCACAAGAAGAAAATAACATTGTGTCATTCTGGATCATATTTGCACTGATTAACCTAATCTATTAAAGACAAGATTACATTCAGGAGGAGACTACCCACCCCAACAACAAATGCAGCAGTTGTATAAATTCAATAGGTCTCCACCTCATCTCATAGAACTATGCAGACCTTAAGGGTAGAAAGTGTTTCTTCCTTATTTTTGTTACTTAACCCTGTGTGTTTAACCCCCAGCTTTTCCCCTCCTCTGAAAACACTTGGCACTGGAGAAGGGTTGATTGAATTTTGCTCATGAATCTGGCTCTAGCATTCCATCAGATTACCCTCCTTTCTCGAGTGCCCACCCACCACCCAACGGAGGTTCCGATGCCATTTTCCAGTGCCAACCGCACCCTCAACCACCTTTCCAGTGTCAACCTTAGCCTTAGCTGCCAAGATTCCCCAGAGCTCAGCCTTCAAGCCTTTCTTCATGATTACACCCAAGAGTATCAGACTCGAAGGCTTGGCCAACCAAGTCTTCAGCAGCCCCATCACAGAGGCCATTTATATCCTGCTTGCTTTTCTCACCAGCACACTTCTCTTCTAAAGGGAAGCCAGGGAAACAATTGTTTCTGCCTCCACTGCATCCTCCTACATTCAGTTCCAAGCTAGTGCTGGGAACCGAATGTGTGTAAATGAAGGCTTTACATTCTCAAATGTGCAACTTTGCTGCCACGGCTTCAGACCAAAACAAAGATCTGGAGGCACTCATTGGCAGGCTTGGGTCACATAGATGTTCATCTGGATCTTTCAGGACACATATTACACTTTTTGAAAATATTTAGAACTGGCCGGAACTTAGTCACCTAGGTTCTCCCTATTGGTTGAACAGGTTGGCAGCCAATTCCACAGCCAATCTCAACTTTTGTTCACTGCCAAATGATTCCCCTGCAACCTCTGAGTTTCTGTGGGAAGAATCCTTCCTTACTTTCAAGATGATCTCAGATTTCTAACCAAACCCATTCAGGTTACAAGGAACTTCTGTGACTCATGTGACTCAAGAAAGAAAGGAGAAAGGAGAAATAGCTCTGAGGCTGCTGGCAGCTTCCCATTTGTCCACACCAGTAGATTTTGAAGGGCAAGAGAACAGGAACGAACCATGTCTGAGAAGCCAATATAGAAAAAAACTATGTTATAAAAACATTTTTGTCACAACAAATAAATTATACTTTAAACAAGAATAATGAATGTGTTCCATTCAAATATAAGTCTCTAATGAGTAAGTTAAAACACAGAGAATGTTGTCTAATTGTATTATTTGTGTGTGGGTATTAAAGAACGAATCAAATGGTGAGTGTATGTGTGTTTTCAAGACCAGACTTTGGGGCAAAACTATCTCAATTTTCATTTCCCTCAAGTGAAAACTGGTCATTTTTCCCCTAATAGTAATTTCTGTTAAGAAATGGGCAAAATATATGTGTGTGTGTGTGTGTGTGTGTGTGTGTGTGTGTGTGTGTGTATATATACATATATATATACACACACACCTATATATACACACACATATATACACACGTATTTGTGTATATAGGCAGTGTTGTTATTCCCACAATGCCTCAGAGTCAGCCCTGCCCTTAACTGGCTGAAGGATGTGGGATAACAACACCTATATACACATATATTTGTGTATAGGGACCACTGCAACAGGGTCTTGCAGTGAAGGAGAGAGATTGGACTCAACACCCTATTTATAATATATATAACGCAATGTACAACCAGAAGGAAACATGGTATGTCCAGTAATAAGCTTGTAATAAGCAACAAAGTTTTCTTTTAATAATGATGCTAAATTCCAGGATGCCAACATTCTTTGCTGATCCCTAAAATTGTGCACCTCGTAAGAATTCCGACTCTATTCTTCCCTCCCCACTTAGGACACCTTGATGATATTTATCACTCCCTGGTGTTTGTAACTGAAATGTAATACGTGTCCTATGTAAATACACAATCTGCTTAGTCATATATGCTTGTTTAACTGCCAAAGAGATGGGTTGGCTACGATTCTTTTCAAGCATCCAAAAATACTCACCAGAAGGAACTAAACAACCAATTTTCCTAAGATTATCCATCTACTAATTTGGGGGCTCAGAGAAGTAGCATGCTCCTAATCTCTTCTAAGATGCTGACTCCTAGGTTGACTCCACACCAGCTCTGATTCAAGAACAACAGGTGGCTCCCCAAAAAGGCTGAGCAATTTTATAGGATGAGAAAAAGCCTACGAATGATCATTTACTAAGCATTTACCTTATGCTTCATTAATGTTGCTATGAAAGTACTATAAGATCCTAATTTTTGTATTCCAAAAGTTCCCGCTTTTGTTAACATTTCCACCCTCTCTCCTCAAAAATATATATAAAAGGAATTTTACCACAGTGTAATCCATAAAAACCACACCTTTCTGATCTAGGTAATGGCTATCCCACATTGCTTCAGGCTAATTTATCAATAAATACTTATTGAGCACCATGCTGCCTTTCTTTTGGATATGTACCTAGTGGTAGAATTGCTGGAGCACATGGTAGTTCTATTTTCAGTTTTTTGACAAACCTCCATACTGTTCTCCGTAGTGGCTATACTAATTCACATTCCCACCAACAGTGTATGAGGATTCCCCTTTCTCCACATCCTTTCCAGCATCTGTTAGTGCCTGTCTTTTTGATTCAAGCCATTTTAACTGGGGTGAGATGATATCACATTATGATATTGATTTGCATGTCTCTGATGATTAGTGATACTGAACATTTTTTCTTACACCTGTTGGCAATTCGTATGTCTCCTTTTGAGAAATGTCTGTTCAAATTTTTTGCCCATTACTAAATTGGATTTTTTTTTTACTATTGAGTTGTTTAAGCTCCTTATGTATTCTTATTATTGATCCCTTATCAGGTGAATAGTTTGCAAATATTTTCTCCCATTCTCCCATTCTGTGGATTGTCTATTCACTTTGTTGACTGTTTCCTTTGCTGTACAGAAACTTTTTAGCTTGATGTAATCCCAATTGTCTATTTTTGCTTTGGTTGCCTGTGCTTCTGAGGTCTTATACAAGAAATCTTTGCCCAGACCAACATCTCAAAGTATTTGCCCAATGCTTTCTCCTAGGAGTTTCACAGTTTCAGGTGTTAGGTTCAACTCTTTAATCCATTTTGATTTGATATTTTTGTATAGTGAGAGATGGGGGTCTAGTTTCATTCTTCTGCATAGTTATGCTGTTTTCTCAGCACCATTTTTTTTGAAAAGACTGGACTTTTCCCATTCTAAGTTTTTGGTGCTTTTGTCAAAGATGAGTTGGTTATAAATGCATGAATTTATAACTGGGTTCTCTATTCTGTTCCACTGGTCTATGTGTCTGCTTTTATGCCAGTACCACGCTGTTTTGGTTACTATGCTTTTGTAATAAGTTTTGAAGTCCGGTATTGTGATCCCTCCAGCTTTGTTTTTTGGTTTGGGGGTTTTTGTGTTTCAGGGTATGTTTGTGTGTGTGGTGTGTGTGTGTGTGTGAAGGGTCTCACTCTGTTTTGTGTGTGTGTGTGTGTGTGTGTGTGTGTGTGTGTGTGAAGGGTCTCACTCTGTTGCCCAGGCTGGAGTGCAGTGGTGCACTCATAGCTCACTGCAGGCTCGAACTCCTGGCCTCATGCAGTTCTCCCATTTTGGCCTCCCAAAGTGCTGAGATTACAGGTATAAGCCACTATGCCCAACCCAGCTTTGTTCTTTATGCTCAGGATTGCTTTGCCTATTCAGGGTCTTTTGTGGTTCTATATAAATGTTAGGTTTGTTTTTTTTTTTTCTCTTTTTGTGAAGAATGTCATCGGTATTTTGATAGGGATTGCATTGAATCTGTAAGTAGTTTGTAGTAGTATTGTCATTTTAACAATATTATTCTTCCAATCCATGAGCATGGAATATATTTCCACTTTTTGGTGTCCTCTTCTGTTTCTTTCATCAGAATTTTATTTCCTTGTACAGAACTTTTATTTCTTTGGTTAGATTGATTCCTAGGTATTTTATATTTTTTGCAGCTATTGTAAATGGGATTACTTTCTTGATTTTTCAGATTGTTCACTGTTGGCACATATAAATGCTACTGATTTTTGTATGTTGATTTTGTAACCTGCAACTTTACTGAATTTGTTTTATGTTCTATCAGTTTTTTGGTGGAGTTTTTAGGTCTTTCTAAGTAATAAGATCATGTCCTCTTCAAACAAGGTTAACTTGACTTCTTCCTTTACAATTTGGATGCCCTTTTATTCTTTCTTTGCCTAGTTGCTCTGACCAGGACTTCCAGTATCATGTTGAATAAAAGTGGTAAAAGTGGGCAATTCTTATCTTGTACCAGTCTTTAGAGAAAAGGCCTTCAAATTTTCCCCTTTCGGTCTGATGTTAGCCATGAGTTTGACATAGATGGCCTTTAATAATTTGAGGTATGTTCCTTCTATATCCATTTTGATGAGGGTTTTTATGATAAAGGGATGAATTTTATCAAATACTTTTTGACATCTATTGAAAAAATTATATGGTTTTTGTTATTGATTCTGCTAATATGGTACATCATGTTTATTTCTGTAAATTTAATCATTTTTGAAGCATCCCTGGGATGAGTCCCACTTGATCATAGTCAATGATCCTTTGATGTATTATAGGATTCACTTTGCTAGTGTTTTGTTGAGGATTTTTGCATGTATGTTCATCAGTGATATTCGTCTGTAGTTTTCTTTTGTTGTGTGTCCTTGTCTAGTTTTGGTATCAGGGTAACGCTGACCTTATGGGTCTGGAAGTATTCCCTCTTCTTCAGTTTTTTTTTTTTTTTTTGAAGAGTTTGAGTAGGATTGATATTAGCTCTTCTTTAAATGTTAGTTTGAATTCTCCTGTGAATCCATCAGGTCCTAGGCTTTTCCTTGATGGAAGACATTTTATTATACCTTTGATCTCATTACTAGCTATTGGTTTGTTGAGGTTTTCTATTTCTTCACAATTCACTCTTGGTATGTTGTACATAGAATAGAAGATGAAAAGTATAATTTCATTTCTTCATTTATTCATTTCTTCCAGGTTTTCCAATTTATTAGTTTATGCTTGTTCATAATAGTCTCTAATGATTCTTCGTATTTCTGAAGTCTCAGTCGTTATGTCTCCTTTTTTCATTTCTGATTTTATTCATTTGGGTCTTCTCACGTTTCTTCTTAGTCTAGCTAAAGGTTTATCAGTTTTGTTTATCTTTTCAAAAAACCAACTTCTCATTTTGTTGATCTTCTGTATTTTTTGGCTCAATTTCGCTTATTTCTTCTCTGATCTTTATTATTTCTTTCCTTCCACCTATTTTGGGTTTGGTTTGTTCTTGCTTTTCTAGTTCCTTGAGGTGCATTATTGGGTTGTTTCTTTGGAATATTTCTACTTTTTTGTTATAAGTGTTTTTGCTATAAACTTCCCTCTTAGTACTGCTTTTGCCATACCCTATAGATTTTGGTATGTTGTATTTCCATTTTCATTTGCTTCAAGAAATTTTTAAATTTCCTTCTTAATTTCTTCATTGACCCCTTGGTCAAGGAGCATGTTGTTTAATTCCATGTGTATGCATATTTTCCAAGGTTCCTCTTGTTATTGATTTCTAGTTTTATTACATTATGTTCAGAGAAGATACTTTACCCTATCTCTTCCAAAAAAAATGCAAAAATTTAGCTAGGTGTGGTGGTGTGAACTTGAGTCCCAGCTACCTGGGAGACTGAGGCAGGAGGATCACCTGAACCCAAGGAGATCAAGGCTGAAGTGAGCTGTGATTGTGTCACTGCATTCCAGCCTGGGAGATAGTGAGACTCTGTCTCAAAAGAAAAAGGGCAGGATGGGGGAGGGGACAAAAAGCATTCTTAGTTTAAGAATAGGTTTTGCTTTAAAAATCATAGTACACTCATAAATTCTTGCTGAAATCAATAATTACACAAGAGAATAACAATACTAATAGCCTGTCGTAAATTGACCCCAAGTCTTTTTAATAAAGCACACTTTTTTTTAATTATACTTTAAGTTCTGGGATACACATACAGAATGTGGTTTGTTACGTAGGTATACATGTGTCATGGTGGTTTGCTGCACCCATCAACCCAGCATCTATATTAGGTATTTCTCCTAATGCTGTCCCTCCTCCTGCCCCCTGACAGGCCCCAGTGTGTGATGTTCCCCTCCCTTTGTCCATGTGTTCTCATTGTTCAACTCCCACTTATGAGTGAGAACATGTGGTGTTTGGTTTTCTGTTCCTGTGTTAGTTTGCTGAGAATGATGGTTTCCAGCTTCATCCACGTCCCCGCAAAGGACATGAACTCATTCTTTTTTATGGCCACATAGTATTCCATGGTGTATATGTGCCACATTTTTTTTATCCAGTCTATCATTGATGGGCATTTGAGTTGGTTCCAAGTCTTTGCTATTGTAAATAGTGCTGCAATAAACATACGATAAAGCACATTATTCTTAGCCCTTATGTAATCAAAAATCAGGTTCAGTCACATGCCACTTACAGAGTCCAGTTAACAAGAGCAAGATCTGGTATAAAGAAAGTGACTTTTGGCTGGGCACGGTGGCTCATGCCTGTAATCCCAGCACTTTGGAGGCCGAGGTGGGCGGATCATGAGGTCAGGAGATCGAGACCATCCTGGCTAACACGGTGAAACCCCATCTCTACTAAAAATACAAAAAATTAGCAGGACGTGGTGGCGGGTGCCTGTAGTCCCAGCTACTCAGGAGGCTGAGGCAGGAGAATGGCGTGAACCCGGGAGGCGGAGCTTGCAGTGAGCCGAGATCACGCCACTGCACTCCAGCCTGGGCGACAGAGCGAGACTCCATTTCAAAAAAAAAAGAAAGAAAAGAAAAAGAAAAAGAAAAAAGAAAGTGACTTTTTATTCCAAAGCTAGCTTAGAGGAAGACGTAAAGGCTCCTGCCTTTCAGGGTACCACTTCCCTTTTGGAGCAGAAAGCAGGTGCTTTTAAAGGGGGACTTGGCATGTTAGATGAACTTGCCCTGTAGGGAGTAGCTGGTGAAGGGAGGTAAAAGGTTATAATTGCATTTCTGAAGAGCTAAGTAGGAAGTTGGGAGCAGGGGGAAAGCAGAAAGAAAAAAGAACAAATAATAATAATTTAAAAAATAACTCTTTTTCTTAGACAAACGGGAGTACTCAGTTACACTAATATCCTATATAAGCAAGCATCATGTTTGAGGTAGGGGTGTTCCTCCTCTTGCTTTCTGAGGACATCTTACTCTTTAATAAGAGTAGTTTCTAATAAACCATCTTAACTTCACCAGACTCTGTGATTCACCCTGAATTCTTTCCTGTGTGAGGTCCAAGAACCCGGTCTTTGGGTCTGGTCTGAGACCCCTTTACAGAAACACACAGACATCAACCTGCTCTCACATGTGGGTGGAATATGCTATACCCCACAATCTGGTTAAGTTGCATTTTTTTTCTTTTGCAAACACCATTTTCCCCTTCAAGAATGGAGCCTTGACTCTCCGCCTAGTAATCTGGGAATTACTGAGGGTTATTACAGCAACAAATTAGGAGGCTCACATTTGCCAGAAAATAAATATTGCCTCAGTGTTACCACAAATGAGGTCAGTTCCACATTCCAGAAGGAATCCTGCTCTCGCGGCCAAACAGATAGAATGATAAAGAGCATTCTTTGCAAAATCAGCTGAGGCTCTCCCTGCCTAAGACAAATCTATTCTCCAACAGCTGGGAGAGAGACAAATACATGCAACCTTTATTGTTTACCCTGCTAAAAGGGAGGCCCCTTGTGTGGTCATGAGGATGGCCATTTACCAAAAGGGCTGGGATTTAGAGTTCTGGCTTATCTTTACCTAAATCAGTAGTTGAAGACTAAAACAAATTGTATCCACAAATAGCAATGGAAAATTCCCAGGAAGATTAAGTTAGGCAGATAAACAGCTTTGAAGGAATACTTACGAAATTTTATTTTATATTGTAGTGGTTGTTCTCTAAGCTGAGCTGCATAAAGAATAACACCTATCTGAATGATGCTCAAGAAGTTTGGCATTAGACCAGATGCAGTGGCTCATGCCTATAATCCCAGCACTTTGGGAGGCCAAGGCAGGAGGATCACTTGAGCCCAGGAGTTCAAGACTATCCTGGGCAACATAGCAACATCTTTGTCTCTACTAAAAATCTATCTATCTGTCTATCTATCTATCTATCTATCTGTCTATCTATCTAATATAAATTAACCAGACATGGTGGTATACACTTGTAGTCTAGCTATTAAATCTCAAAAAATTTACCAAACCAGATTACTAGATTCACCACTTCTTTAGAGATGGCAGGCACATTCATTCATCCTGTAAATAATTATTCAGCACCTGTTGTATGGCAGGCATTACACTAGGTCCTGGGGAGACAAGAATGAACCAGACAGACAGGGCTTCAGCCCTTGTGAAGCTGACACCCTCGTGGTTGGGATGGACAGTAAACTAGTGAAAAAGACAAAAGGAAGCAAATATACAAAACTTTAAAACTGCAAGAAAGAGGAGTATATGGTATTGTCCTAGAATACAACAAGGTTCTATCTATACGGCTGGCCTGAGGAAGGCTTCTCCAAGAGGGTGACATGTAAGCTGAGATCTGAAGAATGCTTAGGTTTTTCTGCAGGGGATTTAGGGGAGCGGCAGTTCAGGGAGAAGGGCAGTAAATGCAGAGCTCTAGAGACAGGAATGGAATTGGTGCGTCTGAGGACTTCAGAGCAGGCTAATGTAACCAAAACAGTGAAGGGCTTGAGGCTGGGAAGCAGGCAGGGACTGGATCCTATCAGGCTTGGTAGATAGTGTGGGGAGTTTGGATTATATTCCTAAAGCAGGAGGAAGCTTTCAAGTGGTGATACGGGGGAGGGAAGTGACAAGATCTAATTTACTCTTTTAGAAAGATCCATAGGATTGTGGAACAGAACTAAAGGGGAAGGCAGAGACCAGTTAAGAGGCCATGTCAGTAATCCAAGCAAGAAACAGTGGCGGTTTGGACTCATGTGGTGACATCAGAAATGAGAGACAGGGCCAGACGCGGTGGCTCACGCCTGTAATCCCAGCACATTGGGAGGCCAAGGCGGGCAGATCACCTGAGGTAAGGAGTTCAAGACCAGCCTAGCCAACATGGTGAAACCCCGTCTCTACTAAAAATATAAAAATTAGCCAGGCATGGTGGCACACAACTGTAATCCCAGCTACTCGGAAGGGTGAGGCAGGAGAATCACTTGAATTTGGGAGGCGGAAGCTGCACTGAGTCAAGATCGCGCCACTGCACTCCAGCCTGGGTGACAGAGCAATACTCAGTTCCCCCCCGCCCAAAAAAAAAAGAAAACTAAAAAACGAGAGACAGACAAAAACCATTATACATGTTGGAGGTAGAACCAGAACCTTCTGATAGATTAGATTTAAGAGGTGGGAAGGGGAAGGAGTAGGTCAAAAAGAACTCCCAGGTTTCTCATTTGAAAAAATGAATGGGGCCGGGTGCAGTGGCTCATGCCCATAATCCCAGCACTTTGGGAGGCTGAGGCGGGCAGATCATTTGAGGCCAGGAGTTCAAGACCAACCTGGCCAACATGGTGAAACCCCGTCTCTACTAAAATTACAAAAACTAGCTGGGTATGGTGGCGGGTGCCTGTAATCCCAGCTACTCAGGAGGCTGAGGCATGAGAATCACTTGAACCCGGGAGGCAGAGGCTTCAGTGCGCCAAGATCACGCCACTGCACTCCAGTCTGGGCAACAGAGTGAGAATCTGTCTTCAAAAAAAAGAATGGATGGTTGTGGCATTATTAAGGAAGACTGGCAGACGGACAGGTTTTGAAGGAGAAATCAGAAATTCATGTTTGGAAATGTTAAGTTTGAGGTGCCCACAGGACGCCCATCAGTGGCTCTATCTGTGGTCAAGTAAAATTTTCAATAGGTAAAAGACACACTAATCCCTTTATTTCTTCATGTTGTTTGTAGCCACAGTGCTTGCATCTATGAAGATACTTGTGAAAAGTGAAAAGGGTTTGAAAACTTGGTTCAGATTATTATCATACTAACTTGAGAATTTTCACTGAATAATAAACTGGCTTGATAAGGGCAAATATGGGCTTAAGTACTCAGTACTTGTTTCTTGGCCTTTTTTTTTTTTTTTTTTTTTTGAGACAGAGTCTTGCCCTGTTGCCCCGGATGGAGTGCAGTGGAACAATTATGGCTCACTGCAGCCTTGATCTCCCAGGCTCAATCAATACCCCCACCTCAGCCTCCTGAATAGCTGGAACTACAGATGCATGCCACCATGCCTGGCTAATTTTGGGGTTTTTGTTTTTGTTTTTCATAGAGACGGGGTTTTGCCATGTTGCCCAGGCTGGTCTCAAACTCCTGGGCTCAAGTGATCCACCCACCTAGGCCTCCCAAATATACAGGGTTACAGGCATGAGCCACTGCGTCCTGCTGGGCTTCTTCAAGAATACAAGGCTTACAAGCCTGGGAGGTGCTTCTTTAGCCAAGAACTACAAAGAAAGGTGGGTAGGAAGAACACTGTTCTATTTCTTTTTTAAAATTATTAATTCTTGGCCGGGCACAGTGGCTCATGCCTGTAATCCCAGCACTTCGGGAGGCCGAGGCGGGTGGATCACCTGAGGTCAGGAGTTCAAGACCAGCCTGGCCAACATGGTGAAACCCCATCTCTACTAAAAATGCAAAAGTTAGCTGGGTGTGGTGGCGGGCGCCTGTAATCCCAGCTACTCGGGAGACTGAGGCAGGAGAATCTTCGCTTGAACCCGGGAAGCGGAGGTTGCAGTGAGCCAAGATCACGCCACTGCACTCCAGCCTGCATGACAAGAGCAAAACTCCGTCTCAAAATATATGTAATATATATATATATATATAAATTTTTCTGTCTCAATGGTTGCAGAACACTGGTGGAAATGGGTGAGTCCATTTTTGAAGAGAACAAACCAACTGATGAGCTACTTGAAAGCGGAAATGCTGCTTTGAAAACCCTCCAGTGCAAGAACCACCTTCCCTTACTTTTGTGGCGACAGCAGTTCTCTATGCAGCTATGTGGAGATTTTAATGGTGTTTATCTGGGACACTTTCCAGAAGTGTCTTGCAGCAGAACCTTGCTATAAAGTTAAATTGTGTGAAACTAACAATGATTTTTATACGTGCAAGGGAGATTAGAAATATCCCAGACATAACAAAAGCAAAATGAGCACAATCTGCTTCCCATCTTTAAGATAGTTTCAATTCCAGAGGGAATTTAAAAGTTTGGAGTTTAAAAAGCCAAAAAGATCTTTTATCATAGGTCTAATGTATTAGTGGCCACGTGTACGCAATTGATCAAAGCACCCTGGCTATTTTTATAACTCGCTGGTAGTTCCTACCTCAATTGAGGTAATACAAATGATCGTTCGGCTCTGGTCATTATGTTCACAGAGATATGGTGATATTTTTTAACTTCTCACCTTAGAATTGGTTTTAATTTCAAGAGTTGTGTTTCCAAGATTTCTATATTCCTCTACCACCCACAAACTCCACAATTCCCACTGTAAACAACAGCTGCTGCTCTGATATTTCACTCCTGTGAAATGAAATGTGCTTTACTTCCCTGGCATCAAAAAGGGCATTATATACACTCCTTGCCTACCTCTCCAGTCTTATCACCTGATATCTCCACATCAAAATGTGCACATCAGCAATATATGTATAATCCCCTCTCCGTGAGTATGGACTGGATGGAGTGACTTGCTTCGAAGGAGCAAAATACAGAAAAAGTGTTTCACTTACAAATGACTGTGCCTTCGATCTTGGTGGCACTCTCCCTTGCCCTCTTACCTGCTCACTCTGCTGAAGCAGGCCGTCATGTTGGGAGATGCTCTGTGAAGAGGCCTACACAGCAAGAAACAGAGGGAGGAACTGAGGCCTCAGTCCAACCACCAAGTATGGGAATGAGCTGGGAGGCGAATCCTTCCTGGTCAAGCCCTGAGGTGACTGCAGTCTTATGAGTGACTCTGAGCCAGAGGTGGCCTTCTGGTGCACAGAACTGAGATAATAAATGTGTGCTGTTTTAAGCCACTATGTTTGGGAGTAATTTGTTATGCAGCAGTAGATAACTAATACATTTACCCAGCAGGGTGGTTATGGGGATGAAATGAGGTCATATAAGAAGTATTTAGCAAAATGCCTGACACCACAATGGGCACTGCACAATTAGCTCGATTCTCCTTCTTCCATCTATTTCCACTGCCACCCCCATGGTCCAGGCACCCATCACTTCACGTCTAGATTCCTGCAACAGCTTTGCAAATAGCTTCCTCACTTTCCTTTGTCCACCTGGTTATCTTCTTTAAAAAACAAATAGCTTGCTATTCCTCAAAAGATAAAGAATGATTGACATTCAAGGCCCTCCAGGCTGTCCCCAACCTGTATTTCCAAGTTCATTTCTCATTACACTCTCACACCTCACTACCACTCTACTAAGATCAATATATTCACTATAACCTAAATATATTTTGTATATTCCCACCCCAGTAACTGTGCTAATGAAATTCTACCCATTCAGTATTCATTCCCTCTTTCCTCCTAAGTTCCAAACCACCACTCTCCCTACCCCATCACTGAAAGTACCATTCCTCCACTAAGCTTTTCCAAACCTCATCACCCCATAATGATTTTTTTCCTTCCCTACATTAAGAATATTTACTCATTTGGCATACAGGAACAAAAGTTCTCTTGAAGCAACTCATGAACAAGTACCTGGAGTGTTAATGTTACTCTGAAAAATGTTTTCTAATATGGTATCAGATCTGCAAAATTCTGCATTAAAAAAAATGTGGCAGGGCACAGTGGCTCACGCCTGTAATCCCAGCACTTTGGGAGGCCGAGGTAGGTGGATCACTTGAGGTCAGGAGTTCAAGACCAGCCTGGCCAACATGGTGAAATCCCGTCTCTACCAAAAAATACAAAAATTAGCCAGGGGTGGTGGCGTGCTCCTCTAGTCCCAGCTACTCAGGAGGCTGAGGCACGAGAATCACTTGAATCCAGGAAGCAGAGGTTGCAGTCAGGTGAAATTGCACCACTGCACTCTAGCCTGGGCAACAGAGTGAGACGCTGTCTCAAAAAATAAATAAATGAAAATAGAAATGAAAAATGAAAGCAGAAGTCAGGCCTCTTTTTCATGGCACCTCAGAGACGATCGGCTGCTTCAAGATGCTTCAGTGATGGGGTAGGGAGAAAGGTGGTTTGGAACTCAGGAGAAAAGAGGGAACGAATACTGAATGGGTAAAATTTCAAGATAAAAAGCAAACCTTGCTGTTTATGAGAAGTGTATGGCCACAGAAGTTGCTGCTGATGCTCTGGGTAAACACTGGAAGGGTTACGCAGTCTGAATCAGTGGTGGGAACAAGGTTTCCTCATGAAGCAGGATGTCTTGACCCATGGCCATATCTGCCTGCTGCTGGGTAAGGGGCATTCCTGTTATAGACCAGGGAGAACTGGAGAAAGAAAACAATAATCTGTTCAGGCGTGCATTGTGAATGCCAATCTGAGTGTTCTCAAATTGGTTATTGTTAAAAAAGGAGAGAAGGATATTCCTGAGCTGATCCTATGGTGTCTCATCTCCTGGGGTCCAAGATCTAGAAGAATGAGCAAACTTTTCAATCTCTCTCAAGAAGATGATGTCTGCCACTATGTCGTAAGCAAGCACTTAAACAAAGAAGGTAAGAAACCTAGGACCAAAGCACCCAAGATTCAGCATCTTGTTCCTCCACGTGTCCTGCAGCACAAATGCCAGCATATTACTCTGAAGAAACAGTATATTAAGAAAAATAAGGAAGAGGCTCCAGAATATGCTAAACTTTTGGCCAAGAGAATGAAGGAGGCTAAAGAAAAGCACCAGGAACAGTTGCCAAGAGACACAGACCGTCCTCACTGCAAGCCTGTACTTCTCAGTCTGAATCCAGTCAAAAATAAGATTTTTGGCCGGGCACAGTGGCTCACACCTGTAATCCCAGCACTTTGGGAGGCCGAGACAGGTGGATCACGAGGTCAGGAGATCGAGACCATCCTGGCCAACATAGTGAAACCCCATCTCTACTATAATACAAAAAATCAGCCGGGCATGGTGGCGCATGCCTGTTGCCTCAGCTACTCAGGAGGCTGAGGCAGGGGAATTGCTTGAACCTGGGAGGCGGAGGTTGCAGTGAGCCGAGATCGTGCCACTGCACTCCAGCCTGGTGACAGAGCAAGACTCGGTCTCAAAAAAAAAAAAAAAAATTAAATTGAATAACAAATAAGTAAGATCAGACTCTCAAAAAATCTGGAAATATTCAAATTGTCCCTTTTCAGAGTCTGTGTTTTGGAGTCAGAAAGACCCTGAATGTTAAACATCCAGTTTGCAATTTATTTGCTGAATGATCTAAAGCAAATAGTTTAAACTCTCTCAACTTTAATTATCTTACCTAAAGAATGAGAATACCTACCTTGCAGGGTATTTGTGTGAATTAAAACATAAAGTGTCTTAATAAATAACAGCTATCTGCCTTTCAAGTAATCAATACAAAACATTCTACATAGAGAACAAATTGTTTGATAACTAAAATACATTCAAATATAATTCAGTGGCCATTTGCATTACTGTCAAACTTTATATTTCTGCAATCACTAGAAAAGACTATTCTTTGCAAGTTTTTCTAGAATAGTAATCACTGCAAAAGTCCTTTTACTATTTTCAGGCAACAACATTCTGGGAATTCATTGTATACTAGTTGCTATGTGGAGAGAAAATCAGAACCCTGCGTTTAAGACATTTAGAAAACAAACAAGAACACAGAACAGTCTTCCGTGCAAAGTAAGCAAATACTTTCTTGTGGATTTAGTCACGAGGAAAAGATCCCAGAGAAGAATGCCAAGCATATAGTAAGTTTAATAATCAGAACAAAATGGGATCAATTAGGAAAAACTATATACAGGAAATATTTTATATGGTAGTTGATCCTTTTTATGCTGACTATTTTTTAGAGTTTAAAATATGATTATTCTGCAGTCTTCTGAGTTGAAATTATTCAAGTGCCCATCAGGTTCAGAAATTCAGAGGAGTATACTGAATAATTTACTGATATTCCATGATATGTTTAATGTGTTGTTCCTCACTAGCAATTCATAGTTCAATACGCTGTGCAAAATTGTAATGAATGATGTGCTCTAAAGCAGCATTTCCATCAATATTTGTACGTGTATCCACAACAGATGCCTCACATGATTTGTGTGTCTAATTTTCACTGAATCCACTTATGCCTTCAGCACACCCAACAAGTAGTAATCAAGAGAGTTCAATCTATTAAATATACATATATATATTGTCTCCAGACTTTGTGGTCACTTGAATTTTATTTCTTTAAGATTCACCTACTCGAAGTCACATAAGCATTTTAACCATGTATATTATACCAAGTAAAAATTAATACTAAAATGAGGTAATGGAGAAAACAAAATTAGATTTCTTTTGCTTTCAAATAATCCCACACCAAAACATTTTGTGAAAATGAAGTGATTTTTAATTTATAAATAAAAGACTCTCTAAATGATTTTCAGGATGTATATTACAAGTTTAGTTTTAAATAGACTTAAATTTATAACAGGTCTTACAATGATTTCAATAAATAGGCACTCCAGAGCACAATGTGTACGTACAACAATCACGTGTTGACCTCTTAATATTCCAAGGGGATCAAAATCTTTTTCAAACACAGAAAGAAACTGGGCTTTGTGCAATGCTAACCCCAATAGCTATTCTCCTTTATAAACCACAATATTATTGTCAGTTTCGTATACTTTTACTTTATAAAGAACTCCTACAGGAAGAACTTTCTGGAGGTTGTCCCAGATATAAACAGCTACATTTTCAGTCGTGCTATAAGAAAAAAAAACAAAAACAAAAAAAATTCAAAATGCAAACAATAAAATTTCATGTTTAATATTTACAGAAAATAGAAATTCTAGTTTCGAAAGATTTCATTAAATTAAAACTTCAGAAATCACACAACAATCAAAGTATTCAAATCAATTCTTGTTTTACAATCCACATAAGGCAAGATACAGTGCCACCCACCTCACCACATCTGCAAAGTATGGCACATCCATATCCAGATTCTTATGATCAAGGGGCTGCATAATCGCCTCCTAGAGACAAAACCAAGGGAAAATATCATTGACTCCATTTACGACTCAAATTCCAAATTGTTCCACTTATGCCTCTAAACCTCACCTTATCACTTAGCCACTAACTAAATATTTGTAAGTACTAGATTTGAGTCTTACAAGGCAACTTTACAAAATTTCAAGTTGTAAAATAAAGTCAGGCCCAGCTGTCGGTAATGATTAGGAATCCTTGTTACTGAATAAAAAGAGGTGAGAAACCAAAAAGCAGAGAATTCCTGGAGCTTTCTCGCAACACAAGCCATTGTAATTCAGAATTCAGTTTAACACTTTGTGAATCCTGTCCAAACAGTTAGCACAAATATTTTTCCATAACACTGTCACACCTACGGAACAATGCCACAATATCATAAGGACAAAGATCCAGTGACTACTACATTTTATAAAGCAGACCTAGACTGAAATTATGTAAGTAGTTCTAAATTTTTGCTATGAGGAATAATTTAAGAATGATCTTGGGCTCATAGAAGGAAAAATATATATATGTAAAGACTATTACTCCCTAATGCTCGTGTATATTAACATAATGTTTTTCCTCATCATCAGCAAGGATTAAATTGCCTCATTCTTTCTAGGTTTTTGCTTTTAGCTATTGCAAAAAATCTAAGCATCTGTGAAAAAAAAATGTAATTTTCCATAGGACGTAGTTTGAAGAAGGGTACATTAATAACAGTAACAGCAATCATTTCTTGAGAAAAACTAGAATCATACAAAAAGAGTAAGTCCTAGATCAAACAGTTATTGAAATATATCCAATGAAGGGATGTTCCACATGAATAACAAGAAAACGGGCATCCTTGCTTCATCTTCAATCCCAGTTCCAGTCCCAATTTCTCCATTAAAGCCTCTTATGCAGGGCTTTTTGTTTTCTTTTGTTTTGTTTTTAGAGACAGGGTCTCTGTCATCCAGGCTGGAGTGCAAGTGGCATAATCATAGCTCACTGCAGCCTTGAACTCCTGGACTCAAGCAATCCTCCCCCCACGGTAGAGCTCTAACTTTACTCTACATGCCATGATAAGCCACTTTTACTGATGAAAGTGTGTGGTGTCCTTCAGGCATACAAAAGCAGAAAACAGCATAGAGAAGCCCTCCTCCAGTATTTAGTCATATGTTGAGGCCTTTTATGTTGCTGTCTTGTCTCTTTTCTTTCTTTTCTTTTCTTTTCTCTTTTTCTTTTTCTTTCTTTCCCCTCCCCTCTCCTCCCCTGTCCTCCCCTCCCCCTCCTCTTCTCCTGTCTCTGTCTCCCTCTCTCTCTCTCTCCGCCTGCCCCCCAACCCCTGCCCCATAAATGCATGCTGGCCCTATCTGTATAACTTTCCTAAAGTATTTTGAGCATAGTGCTGTTTCTTCATTCACTCATTCTTCTACTCATTTATTAAATCAACAGTTATTTAATAATATTCTTCACCTCCTAGAAAAAGTAATGTATACACTCTGTGGGCTACATCTCATTCATCTTTGTACACTTAGCTCAAAAACTGATGCGAAGTAGAGAAATTTGTTGAATATATGAATAAGTAATGTGAAAGAAGTAATCATTACTAATAACATCATTTTAATCAAGCAAATGTCAAATCTCAGAACAAACCTAAGCTGCAAGTGAAATGACAGCATAATAAAACAGCTGGAAGGAAAGAAATCTACTCCCAGCTTTGCAAATGACTAGCCATATGACCTGGGGCAAGTCAGTTAACTGTTCAGCATCTCTCAATCTTAATCTATGGGTTGAAGAAGTTGGTCTGAATAATCTCCAAAGTCTCTTACAGTGCAAGAATTCTATAATGACACAATCAGTTAAGTTCTTCATTGAACACCTTGTGTGTTATCTCTATGAGGTACTGCTCTGGTGAGTTTATAATAAAGCTAGAATGAACAACACAGTGTGGTGTCTAAATCTATGATCAAAGGTACAAGGAATATTCAGAGAGGGAAGAGAAAGCTCCAAGGAGAAGGCCAGGAGCAGTAGCTCATGCCTGTAATTCCAGCACTTTGGGAGGTCAAGGCAGGAGGTGTCTGAGACCAGCCTGAACAACATAGTGAGACCCCTACCTCTACCAAAAAGAAAAGTTTGCATTGGTTCTGTGCCTATTTAAAAAAAAAAAAAAAAAGAAAGACAGTAAGTCTCAAGGAGAAAGCTATGTCTTAAAAGAAATGGAGAATTTGTTAACTGAAGGAAATCAGGATATTCCAACAAGGAATACAAGGTGAGCATGTTATATTTCCTCCCATCGCTGTAACACAACTGTGACTAATTTCCGTTAAGTCACCAAAACACCTTTAGAGGCCATGCGAGCAGTTCTTCCAACTATTCCCCAACACCCACATCCAGTTCTATTCACAAAGTCATGGAACCTTAGGAGATAACTGGTTGGGGAGGTAGATAGGGGGCCACCAAATATTACAGTTAGGGAATAGCACATAATAAGCACCCAACATGCCATTACCTCCATATATTTTTTGAGATCAGCCAGATTCATAACCATTCCCGTAGCAGGGTCAATCTAAAGAATAAACAAAGGTGAATATTACTGTGATAGGCTCTCCATATTAAACGGCTGGCAAATTATTAAAGGCAGTACAATGTGCAGAGACTGTGCCCACATTTGCACATTTGCCTTCATCCCAGAGATAATCATTGACCTCAGCATGGAAGCACCATGTACTTCAAGCATCCTTTTCATTGTATAGCCCTTCTACCTGTCCACATACAGCATATTAAAGACAACACTTTGGTAGAGGAGAGGCCTGGAATGGCGGCAGCTCACCACACACACATATACAAGGGCCAACAATGAAGCAATACTGACTGGAACAGTTTTCAACACAGAATCCACCACACTGGCTGAAAGAGAGCCCAGCAATCTGCAAAAACCACACAAATATTTTCTGCACATACCTCTCCATGTACTGTCACCACAACTATGGAAAGAAAACAAAATACAAAAAAAACAGCATGACTTTCAACAGATCAACATCCAAGCACAAGTTAGCAACATACAAGCACAAGTTGGCAACATAAATTATTAGATCTGTCCCCAAAAGCTATACTTAAATATTTACCCCAAAACATCTGTTATTTTAGTTAAGATTTTTTTTTTAGCAACCAAAGCAAGACACAATCGAGACAAAGGAGCTTAGTAGGAATGTTGGCTAAGCAGAGGCACTCGGCCAAGGCTGAAAAGGGTGTAAATTCTGCTTATGTTAATGCACTAGGGAGCATCAAGATGCTGCTCAGTCTCTGCCTGTAGAAGTAGAAAATGTCTTTCAGGTGTCCAGCTACACAGCAAGCTGGTCCAATACTGAGCAGTACCTTTCTGAACAAGCAATACTACTGGGCCTTAAATTCTTGTCCCCTTACTCACATGAATGTATACAAAGTCTAAAGTAATGCTTTGTAAATTAAAAAGTGCTTGTGAGAAGCATTTGAAAAATCTTGGCCAGGCGTGGTGGCTCAAGCCTGTAATCCCAGCACTTCGGGAGGCCGAGGCGGGCAGATCACCTGAGGTCTGGAGTTTGAGAGCAGCCTGGCCAACATGGTGAAACCCCATCTCTACTAAAAATACAAAAATTAGCCAGGCATAGTGGCGGGCGCCTGTAATCTCAGCTACTCGGGAGGCTGAGGCTGGAGAATCGCTCGAACCTGGGAGGTGGAGGTTGTAGTGACGGGAGATCACACCATTCCAGCCTGGGCAAAAAGAGTGGAACTCCATCTCAAAAAAAAAAACAACAACAACAAAAAAAAACTTTATCAGTGCTTTACACATTAATAACTTTTATGAATTTATGTATTTTAGTTCTGTACAAATACCATTAGATATTACATGTAAGTGAGTACACTGAGACTGAGATACCATAGATTAAGGAAGAGGCTGTAGCTAAACCAGTAATCCTAATCTCCTGACACCTTGTCTGTTTTTTTTTATGCCACCACACCACATACTGTTTTATACTCTACGACTTATGTACCTGTTTTTTAAGGCAGGCTGTACCTCAAAGAATCAAGTCTCTTATCCTTGAACAAATTACCTACTTTCTTCGAACACTGCTGGCAAAGCTTTAGACCAAACCTATTTTTCTGCCATACATTACATTCCTAGGCAACATTCCCCTTTTGTCAGTCATTATTTACTCAAAGAATAAAATCTAATTTTAACATTAGCCTTGGCCATACCTAATCAGAAAGAAACTTGTTGTGTACTCTAGGACAAAGAAAAATGCTTTAAACCATTCATTGTTTTGGACTGTTTGTAAGAGTTGACATTGCAAGGTAAAACTTAACACACACCCAACCAAGACAACAGATCCTTTCATTCTGAACTCCCATTTAATTTCTCATTCAAGGCTCAAAGCATTCACACTGTGTCCGTAAGTTTTCCCATTCTTTATGTCTACATTTGCTGAATACTCTTTCATCCTTATTGAAGGGCTGAAATGTCATCAGTTTTTCTCTCACCTTTATAATTGTGCCCATGGCCATTTGGATTGTTGCATTTCCCAAACAGTTTCAAGTTTTCTTCATCACTTAGAAATTTACTGACCAAAAAAAAAAAAAAAAGTCAGCATGACACAAGTATCACATTCAAACCCCCTTCTCTGTTCCTTATATTTATTATTTGTACTGATCTTTGAAAAGTTTCCCAATTTATTACTTTAGCTCACCAAAGGGAGAGTCAGAAATCATGTTGATTTTATTACTTACGTATACGTCACAAACCATGGCATATTCCCTAATTAGAAGATTGTACCATACAAATTAGCACAAACAAACCTTAACTTCAACCCCCTTGTTCCACAGCAACTGATCTGCTCATGGGCCTTCCACTTTTCAATTCAACATTACTGAGTGCCTACAATGTAACAGGCAAGTGCTGAATGAAATAACAGCATATAATGATAAACATAGATGGTGATCCGCAAAGTGGCTTACTATCTCATTTCTCTCAGAAGCTAAACTACTCATCCAGAAAAAATAATTTAAAAAAATTACATGACCTGGTAAGTCTCCTATTTAGCAATCTTGCTTTATACTATGTCTCAACTACTGCCTCATGAGAACTTTACCAATCTGTTGAGGAATATTCCAAGCAGGTGAATTTTTAAAATTACAATCTTTGGCTGTCGTCTCAGACAGAAAACAAATTGCTTAATGTTTATACTTATACCCATCCATTCAATTTCGCATCGTCTATGAGACCTTACCACCCTCAGGTGTTTAAGCTTATTATACAACCCCTTTTTTTTGAGATCCTCTTTATTATTCCCCCCAATGTAGTTTGGATGTTTGTCCCCTCCAATTGTCATGTTGAAATGTGATCCCCAGTGTTGGAGATGGGGCCTAGTGGGAGATGTTTGGCTCATGGAAGTGGATCCCTTATGAATGGCTTGGTGCCCTCCCTGAAGCAATGAGTGAGTTCTCGCTCTATTAGTCAATGGGCGAGCTGGTTGTTAAAAAAAGCCTGGCACCTCCTCTCCTCTCTCTTGCTCCCTCACTTGCCCTGTGAGTTGCCTGCTTGCTCGCCCTTCGCCTTCCACCATGAGTGGAAGGTCCCTGAGGCCTCAACAGAAGCAGATGCTGGTGCCATGCTTCTTGTACAGCCTGCAGAACCAAATAAACCTCTTTTCTTTATAAAATACCAGTCTCAGTATTCCTTTGTGGCAATGCAAAATGGAATAACACACCCCCACTTTCTCCTGCTCAGCCACTTCTTGTATTTAGAGTGCTAAAGTCTTTTGCACAAAATTTTCTCAGTGTACCCTCCACAAAATAGGCCAGATTGGAAACCCCATACAAGATCCCTGATGCATCCGTTACCTAGCACAAGCCCTGACAAGCACGAAACAAAACCTGGTTTAGCGAATGGAGGGATGAATCCTGTTAGATAGCGATGGTCATCCTCATTTCACAGACGACGATACGGAGGGCCAGAGGGTGGAGCTGGTTAGTGCGTGGTAAAATTCCTCAAAATCAACTCGTCAGTGCATGCAAGCAGTATGTATGATCGGGATTCAAATCCCAACTATGCTGCTTCGGAAACTGAACGTCTGGGCTCATTTTTTTTTTTTTTTCTCCTAGCCACTAGACCACCAGGGACTGGGTTCATCCAGTCTTTGGTAAAAAAGGGGCTAAAATTTGCCTTGTAATTACATTAGATATGGTGGCCAATGCTCCTGGCATACAAGATTAGCTAACATTTACTGAGTGTCTACGCCGCGCCAGGTACTGTGTAACATAGGCGAGTTTAACACTGCTGAGTTTCACAGCAACCCTGTGGTCTACACCAAGGGACTCCTAGGGGCAGAGACGTTTCTTCGAGTCGCAGAACCGGGTGTGGGCCCCGCACCCAGACGTGGGCCATCGCCCTCCGCAGTCGGCTCCGTTAACCATCAAGCTCCCCCACCCCTCCAGGGCTGGGGACACTCCAGCCCCCATCAGGATGCTGGAGGCCGTCCGAAGCCCCACGAAGCCGACCAGCGCGCGTCGCCCCAGCAGCCCCCGCGCCCCTCCCGGGCCCGACGTCAGCACGCCCGCCGGCCCCGCCCCGGTGACGTTCCGGGGCCCGGCGCCCACCGCCCGCCGCTGTACCTGTGTGCACACCCTACCTGTACAATCGGTGGCTCGCGCTGAAGGAGATGCGGCGGGACACTTGTGCCTGGCAGCGACGGCCACCACCTTCCGTGCTCATCTTCCCGGCGCTGTCTGCGGTGCTCGGCCGGCACCTCCTCCCGCCGCGCGGCCGGTGCCTCCTCCCACCGCGGCTGCGCAGTGCGTGCCAGACGCGCCCCTAGGAAGTGCGTCTCCGCTTCCGCTCTGGCCAATCCCGGCCTCGGGAGACAGTTAAGGGTGTCTCTCGCTATCTGAATCTCTTCGGAGAGCAAGATTTGGGATACCTAAGCATACCCTGGAGTGGTCAGGGTGGGTGGGGACCCTGTGTCCTTGATCTGTTTGCCCCGCCTGAGGTCACGCCACGTAGTTAGGGCCCGTCTGGGCACACTTTGGGTCCTGAGTGACCTCTCTGAGCCTCCTCTCCCACTCTCTCCTGTAAAGCTCCAGTGACTGGTGACTCAATCGGATGAACCCCAGGGCCACAGTCCGCTTTATAGACCAAAAGGAGCAGGAATTGAGCCAGGCGGGCGTGGTGACGCACTCCTGTAGCCCCAGCTATTGAGAAGGAGAGGGATCACTTCAGCCCAGGAGTCCAACCTGGGCAATAGAGCAAGACCCTCGTTTCTCTTTTTCTTTTTTCTTTTTAATTATTATTATACTTTAAGTTCTAGGGTACATGTGCACAACGTGCAGGTTTGTTACATAGGTATTCATGTGTTATGTTGGTTTGCTGCACCCATCAACTCGTCATTTACATTAGGTATTTCTCCTAATGCTATCCCTCCCCCAGCCCCCTACTCCCTGACAGGCACCGGTGTGTGATGTTCCCCACCCTGTGTCCATGTGTTCTCATTGTTTGATTCCCACCTATGGGTGAGAACATGCAGTGTTTGGTTTTCTGTCCTTGTGATAGTTTGCTGAGAATGATGGTTTCCAGCTTCATCCATGTCCCTGCAAAGGACATGAATTCATCGTTTTTATGGCTGCATAATATTCCATGGTGTACATGTGCCACATTTTCTTAATCCAGTCTATCATTAATGGACATTTGGGTTGGTTCCAAGTCTTTGCAATTGTGAATAGTGCCACAATAAACATACAGGTGCATGTGTCTTTAAAGTAGCATGATTTATAATCCTTTGGGTATATACCCAGTAATGGGATGGCTGGGTCAAATGATATTTCTAGTTCTAGATCCTTGAGGAATCGTCACACTGTCTTCCACAATGGTTGAACTCATTTACACTCCCACCAACAGTGTAAAAGCATTCCTATTTCTCCACATCCTCTCCAACATCTGTTGTTTCCCAACTTTTTAATGATCGCCATTCTAACTGGTGTGAAATGGTATCTCATTGTGGTTTTGATTGGCATTTCTCTGATGGCCAGTGATGATGAGCATTTTTTCATGTGTCTGTTGGCTGCAGAAATGTCTTCTTTTGAGAAGTGTCTGTTCATATGCTTTGCCCACTTTTTGATGGGGTTGTTTGATTTTTTTTCTTATAAATTTGTTTAAGTTCTTTGTAGATTCTGGATATTAGCCCTTTGTCAGATGGGTAGATTGCAAAAATTTTCTCCCATTCTGTAGGTTGCCTGTTCACTCTGATGGTAGATTCTTTTGCCGTACAGAAGCTCTTTAGTTTAATTAGATCCCTTTTGTCTATTTTGGCTTTTGTTGCCATTGCTTTTGGTGTTGTAGTCATGAAGTCCTTGCCCATGCCTATGTCCTGAATGGCATTGCCTAGGCTTTCTTCTAGGGTTTTTATGGTTTTCGGTCTGATATTTAAGTCTTTAATCCATCTTGAGTTAATTTTTGTGTAAGGTGTAAGGAAGGGATCCAGTTTCAGCTTTCTACATATGGCTAGCCAGTTTTCCCAGCACCATTTATTTAATAGGGAATCCTTTCCCCATTTCTTGTTTTTATCAGGTTTGTCTAAGATCAGATGGTTGTAGATGTGTGGTGTTATTTCTGAGGCCTCTGTTGTGTTCCATTGGTGTATATATCTGTTTTGGTACCCATACCATGCTGTTTTTGTTACTGTAGGCTTGTAGTATAGTTCGAAGTCAGGTAGCGTGATGCCTCCAGCTTTGTTCTTTTTGCTTAGGATTAATACCGTTTCTTTAAAAAAAAATTTTTAAAGAGCAAGAATTTGAGAGCACAAATAGGACCACGTGACAACAGTCCTTTGGACTGTTGTGTAATGATCCTTACTAAGGGAAATTCTAAAGCCATTCTTATCCACAAGCATGTATGGACCCATTTATTACTCTGGGTTGGCATAGTGTGAATACAGACACCCCTAAACACATATTAGCAATTCTTCTGCCAGTGTAGACACATTGAGAGTGAAAGGATCTTGTTTCCTCACATCTACTCACAAGAGTAACCAAACTACACACAGTTCCCAGAATCATGTCACCTCTTGCTTCCATTCACTCTTTCACTAAATATTTATTGGGCATCTACTATGTGGCTGGCATTGTTCCAGGTACTGGAGAGGACAGCTCCACTCTATATGAGAAAAATCATCACTGTATATGATGAAAAGCAGGACAAGTCACTGATTAATAACAGGCTTGGAAAAGTTTCCTGTAAAAAGAAAGATAAAATCATGGGGGCGATAGAAATAAGCTCAAATGGTGATTTCCCTCAAATATCTCCTATTTACAGCTATATATTCTGTTTGTTCTGCATTAAACTACTAACAGGTTATTTAGCAAACACTCTCCATACATTTTCAGATGTTTGTCTCATCTACCCCATTGTACTGTAAAGAAAAAACTTCAAATAACATTTAGAGATTTTCGAGATAGAGACTGTTTAGTTCAATACTTTCACTTTACAGATAAGAAAATACAGCCACAGATAAGTGAATTACTATTGCGAGATCACTCAGAACAGAAACATTATTTCCCAGGTATGGACTGCCTCAGTGATAAATACTCTCTAACAGTCAGTGGTTACACAAATAGTTGCTCATTCCAAAACCAGCTTAAAGAATCAAAATAAAGTGAAAGAGTAAGAGAAATTTCTGCAAAATTATTTTTATTAATAATACTTGTTTGTTTTAGTAAAATATTTCACTGCATTTGCAGAGTTGAAGTTTAACCTGTTTGGAAATAGGATTGTTGCACACGTATTGAGATGAGGTGTTTAGGATGGGACCTAATCCAACATGACTAATGTTCTTGTAGAAAGGGGAAACTTGGACTCAAAAACTGACACATACAGAGGGAAGATCATGTGAAGACACAGACAACACCATCTCCAAGCCCAGGAGAGAGAACTGGAACAGATCTTTCTTCAAAGCCCTCAGAAGGAAAAAACCAACTTTGATTTCAGACTTCTAGCTTCCAGAATTGTGAGACAATTCATTTCTGTTAAGACCTCTGTGGTACTTTGTTATGGCAGCCCTAGCAGACTAACACACTAACCAATAAGCAAATAACATTCCTCTTAACTTAGCTTTCAGTGCCTTGAGATCAACAGCCATTTAGGTATAGTTCTCCCTTCACTCTTGCAACATTTACTGGCTTGTGCTTGGCTGCGTTGTCTCAGAAGGCTAGCTTCTACTAAAAGATCCCATAAGGGCCCCTGGCCAGCCTTCCTGCCTCAACTCCCCTGCTGTCTCCAGGGGCAGGTGGCAGGCATGGGTACCTGCATTTCACTGGAGTGGGTTCTTGGATCTCTGAGGGGAAGGAACAGCAGAAGAGGCCCTTCTTCCTCACCCAAGATGCAGGTGGTTGGGGCCAGGAGTTTGGACCCTCCAGGTCTTGGGGGAATAGCTGGGTAATACCTGGTGTCTGAGCGATTCTCTGCAGACCCTTCCCCTCCTCAAGGACCACCCATCCTCCTTTCAGCCCCCTTTATGGGGGCCGGGCAGCTCTGGAGCCAGCCACAGAGTCTCTTACAGAAGCAAGGCCTGGAGTGGCCTGCACCAAGAAGCAGGGTCAGGGTTCGTGTGCTCCTCCTCCTGCCACAGGGGCCGCACATCCCATTGCCCCACTTCTGCTTTCTGTCTCCCTCTGTCTAGCTTCTAGGGCAGGAGCAGGCCCCACCTAGGGCTGCAGGCAGTTTGGCCTGTGCCAGCACGGGCTCCTGTGCCCACCAGCCTCACAGGTGCTGTGCTTTGTGCTCTTGGCTGCTGTGCTGGGACAGAATGGGATGCCAGGAAGAGAAGAAGAAGAAAGGGGGTGCAGTCTGAGGCCACCACCCTCCTTCCTATCTAAGGGAGGGCTGAAGACAAGGGGCTGGCATTCAGTGGGTAACAGAAAGGAGAGGCCCCTTGAAGCTGCTCAGTCAAAGGGCCCCTGTCCCTCCTTTTGCTCTCCCCAGGACTAAAGACCTGAAGGGGCTGGGTGTGGGGCTGGCTTTTGGAGTGTCAAGGTGAATATGTGGGAGCAGAGATCATGAATAACTCAGGGCAGTGAATGGCGCACCAAGGGCAGGGCTGTGTGTGGGAGGCTGCGGCCAAAATTGCCTCAGCTCCTCCCCCTCAGGCTGGGAGGCTGGGGGCTGGGGGTGGGGGTGGAGGGTCTCAGCTCTGCTGCCCCCACCCCAGTACTAGCCTAGCTTCCCAAGCTGGGGCTTAGAGGATAGTTGGCTTCCTGCCTCTCTCCACTAAAACAGCAAGTCTGGGAAATCCTGGGGCGAGTGGAGTCAACCCACACCCCAGTTGCTGGCAGAGACTGAGACTAAAGCATCACTTAATAAATACCCCCAAGCCCCCCCACCAAAAAAAAGATCCCATAAGGTACTCCAATGGACATATATTGGCAAGGTAGGCCCCATATCTATCACCTTCTGGTCCTCATTCACTTATTAAGTTAAAAAAAAAGTGTTTATTTAACATCTAATGAATGCCAAGTGCACTGCTAAGTGCCAGGGGCGCAGTATGAATAATAAACACGTTTCCTGTCCTCATACAGTTCAAGCTAGTGAGGGAGCTAAACACAGAAATAAATCATGACAAACTAAAAAAGAAAAAAAACACTAATTCTCCCTCAGGAAGTAAAAGAAGGCTTCAAAGAAGAGATGACTTTTGAGCTGGATTTTAAGATTCACCAGGTAGATAAGGGAATTCCAGGAAGAGAATGTAAGCAAAGGAAATGTGGAAAAGTACAGCTTGTTTACTGCATATTGAAGAGTTCTTGGCTACAATGGGGAGATAGGTGAGAGGTAAGACTGGAAACATTGATTGGGGACCAAATTATTGAAAGGCCTTGAATGTCATTTAAGTATAAACGAAAGGAGGTTTCACCCCCTTATCTCCCTTGTAGCTCCCCACAAAAAGGGAATTTTCATCTGCTTAAATCACATTTCCAGGCACTGGTTGGGCCTTGTTGACTCACAGGCAGGCCTACAATGTGTTAGAAGTACCACACATGGTGTTGCTTACTCTCCAGAGCTATGCTCAGAGGAAAAAAAAAAAAATCAAGCCAAAGCTCTCCCCTACTCCCACCCTGCCCCAAGGAGGCCTAGCTGGCTGGTTCATACGTTTTCCTACTGCTTGCCTCCTGTGGAGGACCCAACCTGCC
Organism: Homo sapiens; assembly: GCF_000001405.40. NCBI lineage: Eukaryota > Metazoa > Chordata > Mammalia > Primates > Hominidae > Homo > Homo sapiens. The sequence goes on along the minus strand of NC_000011.10, from coordinate 112,220,984 downwards.
CATTTGCCTCTTCCTTTTCCCCTCAATTGTGCACCACTTACTCCCTTTCCTTGAATCCTCAGACACTGGCTAGTGGTAAGAGTTGGGCTTAGGCAGAGGAAGAGGCCCAGCCTATGCTTTGGGCCTTGGTCATATGCTCACTCAATTTTACCAGAACTTTCTCCCTTGGATTACCAGGCATATATGCCTAGATTATAACATGCCACTGATCCTTTTTTGTGTTCTCCTTCAAGAAACAGAGAGCAGAGCAGAGCCAAGGCAGAATTCAGGTATCCTTAGGTCAAAATCTTATGATTATACTGCTATCCTTCATATGTCTGAACTTCATTCCCTGTGTATTAAGATAGAGATTTATAAACAGAGGAAAGATGTGACAGATCTATGGACTTGCCAGAGGTCATCCAGAGTCTCCTTCACCCTTCAGATCTAGGAAGATCAATCAAATCTCCATGTTTTGTCTGAGGAAGTACAATGAATGCCTTTTCAGGGACTTCTGTGAAAGGAAACACTGGGGGACTTACACTCTCATGGTTACCTGAGGCTCTTTGCTCCTGCATCTGCTGCATTAGTTCTGTTTAGGCATCTTCTTGCCATTCTAAACCTGCTGCTGTGTTCTGCATCTCACAAACCCAGACATGGAACTCAGCCCTTTTACTTTATTGCCACAGTGCAAAGCTCCACGCATGGCATTTGCATGTATGGAACACATCACTAAAGAAGATGGGGTCTGTGAAGTTTGAAGTGACTCTTAAGGAAAATTAGACAGGAAACTATGTTAGTCCAGGACGGTGCAGAGAGCCTAACCATGAGTTCACAGGTGCCACATATTGTATGTCTGGGGGTCTTCTCCAGAGCATTCACCATGTGGAAGGAGCATAAACAGTTTAACTGGTCCTGGAATGGTGTTCAGCAGAGGGAAGGGAGTGTAACTGAAGGAAAAGGGAACAAGGGATTTTGGGGGTGTTGGCAAGAGTGTCGTTTAAGTGACAGACCTTGCCTGCCTACGGCTGTTGGTAAGATCAGGCAGGGTTTAGAAATGTGAAGATTATATGGTCTCTAGTGCCACCTGCTGTCCAATTAAATGAAGCACTACTGGCTTGTCATCCATCCCTGAGAACTATACACGTAGAGATTAGAATAAATGCCTGATTTTAGTGATGTTCCTCAAAATAAGCTCCCAAAGCCGAGCTGAGGGTGGGGTGGGGGTAGTGGGTGGTCCATAGGAGGGTTGTGCAATTGCAGTAGCATCTGCTGTGGACAGCAGAGAAAAAAACAGTTTAGAAGAAGCCTCCATGCAGGATATAGCCAGCTTCCTGTCTTCTGAGTACCTTAGGACCAATGGTAACAGGCAGACTGTGATGGAAAGAACAAGGTGCTTTTCAGATTTGTATTCAAAGTCTACTATCTATGATCATTTGTATTTCTTCTCCTAGGACCTCTGTCATCCACCTATCCGATGATGGTAATTGACAGAGCAGGAGCATCTTTATTTTGGACAAACCGCCACTTTAAGTTCCAGCTCCCTTTCTAGCCTCATGCATTTCAAGGAAATCACTTCTCTTCTAACTACAAGCAAACAGAAAAAGCAGACAGTAAAACACAAATAAAACAGCACGGGCACAGAGGGAAGTAGGGGGAAAGTCTCTTGGGTAACTGCCAAATTTCACCCTCATATAATGGGCCCCAGTGAAACAGTGGGCCTTAATAAGGACATTCCTCTCCCTTCAGGTGCACTAAGATAGGGAAGCTAAAAGCAGACTTTGGGGGGTATGCCTGCAGCTGCAAAAAAATATGTATGGGAACAAACACACAACTCTCCCTCCCAAATAAACACAACAAAGAAACACAGAAGCAGTCCAAGCCTCTAATAAACTCTCCCACCCTGAATCCTTAAAAACTCTTAGTCTGTAAAAAAGTGTGCCTCTAATCTAACTCAGCCAAAAGGCTCCTCTCGGGTTTGTTTTTTCTAAAATAAACCTGTCTTAACTGGCAAGCCACCTTTCATGTTTCTTTCCTCTTTCTTTAATTCTTGCAGTAATGACCAAAATACATGAATTTTTATTTCGTGTATTCTTATTATTACCTAGAGGAAGATATATCCAATAAATGAAATTTAAAACCCTCTTCAAAAGGTTGTATCAATACTTTCTTAATTATTTCAAGTAAGAGCCCTAAAAAATAAATATCTATAACCATAGTTATATTATGAATTCTGCTTTGTGGTGTTTTTTCTTAAGAAACATGAGTGCCAAAGTTTTATTTGTTCATTTCTTACATTTGAAATACTCTTCGATGACATCCTTGACTTAAGATTCTTTGACCTAGTCCTTAACTACTGCACAACTGCAGCCAACCACTTTTCGGGGGTTTCCCTCTCAGTTTTACAGAGGCCTACCCATTCCTCTGGTTTCTTGTTGTCATCAACCTTAATTAGGGTGAGTTGGTGTTCAGCACCATGGGACTCCACCAACTTGACATACATAGGCTCATTGCAGTTGGGTGCAGGCAGACAAAAGTGGGCTTGGTGCTTGTCTAACGCTTTGGCAGCTTCACAAATTGCACATGCTAGGCCATGATGAGTGAGGGCAGTCTTCCGCACCTCTTATAAAGTAGTGTTAATGGCCATGACACCTCCAGCAGCAATGCCTCCATTGGTCATGATGGTGTATTAAGGGTAAAACCGAAGCTTGTATGCACTCGAGCCTCTGCCATGGCGTGACTTGGCAGTGGCAAGGAAATAGTGAATTCTGTTTTTAACAGAAATTTTTAAACTAAATGTCTATTTGGGACATTGGTTTGGGAGGTACGGTGCCCTTTATGCTCTGTCTTTTGTATAGAGTACATTCTTTGTTTTTCTTTTTATTTTTATTTTAGATTCTGGGGTACATGTGCAGGCTTGTTACATGAGTATATTGTGTGCTGCTGAGGTTTGGACTTCTAACGAACCCATCACCCAAATAGGGAACATAGTATTCAATAGGTAGCTTTTTAACCCCTGCCCCTCTTCCTCCTTGCCCCCCTTTTGGAGTCCTCAGTGTTTATTTCTCCAGTCTTTATGTCCAAGTGCACACTTATTTTAAACCTAGTTTCCAGACCTTGTGGTTGTCCCATCAGATGGGTATGAAGGTACCATGGAACCCATAAGGCATCTGCACAGGTACCTCTGCTCGGCCCAGCTCTTCAAAGTTCTTGGCATCCAAAACTAGGATAAAATTGCTTTCATTCTAGAAAAGAAAAGACAATATTGAAAATTATCTTTTTTTCATCAAAAATTTGCCTGTCTCCTCCACTAAGCTGTAAAATTCCTAATGGAGAGACCATGTTGGTCAGGCACAGTGGCTCACACCTGTAATCCTAGCACTTTGGGAGGCCGAGGTGGGTGGATTGCTTGAGATCATGGTTGAAGACCAGCCTCGGCAACATGGCAAAACCCCATCTCTATAAAAAATACAAAAATTAACCAGGCGTGGTGGTGCACACCTGTAGTACCAGCTACTCAGAGGCTGAGGCAGGAGGATCGCTTGAGCCTGGGAGGCAGAGGTTGCAGTGGGCTGAGACTGTGCCACTGCACTCCAACCTGGGTGACAGAGCGAGACCCTGTCTTTAAAAAGAAAAGAAAAGAGAGAGAGAGAAAGAAAGAGCAAGACCATGTCTTACACATCTTCATACCTCTCCCCAGAACCTAGCACAGTGCCTCACCTATACACTCACAAATTGTTTCCTCAGTTGCTGAACTGGACTGGAAAGGATATCATGGCTAAAGAAGTTCATACCTACAGCAAAGAAATTAAGTTGTTTCTATCAATCACCTTCACAGAATTTCTTTGAGTTTAATATTTTTGCTTGTGCCTTTCCAATCTTCTAAAAGACAGAAACTCTTTCTTCCAAGTTAGAAATGCCTCCATTTTGTGTTACTTTGGAGCTGTTTAAAGGCCAGCATTGCAAGGCAGATTGAGATCTGCCAAATCTAATTCCAGGAATGGCAAGTGCATGGCATGAGGACAAAGTCCTCCTAAAGCCCATGGCAGATATCGCTAATTGATCACAGCCTTTCTTACTGAACCCTTAAAAGGCCTCAGAGCCCTGCACCCCAGGCAGCCACTAATAATTAATCAAAGTTGATACTCAAAGTGAACCTATTTGCCATAAGATTGCCCTAGACAAGAAGTCAGATAGTGCATAGTGTTATTGGGACACTGGACCAGGACTGATGACATTGGACTTGGAGGTCAGTTCATTGAAATTGGCAGCACACATGATGATATAAACATTAGACTGGAAGTCAAAAGACTTGGATTTAAATACTGGCTTTACCACCAGGAGATCTGATGCAAGTCTACTTCAACTTGTTTACTTTACAAATTCCACATGTATAAAATGGTATCCCACAAAGTTGTTTTGATAACTAAATATGTGTAAGTAGTTCGTAAATAACAAATTCCTTTGCAAATACAAATTGTTATTATGGCCTTCCAAACAGAACTTTAAAACAATAAAATATGGATTGAGATAAAAGGGTATGTAAATAGTAAGGAGGGGAAGAGAAGGGAAAAGGAATCAAAGTAAACTATCGACAGATGAGTGTGCATCCTTGATTTATCAGATGACTCAGTGCTACTTTTCTTTCTGACTGGTGATAGGGAAATATATTTACCTGGTTGGGAGTGATCACCACAGAAAGAATAACCCCACCATCTTCTTCATTGGTTCCTGGTGCTGGAACAAAAACAGGTTCTGAGGGATAAAAGCCATCTTCTCTCCAAACCTGCAAGTCCCAAAAAAAGCATTTGATAAAAGGCAAGTAGTAAGTAGGGAGCTTTCTATGGCTTTTGTCACTCCAAGCATGAATTTGGCTGTGATGTAGTTTGGATGTGTGTCCCCTCCAAAGCTCATGCTGGAGTGCTGAGCCCAGTGCTGAAGGTGGGGCCTAGTGGGAAGTGCTGGGTGATGGGGGCCAGTCCCTCATGAATAGCTTAGCACCATCCCCTTGGTGACAAGTGAGCTCTCGCTCTATTAGTTCGTCTGAGAGGTAGTTGTTTTAAAGGAGCATGGCACCTCCTCCTCTCTGTCTTGCTCCTACTCTCTCACCATGTGGCATGAGGCTCCCTCTTTGCCTTCTGCCATGATTCTAAGCTTTCTGAGGCCTCATCAGAAGCTGAGCAGATGCTGGTACCATGCTGGTACATCCCACAGAACTATGAGCCAAATAAGCCTCTTTTCTTTTTCCTTTTTTTTTTGTTTTTTTTTGTTTTTTTGTTTTGTTTTGTTTTGATTTTTGAGACGGAATCTCGCACTGTCGCCAGGCTGGAGTGCAGTGGCGCAATTTCAGCTCACTGCAACCTCTACCTCCTGGGTTCAAGTGATTCTCCTGGCTCAGCCTCCCAATTAGCTGGGATTACAGGCATGTGCCACCACGCCCAGCTAATTTTTGTATTTTTAGTAGAGACAGGGTTTCACCGTGTTGGCCAGGATGGTCTTGATTTCCTGACCTTGTGATCCATCCCCCTCGGCCTCCCAAAGTGCTGAGATGACAGGCGTGAGCCACCACACCCAGCCTAAACCTCTTTTCTTTATAAATTATCCAGCCTCGGGGATTTCTTTATAACAACACAGAACAGACTAACACAGGCTGTCAATAGAATATTCCAAAAGTAAAAGAATCAGGCCTACTGAGTTGAATATGGGAGAAAGAGAGGGAGTCTTTGCAGTCCCAGATTCCATCACCATCAAACACAATTTGTGTAACTATAATTTGCCATCAACTTTAAATATAGGTGTCCTAACAACCCTAACCCCACAATTGCTCCCAAAATAACATCAAAATCAAACATAGAATTATTTTGCTGGGCCTGGGGTCAATTTGGATTCCCTAGAAGGAACATACCCCTAACTTAGATGATTTCATAGTTCTCAAATAAAAGAAAATGGCTCAGCTGCTTAAATACTGAAGAATCTTAAGAGCTACTTTAAATAAAACAAACTAATTCAAAGGGAAGAACAGGTCTCTGAAAAGTTCAAAAAGGAAAGAGTTTTTCATCACCTTCAGTGTCTTATTCACCACATCAACCTTGATCAGAGAATCCCCCACTAAATGCCGAAAGCCACAGCCATAAAAGAAATGATACTTTTTGCCACTGAATCGATCATAGTAGATCTGAGGAAATTCAATGCCTCCTTCCTTTTCTAGGTCCTCCTGATGTAGATTTTCATGAGAGCACCAGATCTAAAAGAGATTTCAAAAGGATTTGTAGTGGTTGCTTAATTCTTATTTTCCTCTTATGTAGGTCAGTGAGGAGCCTCATACCCTATAAAGGTTTGTGACAGGGCTTGGGAACTGAGGTTCTATGTCATGTTTTAATATTGTTCCTCTTTCCATCATATGTGTGGATGCATAATGATTATCAAGTTTTATTAATAAGCTGTCAAATGACATAGGAGGTGGAGATATGCGTTTTATTCTTCTAAAGCTAAGGCATTGACAGCTACACAATGATAGGTCTGTGCTAAGCACATATTATCTAAAAGGTGGGGATTGCAGCTGGACGCGGTGGCTCAAGCCTGTAATCCCAGCACTTTGGGAGGCTGAGGCGGGCGGATTACCTGAGGTCAGGAGTTCGAGACTAGCCTGGCCAACATGGCAAAACCCCATCTCAACTAAAAATACAAATACATTAGCCGGGCGTGGTGACAGGTGCCTGTAGTCCCAGCTACTCGAGAGGCTGAGGCAGGAGAATTGCTTGAACCCAGGAGGCAGAGGCTGCAGTGAGCCGAGATAGCACCACTGCACTCCAGTCTGGGCGCCAGAGCAAGACTCCATCTCAAAAAATAAAAATAAATAAAAAATAAAAGGTGGGGATTGCTAATGCCAAGCTCAAATGGATAGACATTCCACAACCATTAGACAGTTCCATATCTCTGTTTCAAAGCACAGGAAGGATAGATAAACACTGTGTTCATTCCCACTGTTTCTGCAATTCTTGTGCAAGCGATGTTACATAACCTTAACCTGCTCGGATGAATGTTATAAAAGTTATTGGGTACCAGACATTTTGGAAAACAGCTAAAGAATAAAGTAACACCATTAAAGTTCAAAGTCTTAGTCTAATGTCTGTTCATAGCATACCGTTCCATCAGCCTGTTTCACAGCACTGGCTGAAGTATAGGACAATGGACTCAGGTTGTCTCCCTCAGGGGCATTCAAACTGACATTTAAAGGCAAAACAAACCTTCGAGGGAAAGATTTGGCTGCTGAATTATGGACCTGTTTGGGAAGAAGAAAGAGATGAAAATTGTCATTCATATGGTAACAGTATGTCCCAATAATTTAGATCCAGTCAACATCATTGGCATTCCTAAATATTTAAATAAATGATAATTTCCATTCATTCATCTACTTAATATTTGTTGAGTACCTACTATAGCCCAAGCAGTTTTAGACACTGGAGATACAGTCATGAATAAAGCAAAGTCTTTGGCCTCATATAATTTATATTCTAGTGGAGGAATGATAATAAAGAAATTTAAAAATTATAAAATATTTGTGGCCAGGTGCGGTGGCTCATTCCTGTAATCCCAGCACTTTGGGAGGCCAAGGCAGGCGGATCACCTGAGGTCTAGAGTTCAAGACCAGCCTGACCAACATGGAGAAACCCTGTCTTTACTAAAAATACAAAATTAGCCGGGCATGGTGGCTCATGCCTCTAATCCCAGCTACTCGGGAGGCTGGGGCAGGAGAATCACTTGAACCTGGAAGGTGGAAGTTGCGGTGAGCCGAGATCATGCCATTGCACTCCAGCCTGGGCAACAAGAGTGAAACTCCGTCACAAAAAAAAAAAAAAAAAAAAAAAAAAAAAGTTATTTAATTAGCATCAAATAAACAAATGATTATATAACAAAGAGTAAGAAACTAGAGAGTAACAAAGGGTGCTTTCCTTCTTCAGATTTGATCAGGTAGACCTCTGTGTGGAAAAGGATCAACTTAGTAAGCCTGGGTTGCTCAAACCCTGCACTATTTCAAGAAAGACTTGTTTTCATGACTGACCTTGGGCTGGTTGCTGGGAACTGAGCTCTTGGGATGTTCTGTCTGATAAGAGTGTTCTTGCATGTGCCAGTCCTTAAGTGACTCTGCAGTAGTTTGTCCAGATAGTTTATGCTAACAATGTGATTTATAATGAACACCTCCATTCCCTTGAGGATCTGGAACATCAGTAACTGAGGGTCATCATGTAGGGGTTTTATGCTTATATGATTCATCCCCAATAAAAACCCTGGACAAGCAGGCTTGGGTGGGTTTCTTTGGCAGACAACATTTTACACATGTTGTCACTAGTTCCTGGAGGAATTAAGCATGTCCATTGTGACTCTACTGGGAAAGGACTCTTGGAAGCATGTACCTGGTTTCCTCTAGACTTCATCTCATGTGCCTTTTCCTTTTGCTTATTTTGCTTTGTATCCTTTTACTGTAATCATGAGTCATGAGTATGACTATATAGAGTCTTTTTAAAAATTTTTAATAAAGATGGTATCTCACTATGTTGCCCAGGCTTGTCTCGAACTCCTGGGCTCAAGCAGTCCTCCTGCCTTGGGCTCCCAAAGTGCTGGAATTACAGGCGTGAGCTACCTCGCCTGACCTATTTTGAGTCTTATGAATCCTCCTAATGAATTATCAAACCTAGGGGTGATCCTGGGAACTCCCAACACAGCTTCTCCATAGAGATGATGTTTAAGCAGGAGACCCAAATAAAGTAAGTGTGTTTTTCCTGACAGTAAGTGCTTTAAGCCCATTTTCCTCTCTGAAATACTGTAGGATGGAGAACAAACTGCACCATTTCCTCCCATATACCTAGTCTATATGATCTCTGTAGCATGCAGAAATATTTTTAGTGAGTAAAGATTTAGTGCTATTCTTAAGATTCATAAAGTTATTAGCTTTTTTTTTTATAAAAGGTCACCATGGCTTCAGAAGTTACCAACTTTTTAAAAATGACTTTTAATTATATTTACAATTGTTTTCTCTTGCAAAACCATAGCTAACCCAAAAGACGCTTCAAATAATGGTAGATTACATTATATGGATCAACTACCCCATTGAAAACAACTAGAAATTATGGACAAAATGTTTAAAACAGCTGCCTGAAGGCACTGGTGAGCTAAAAAGACAGTGAAGAACAAAGGGGCCAGGTTTGGGATGAAAAGGAAACCCACAGAAACCAACTGGATACTGGGGCAAGTTTTTCCCTAACTACTTAAACATATGCTCAACATCATTAGTCATTAGGAAAATGCAAATCAAAACCACAATGAGATATCACTTCACACCCATTAGGATGGTTATTATTTTTTTAAAACCCAGAAAATAACAAATGTTGGTAAAAACGTGAAGAACTGGAACTCTTGTGCATTGCTGATGGTAGAAAAATGCTGTGGCCACCGTAGAAAAATAGTTTGGTTGTTCCTCAAAAAGTTAAACACAGAATTACATGATCTAGCAATTCCACTTCTAGATATATACCTAAAAGAACTAAAAAAAGGAATTTGGATATTTGTATGCCAATGTTCATAGCAGCATTATTCATAATACTCCAAAGATGGAAACAACCCAAGTATCCATCAACAGATGAATAAACAAATATTGTGTGTGTGTGTGTGTGTGTGTGTGTGTGTGTATACAATCGAATATTATTTAACCTTAAAAGGGAATGCAATTCTGATACATGCTACAACATAGATGAACTTTGAAAACATTATGCTAAGTGAAATAAGCCAGACACAAAAGGACAAGTATTGTATGACCCCACTTACATGAAGTACCTAAAATAGGCAAATTCATAGAAACAGAAAGTAGAATAGAGGTTACCAGGGACTGGAGGTGGGGGGAACAGGGAATTATTGTTTAATGGGTACAGAGTTTCTGTTTGAGATGATGAAAATGTTCTGGAAATGGATAGTGGTGATGTTGCACAACATTGTGAATTTACTTAATGCCACTGAATTGAACACCTAAAATGGTTAAAATGGTAAATTTAATGTTATATATATATACTTTCTACACCATAAAAAAAGAAATAATACAGAGATTTCCCATATATTCGTCATCCTTTTTTGCCAGTAGGAATGTCTTGCATAATTATAATATAATATCACAACTGGGAAATTTACATTGATACAATCCACCAACCTTATTCTAGTTTAACATGCATTCGTGTGTGTGTGTGTGTGTGTGTGTGTGCGTGTATTTAGTTCTATGCTATTTTATCATGTGTAAATTCATGTACCCACCACGCCACTCAAGATACAGAACAGATCCATCACCACAAGGATCCTTCACGCTACTTTTTGATAAGGGTATAGCCATAGCAACTCACTTACCCCTTAACCTTAAAGAGAAGGGCTTTTCAATAGTTTTGAGGGCTAGAGTGACAAAAGTTTGAATTTACGATTTTCCAAGAAGAGGAAGGCCTAGTAAACCTCTAGTCCTTTGGGTTGGGACCTCATAGGTCTGTACCCTATGAATAAGAATAAACAAGAAATAGTCCAGCTCTTGCATGGACTGAATCCTGCTTCAAATTATATAAGCAAGTGAAATTCTTCTCTAGAGGAAAATAACATCATCTTGTGTCTCAAAATATTTCCACAATTTTTAAAACACAATATTCTGCAAATGAAAGGAAATAACCAGCACATGAAAAGACAAGGCAACATGATTAAAAACCAAAATAAACAACAGATAACAGAAACAGAATCACAGAAGATCCAGATACTAGTTATCAGACTTTAACTATTCTAAATATGTTTAAGGAAATTATTTTAAACTGAGAATTGTGGTAGAGAACTATAAATTGGAAAAGAGAACCAAATCAATATTCTAGAACTGTAGATCTGCCTATAAGGAAATTTTCAAGTCTGGAAGGCTTTACTGTTGAATTATTCCAAATATTTAAGAAATAATATCAATCCTATACAATATCATCCAGAAAGAAGGAAAACAGAGAACAATTCCCAACTCATTGTATGAGACTAGAAAAACCACAAAACCAAAACCTAGTAAGAACATTATAGAAAAGAAAAAAATTAAAGGGCAATTTTATTCATGAACATAGATACAAAGAATTCTAAACAAAATAGTAACAAAGCAAATCCTGCAATATATTTAAAAGCAAATAAAATGCGACCAATTGGGATTTACTTCAGGAATGGAAGGGTAGCTTAACATTCAAAAATCAATCAATGGCTGTTATGAACATTTTTTAAAGAATCAGTCAATGTACTTCACCATGTTCACAGAATAAAGGATAAACGTTATATGATTATCTCAATAGTGCAGAAAAAAAACAGTTGATAAAGTCCAACATCCATTCATGACAAAAAATCTCAGTAAACTAGGAGTAAAAGGGAACTCTCCTAATCTAATAAAATGTATCTTTTTAAAAAGTTGTCCACACAAAACGTGCTAACAAATATTTATAACAGCTTTATTCATAATTGCCAAGAATTGGAACCAACCAAGATGTCCTTCAATAAATGAATGAATACACATTTCAGCGATAAAAAGAAATGAGTTCTCAAGCCACAAAAGACACAGAGGAACCTTAAATGCATATTGCTAAGTGAAAAAAGTCAGTCTGAAAAGTCTACATACTGTATGATTCCAACTATGTGACATTCTGGAAAAGTCAAAACTACAGAAATAGTGAAAAGATCAGTGGTTTCCAGGGGCTGAGAGGAGGAAAGGGGAAGGGACGAATGGGGGAGCACAGGGAGATTTTCAGGGCAGTGAACTATTCTGTATGATATTGGTAGATACATGACATTATGCATTTTTCAAAACCGGTAGAACTGTACAACACAGACCTAACCATCATGTAAAGTATGGACTTTAGTTAGTAATAATGTAACACTCCTACATTGATTCATCAGTTGTAACAAATGTACCATTAGCAGGAGAGGGAAATATGGAAACTCTCCATACTTTCTGCTTGATTTTTCTTTAAAAGTAAAATTGCTCTAAAAAACAGTCTATTTTTTTTTGGAAGTCCTTTATTGTAAAGGTAATTCTTTTGTCTGATGACAAACAGCAGCCACAGTGATTATTCTGGATCTCCACAATGGACAAATTCAATTTCTTCTTGAGACACAAGTTTACTTCTATATTTCTGAGGTAATGTTTTCATTACTTCTGCAGTGTCTGGTACATCCACAAATCCAGTAATTTACTTCCCTTAGAATGCTGGGAAATTGCAGAATCGTGAGATGGTTGCCCTGCTGATCTCAGAGCTTCTGGTACATTGGGTTTAGGATTGTCTCTTCCAGCAGGGAAGCTTATTAATGGAGCATGTGGCTTGACTACCTGAACGACACTGCTAGCAGATGCATCTTGCTGCCCATCATGACCCCCGAGAAGGGACAGTTTCTATTATATTTTTTTAATCTACAGCCACAGCATGCTTCATGGTAAAATGCTGCAAGCTTTGCCTCTCAGATTGGGAACAAGTTAAGGATGCCATTATCATCACTTATATTCAACACTGTACTGAAGATCCAGTGAAATAAGACAAAAAAAAAAAAGCCAATATACAGCTTACATGTAGAGTTAGAAAAGGAACTATCATTACTTGCATATGATATTATAGATGTAAAAATCTAAAAGAATCTATAATTATTAGAATTTGTAAGTGTAATTACTATATTAGTGAATATAAAATCAACAAACAAAAATCAATTGCCGGCCAGGTGCGGTGACTCATTCCTGTAATCCCAGCACTTTGGGAGGCCAAGGTGGGTGGATCACTTGAGGTCAGGAGTTCAAGACCAGCCTGGCCAACATGGTGAAACCCCATCTCTACCAAAAAAATATGAAAATTAGCCAGGAATGGTGGCACATGCCTGTAGTCCCAGCTACTCAGGAAGCTGAGGTGGGAGTATTGCTCGAACTCAGGAGGCAGAGGTTGCAGTGAGCTGAGATCACACCACTGCACTCCAGCCTTGGTGACAGAGTGAGACCGTCACACTGTCTCAAAAAAAAAAAATTGCTATATAGCAACACTAACATAAAATGAAAGCAAAAAATAAACAACATTTAAAATAATGTAAAAAAAAAACCTAGGAATAAATCTAACAAAAGATGCAGAAAATATGTAACCAGAAAACTATAAACATTGAAAGAAATTAAAGAAGTCTCAAATAAATGGAAAGATATATTGTGTTCACGTACTGGAAGACTCAACATTGTGTAAAGAGGTTAGTCCTCTCTCAAATTGATACATTGGTTCAGTGCAAATAGAATTAAAATGTGACCATATTTTTGTGTGGGGAACTGACAGCTGATTCTAAAATTTCTACAAAAACGTGAAGGGCCAGGGATGGCCATGACACTCTTTTCAAAAGAAAAATATTAGGATAACTTGACACTAAACCTTAAGACTTTTTTAATGCAGTGCACAAGTAACCATAAGTAGAAACAATGGAACAGAATATACAGTCCAGAAACAGAATAATGCATATACAGATACTTGACTTCTCTAGAAGATAACATAGGATAATATTTTCATTACCTTGCCATGAGAAGATGTCTAAAACAAGATGTACAACGTATAAGTCATAAAGGAAGAGACTGTATACTGGGCCATATTAAGTTAAGAATGTTTATTCATTAAAAGGCACTATTAGGATAATCTGATAAAGATAGCTAGAAAAATACCTATAGCAATTTTATATTTAATAATGAATTATTAAACATTTTTCAACACTACCTATTCAACTTCTATTCACTATCTTGCACTTCTATTCAACTCGAAGTCCTAGCTGGTACAGTAAGGCGAGAAAAAGAAATAAAGCCCTAAGTATTAGAAAGAAAGCTGTCATTATTTTCAGGTAACATGACTGTGCACATAGAAAATCCAAAATAATCTGTGGATCAACTATTTGAACTAATAAGTGAATTTAGCAAGATCTCTGGATATGAAGATAATATACAAAATCAATTGCATTTCTATAAAGAGCAACAAACAGAAAATGAAAGCTTAAAAGATACCATTTACAATAATTTCAAAACACACAAAAAGAAATGTAGTATCTTTATACTGAAAACTATAACTTTACTGAGAGAAATTTTAAAAGACCCAAATAAATGGAGGGATATTCCATGTTCATGGATTGGAAGACTCAATATTGTAAAGATGTCAATTGTCTCCAAATTGATCTACAGTTGCAATATTGTATCAGGTTTTTTCCTTGCAAAAACTGACAAGTTGACATCAAATTTAAAAGTTTCTGCACAGCAAAGGAAACAATCAACAAAACGAAAAGGCGACCTATGGGCTGGGGAAAAAAATTGCAACCACATATCCAATAAGGAATTATACTCAAAATTTGTATATTTTTAAATTTTTTTGTAGAGATGAGGTCTTGCCATCTTGCCCAGGCTGATCTTGAACTGCTGGGCTCAAGCAATCCTCCCACCTTGGCCTCCCAAAGTGCTGGGATTACAGGCGTGAGCCACCACACCTGGCCTCAAAATTTATAAAGAACTCTTACAACTCAATACCAGAAAAACAAATAACCCAATTAAAAAATGGGAAAAGCCGGCCGCCGCCCCGTCTGGGAAGTGAGGAGCGCCTCTGCCCGGCCGCCCACCGTCTGGGAACTGAGGAACACCTCTGCCCAGCTGCCGCCCCTGCCGCCCCAGGAGTGCCTCTGCCCAGCCGCCCACCCTCTGGCAAGTGAGGAGCGCCTCTGCCCGGCCGCTGCCCTGTCTGGGAAGTGAGGAGCGCCTCTGCCTGGCCCCCACATTGTCTGGGATGTGAGGAGCGCCTCTGCCCGGCCCCCGCCCTGTCTGGGAAGTGAGGAGGACCTCTGCCCAGCTGCCGCCCGTCTAGGATGTGAGGAGCGCCTCTGCCTGGCCGCTGCGCAACCTTCCAAGTGTGAAGTGACAGCCTTGTGTGTGATCTTTTCTGTCTTCCCCAAGTTTGCATTTTCAATATTAAAGTTTACTTTTTAATTAAAAGTTAAAAATAAATTAATTAATTAATTAATTAAAAATAAATAAAAAATGGGCAATGGACCTGAACAGTCATTTCTCCAAAAATAGAGGCCAGGTGTGGTAGCTCACACTTGTAATCCCAGCACTTTGGGAGGCTGAGGCAGGAGGATCACTTGAGCCCAGAAGTTTGAGAAAAGCCTTGGCAACATAACAAGGCCCCTGTCTCTACAAAAAAGTTTTAAAAATATTAGCTGAGTGTGGTGCCATGCACCTGTAATCCCAGCTACTTGTGAGGCTGAGGCAGGAGGATCATGCATGCCCAGGAGTTTGACAGCAGCCTTGGCAACATAATAAGACCCTGTCTCTACAAAAAAGTTTTTAAAATATTAGCTGAGTGTGGTGCCACGCACCTGTAGACCCAGCTACTTGGGAGGCTGAGGCAGGAGGATCACGTGTTCCCAGGAGTTTGAGGCTTCAGTGAGCTATGATCATGCCACTGCACCCAGCCTGGGCAACAGAGTGAGATCCTGTCCCTAAAAGAATAAAATAAAAAATAAAATAAAATTTGAAAGTCCAATAGGCATATAAAAAGGTGCTCAACATCACTAACCATAAGGGAAATACAAATTAAAACCACTATATAAAACCTCACACTCATAAGGATGGCTATTATCAAAAAGACAAGAGATAACAAATGTTGGCAAGGGTGTAGAAGAAAGGGAACTCTAGTACATTGTTGGTGGGAATATAAATTGGTACAGCCATTATGAAAAACAGTATAGGAGTTCCTAAAGAAATAAAAAATACAGATGACCCTTGAACAACACGGAGTGGGGTAGAGGTGCCAACCCCCTACATAGTCGAAAATCCACACATAACTTTTGACTACTCAAAAATTTAACTACTAATAAACTATTGTTGACTGGAAGCCTTACCAATAACATACAGTTAATTAACACATATTTTGTATTTCATATGTATTATATACTGTATTATTACAATAAAGCAAACCAGATAAAAGAAAATAAGAAAATGTTATTAAAGGCTGGGTGTGGTGGCTCAAGCCTGTAATCCCAGAACTTTGGGAGGCCAAGGTGGGCAGATCATCTGAGGTCAGGAGTTCGAGAGCAGCCTGGCCAATATGACAAAACCCCATCTCTACTAAAAATACAACGGGCATGGTGGCAGATGCCTGTAATCCCAGCTAC
The DNA here is from genome assembly GCF_000001405.40 of Homo sapiens. Classification (NCBI taxonomy): domain Eukaryota; kingdom Metazoa; phylum Chordata; class Mammalia; order Primates; family Hominidae; genus Homo; species Homo sapiens. The sequence continues at coordinate 112,204,799 of NC_000011.10, read as the reverse complement.
TCGGGAGGCTGAGGCTGGAGAATTGCTTGAACTGAGGAGGCGGAGGTTGCAGTGAGACGAGATCACGCCATTGCACTCCAGTCTGGGCAACAAGAGCAAAACTCTGTCTCAAAAAAAATAAAATAAAATGCTACTAAAAGTCATAAGGAAGAGCAAATATATTTACTATTCATTAAGTGGTAGTAGATCATCATAAAGGTCTTCATTCTCATTGTCTTCACATTGAGTAGTCTGAGGGGGAGGAAGAAGAGGGGTTGGTCTTGCTATCTCAGGGGTGGAGAGGTAGAAGAAAATTTGCATATAAGGACCCATGCAGTTCGAATCCATGTTGTTCAGGGTCAACTGTACAACATATGACCCAGCAATCCCTCTCCTGGGTATATACTCAAATGAGATGAAATCACCACCTCATGAAAATAGCTGCATTCTTACGTTCATTGTAGCATTATTCATAACAGTCAAGAAACAGAAACAACCTAAATACCCATTGACAGATGAATGGATAAAGAAAATGTGATATATACACACAATGGAGTATTACTCAATCTTAGAAAAGGAGATCCTGACGTCTGCTACAACATGGATGGACCTGGAAGACATTATGTTAAGTGAAACATCCAGACACAGAAAGAAAAATATTCTATGAGGCAGGGCGCTGTGGCTCACGCCTGTAATCCCAGCACTTTGGGAGGCCAACGCAGGCAGATCACCTGAAGTCAAGAGTTAGAGACCAGCCTGGCCAACATGGTGAAACCTGGTCTCTACTAAAAATACAAAAATTAGCCAGACATGTTGGTATGTGCCTGTAGTCCCAGCTACTCGGGAGGCTGAGGTAGGAGAATCACTTGAACCCGGGAGCAGAGGTTGCAGTAAGCCGAGATCGCGCCACTGCACTCCAGCCTGAGTGGCAGAGTGAGACTCCGTCTCAAAAAAAAAAGAAAAGAAAAAAAAATTGCATGATCTCATTTTTATGTGGAATTTTTTAAAGAAAATCTCAAATACACAGAGAAAGACAATGAAACAGTGGTTACCACCAGAGGGGAGGGGAAGGCAAAGACAAGATGTAGCTCAAAGGATACCAAACAGTAGATATGTAGTATGAACAAGTCTAGAGGTCTAACGTACAAACGTAAGAAATAAAGTTAATAAGATTGTATTCTATCAGAGATTTTTGTTAAACAAGTAGATTTTAACTGCTCTTGTCACACAAAAAAGTAACATGTGAGATGATAGATATGTTAATCTGCCTCACTATACTAACCATTTTAATATTTACATGTATCCCATAACATCATGTTGTAAACCTCAAATATATACAATGAATTTTATTTTTAAAACAAGAACAAAAACAAAACCTGATAAATGGATTCTAAAATTTATAGACATGCAAAAGGCCATGAAAAACCCAGGCAATCTTAAAACAGAAAAGAGATAAACAACCACAGATGTCAAGACCCACCATAAAGCTATAAGTAAGCTTAGTAAGGCATAAGTAAACTTAATAAGTACTATTTTACAAACATTTAAAAAGACAATTATAGCTAAAAAATAAAGCTACAGCTAGAAACAATGTATATTACATAATTCAAGGAAAAACTTTACCTTGGATTCAGCATCAGGAAAAAGTGAATCCCTTCAACTAGGTGGACTGATTGACGGTCTACTTTGCTATTCCTTCTAGCAAACTTTGGTGCTTAAGTGTAATAAGGAAATAAGGAACTATCACATATGCTTTTTTTTTTTTTTTTTGGAGATGGAGTCTTACTGTGTTGCACAGGCTGGGGTGCAGTGGTGCGATCTTGGTTCACTGCAACCTCCACCTCCTGGGTTCAAGTGATACTCCTGCCTGAGGCTCCCAAGTAGCTGGGATTACAGGCACCCACCACCACATCTGGCTAATTTTTGCATTTTTACTAGAGACGAGGTTTCACCATTTTGGTTGTCCAGGCTGGTCTCAAATTCCTGAGCTCAAGTGATCTGCCTGCCTCAGCCTCCCAAACTGCTGGGATTACAAGCGTGAGCCACCGTGCCCAGCCACATATGCTTTTAAACACATATCTTGGCTCTCTTTGCCATGTTTCTTACTTATTAGGTATTAAATAAGCTATTTCAAATTATTTTTAATATTAAATAAATGATGAAGCTGTGTCTTCAATGCTTTAAAACTACTCTCTCTCATTATTTGCCACAAGGAGACAAGAGAAACACGTAATTCCTAGGTCAGGCATGGTGTCTCATGCCTGTAATCCCAAGACTTTGGGAGGCTGAAGCAGTCAGATTACTCGAGGTCAGGAGTTCGAGACAAGTCTGGCCAACATGGTGAAACCCATCTCTACAAAAAAATTAAAAATTAGCAGGGCATGGTGGTGCGTGCCTATAATCCCAGCTACCCGGGAGGCTGAGGCACAAGAATCTCTTGAACCTGGGAGGTAGAGGTTGCAGTGAGCCGAGATCGCACCATTGCACTCCAGCCTGGGTGACACAGCAAGACTCAGTCTCAAAAGAAAAAAGAGAGAGAGAGAGAGAGAGAAACATGTAATTCCAAAGCCAAAGCCAGATCTTGGAGTTCAAAATTATTTTGATGACTCTTGACAAATTCTAATGTTTACCTGATCAAGCCCTTCCCCAGCCTTCCTGAGATTCTGTAACTGGTAAACTTCTAGGGTTCTTCCATTATCTTGACAGCACAAATCAATTATAACACAGCCCTGGTCCTCAAAGGCATTGATTTGATGAAATGTAACAAAAGGTTTGCTGTAGTATCTCCCTGGAAGGAGCTGCAGGGGAAAACACAAACAATGAAAAAAATTTTTTTTAGTTTTCTTCTTTTTCCCTTTCCTTTAGGAAACAGGTCCAAAAAGTTCAAAATAAGAAAATTAGAAAGATTTTCCCCTCTGAAGTGGCAGGTCCAGTATATATAAAAGTAGAATACAGAATGTAGAAGCAAATATGCTTTGATTTAAACATTGCTTGCTTAAGCAATGAACTGGGTCTATTTGATATAGACCAATCAATTGTTATAACGAACTTAAAATCCCTCATGAAATATAGCCCAATGTTTTGAGTGATATGTAAATCTTGGACTCTAACTGCATGGTTAAATAGAAAATATTGCTACTCAGTATACTGATGATAAATTCAAAGACTAATTTTTTTTAAGGTGCAGTCATTACTAAATTTTTTTTTGTAATGAGATCCAGATAGAGTAAATTTAAGATACTATCTCTTTAGAGAGGTAAAAAGTAGGCAAATATAATAGCATTATGAATCAGGAGTATAAAAAGATATTCAATCAACATGCTTAGACTTTAGTAGGATTGTCATAGTCACATATTAAGAAGCCAGAGAATTGGGCCAGACGCAGTGGCTCACGCCTGTAATCCCAGCACTTTGGGAGGCTGAGGCAGGTGGATCACGAGGTCAAGAGATCGAGACCATCCTGGCCAATATGGTGAAACCCTGTCTCTACTAAAAATAGAAAAAAATTAGCTGGGTGTGGTGGCACACACCTGTAGTCCCAGCTACTCGGGAGGCTGAGGCAGGAGACTCACTTGAACCCGGGAGGTGGAGGTTGCAGTGAGCTGAGATCTCCCCACTGCACTCCAGCCTAGTGATAGAGCAAGACTCCATCTAAAAAAAAAATCTCAAAAAAAAAGGAAAAAGAAGCCAGAGAATCAACTAATTAAAGTATTACTGCAAAAATTACAGAAGATTTCTGCACGAACAACACCCTCTTTAGCAACTATTATGATATGGAAAAAGTCCATGCTAAGAGAGTTTCCTGGATGCCATTTTAATTGAATCAGATCATTAAAAAGATAAAATCATTTCCTATAATTCTCTAATATGCAAAATCCATCGTACTAATTAATAAGTAGCTAGCTCAACCTATAGAAGAAGGTAATATCCTTGATTAAAAGTGTCTTATGCACTTTTAACCAGGGAAGATTTTTAAAAAATCAACTATATGGAAATTTGCCTTTGTTTCCAACAATTTTCATGATAAATATACTCAAAATACTCCACCTGTCCAGTGCGTTTTTCCACCACATGAAACCGCGTATTACACTGGGGTTCCCAGCTTATCCCATCTGAAAAGGCCTTTCCCCGAATTTTAGAAGTGGCAATTTTCCACAGGTTCATCTTTAGAGGTTGTTCAATGAAAATTATATAGTTCCTTGTCATTCCTAAAAGGTTCCAGCAAACAATAAAAATGTTATTTGGCAAACTAGAGTTGTCTGAAATGTGCCAGTTATGGGGACTTGTCTGAATGCCTGGACACGTTACTGATGCCCTAAACAAATGCCAGCCAGAAATACATGTTTACTGTCTCCCAGCTTTACTATACGTATTTCCTGTTCCTTTATAAAAAAGGGAACTGCTTAGAATAGCTTGGGTTGCATGTTCTCAGCTTGCTTTTTATCTTTTTTTCCTTTTCTTTTCTTTTTAAATTATTTGGTTTAGGAACAAAGTAAAAAAGTATAGTATTAAAGTGTCCTTTATGATCTTTACATGTATCCTTTAATCCTTTTCCTGCTTATACTGGGGGTAAGAATCTAGAAGCAGTTTGGCTATAATGATTTAAAGTACAGAAAATAAATATTCTGAGTAAAAGCTGAATCAACCTATATAGAATATGAATTTCCCCAAAAAATATAGTCAAGACAACATTTTCATGTATGATTACTATTTGTGGGCTTTAAGGTTGCCTAAAATTTTAAATTATATCAATTAATTTTTTAGTAATTGCTTATACTAAAGCAACTACAGTATATCTTTTCAAGCAGTCAGCTGGCTAGGGTCAGGAGTATGTGACTAAACAGAATAACCTTACCTGGCATCAAAATGCAACCTTGGTCTCATTATCACCATAGCGTGATAAACTATTAACATAACATTTGCCAGACTAGTCCTTCTGCTACAGCAACATCAAGGCAGAGCCCACTGAAATTTGCCTTATCTCTGGACTCACCAAAGCTATGGTAGTAAGAAGGTTTCCCTTTCTCTGTAGAAGCAATAGAACATATCACCTGGACTCCATGGATTGTCTCCCCAAGGTCCACCTTCTCTGGAGGAACCCGAATAACCTTATAGGAGAAACCTGAAAAATGAAAAGTCCTATCTTACCTGTTTTACATATATTCTAGATTAAAAGACAACCCTTGCACTTGTGGACTTGCCAAAAGCAATTAAGAGATTTATGCAATATGTGTGACACTCTTATTTCCTGAAGGGTTATTTCAAACAAAGATCTGGATCTTAAAAATGTTAGCTCTATGAAAATAATTAGCTAACGTTTTGAAACAGACATCCAAAGTGATCAACCAATGATTCATTGTACTATAATGCTAACTTCATCTCTAATTCGTAGGAAACATTAAGATAGCAGCCAAGCACTGTTCACAATAGCAAAGACTTGCAACCAACTCAAATGCCCATCAATGATAGACTGGACAAAGAAAATCTGCCACATATACACTATGGAATACTATGCAGCCATAAAAAAGGATGAGTTCATGTCCTTTGCAGGGACATGGATGACGCTGGAAACCATCATTCTCAGCAAACTAACACAAGGACAGAAAACCAAACACCGCATGTTCTCACTCATAAGTGGGAGTTGAACAATGAGAACACATGGACACTGGGAGGAGAACGTCACACACCAGGGCCTTTCAGGGGGTGGGGAGCTAGGGGAGGGATAGCATTAAGAGAAATACCTAATGTAGATGACAGGTTGATGGATGCAGCAAACCACCATGGCATGTGTATACCTATGTAACAAACCTGCACGTTCTGCACATGTACCCCAGAACTTTAAGTATAATAATAAAAAAGAGCTATTATATAATGAGGTAAGGATTATAATGGACCTGTCTCATATGTATGGTGAATAGACAGGTCATAGAGTTGAAGTTCTTAAACTCAAAAAAAAAAAAAAGATAGCAGCCAGGAATATCCTCAAATTCTGTTCCTTTACTCCCTTCCCCTATTCCAACAACTACAGTCTCCATTTGCACTCATGTCCAACTCCTTCCCTCCAGCCCTCTGGACCCCTAGCTAGGGTCACTCTGGGTTCCATTTCATCCTTTCTCATCAACATTCTTTCATGCAATCATTCATCTGGCTATTGCTTACTGGCTCTTCAAGAATCAACGCAGATATCCACTCCTCAAGTAGTCTTCCCTGACTCCTCCCCACCCCAAAGGCACTTGGTGCCCCTATTGTATGTCCTCATTACATCCTCATAGTCATAGCACATATCTCATTGTATACAATTTTCTGCTTGTTTATCTGCTTTCCAGTACAGTTCTTTATTTATTTATTCTGCAACTACTACTTTTTGAGCACCTACTATATTCCAGACACCATTCTGAGTGTTCTTAGTACTATATTCTAGGCACTTGTATACAGAAATATGCAAAATAGACAAAAATCTCCCCCCTTCCTCCACTGGCTTCTTCTTCATTTTTTTTAGAGACAGGGCCTTGCACTATCACCCAGTCTGGAGTACAGTGGTGTGATCATAGCTCATTGCAGCCTCGAACTCCTGGTCTCAAGCAATCCTCCCACCTCATCTTCCCAAAGTGCTGTGATTACAGGTGTGAGCCACTGTGCTCAGACAAAATCTCTTATTTTGCCTTGTTGTTTTTCTTTTAAATCATATAATAAGTAAAAATACAATGTATCAGATGACAATGAGAACTATAATGGAAAATAAGCCAAGGAATAAGGATCAGGAGTGATCATATGAGGAGTAGGGGCTACTGTTTGCAACTTTAAATATGCTGGTCTGGAAAAGCTTCACTAAGTGGGTCATGTCTGAGTAAAGACCTAAAGGAGGTGAGGAAGAAAGCCTTGAGGATATCTGGGAGAAATGCATTCCAGGTGGAGGGAAGAGCAAATGCAAAAGTTCTCAGCCAGGAGCACGATTGGAGTGTTTAAGTATCAGCTAGGAGGCCAGTGTGGCCCTATCATGACAAGCGAGAAGGAGAGTCTAGGAGGTAAGCTCAGAGAAGTGGGTGTGGGTTAAAAGGATAACTCTGGTAACTCTGGTGTTACAGAGCTGAAAAGAAACTGAAGTGGGGCAAGGGCAGAATCAGGGCAACTAGTTGAGGGGCTATTGCAGTCATTCAAGTGAGAAGGGATAGTGACTCAAAGTAGAGTGGTGGCCATGGAGGTGGTGTGAAGTGGTTGGATTTTTGATATATTTTGAAGGCATTGCTGAAATTACTTCTTTTTTTTTTTTTTTGAGACAGGGTCTTACTCTGTCACTCAGGCTGGAGTGCAGTGGTGCAGTCACGACTCACTGCAGCCTCAACCTTCTGGTCTCAAGTGATCCTCCCACCTCATCCTCCTGAGTAGCTGGGACCACAGGCACATGCCACTATGTCTGGCTAATTTTTGTATTTTTTGTAGAGATGAGGTCTTGCTATATTGTCCAGGCTGGTCTCAACTCGTGAGCTCAAGCAATACACCCGCCTTGGCCTCCCAAAGTGCTGGAATTATAAGCATAAGCCACTGCACCTGACCCTGAAATTACTTTTTGATCAACTGATGTAAGAGATAAATGTAAAGGATGATTCCACAGTTATTGTCCTTAGCAACTGGAAAGATGGAGTTAGTATCTCCTGAGATGGGGAAGACTCATCTTAAGGAGAGAAAGAAATAAGCCAGGCACAATGGTGCATGCCTATAGTCCAGCTGCCTGGGAGGATGTCTTGAGCCCAGGAGTTCAAGTCCAGCCTGAGCGACATAGCAAGACCCCATCTCTAATCGAAGAAAGCAAAAGAAGAAGAAGGAAGAAGAAAGAGCAATGAGGGAGGGAGGGAAAGAAGGGAAGGGAAGGGAAGGGAAGGGAAGGGAAGGGAAGGGAAGGGAAGGAAGGAAAGGAAGGAAAGGAAGGAGAACAAGGAAGAGAGAGAAGGAGGAGGAGGAGGAAAGGAAGGAGAACAAGGAAGAGAGAGAAGGAGGAGGAGGAGGAGGAAAGGAGGAGGTGGTGGTGGTAGTTTAGAGGAAAATATCAGGAGTCTGGTTTTTGACAAGTTAATTTTGTAATGCCTATTAGACATCCTAGGAAGAATGCTGAGTAAGCAATTGGATATAAAATACTTGGGAGGTCTAGGTTGGGGATATAGATATGTTTTGAGAACCCACTACATACAAAACATCATGCTTTGTACAGTGATGAAAGAAATATTAGACAAGCTCTATAGTCCAAGAGTACTCTATTATTGTCTCTAATATTAGTCTGAAGAACATATTTTAAATAAGTATTAAAAACCAACTGGATTGATTAATGTTTACAGGATTTTTACAAATTTTAAAAAGCCTTTTAAAAATATCTAGAAAAGCTAAAACCAAAGCTTTTTACTTCCTAAAGGTAGCAATTACTAGCAAGCATTTTACTGTATTACAATGAGAATCACTAAGTTTCCCCCAAATGTCTATCAAGTAGTCAAGCTCCCTGCAGTTGCCTGCACATTAAGTTCCAGTTCATAAACTTCTCACTGAACCAAATAATCAAGTGAAGAAAAAAAAAAAAGTAGATTCAGTGTTCGTTGGGATTAGGAGAAGATAAAGAGATGAATTTCCTGTCTCAGCAACTGGATTACTCAATTCACGGAATTTAAACACATTAGTTAATGAGCTGTTCTAACTGCAAGTCTTGAAGACATTAGGTAAGACAAACAGACACCCAGGAAACACCCAGCAGAGGAATGTCCAGAAAGATTGGACCTGCCCAATACTGTCAGCTGAACTTTGCAAGACTCTCCAGGAGTTTGTATAAGGAGCAAACTGAGGCAAAGTAACAAGCACAGGCTCTCATGATGGGTGGCTGGGTTAATCGGTGAGATCCAGGGACCACTTGCACCAAGATCACCCAGAGACCATGTTAAAATGCAAATTCTTGGCCCCTTTTCAGTTCTACTAAACCGGAATCCCTGAAGATGAATGAAATCCAGATGATTCTATCTACATTCCAGATTATTGTTAGGCAATTAAAGGTTGAAAATCACAGATCTAGTTACTTTAATTTTAGAATATGTAATTCAGACCAGGCGCAGTGGCTCGCGCCTGAAATCCCAGCACTTTGGGAGACCGAGGCAGACGGATCACTTGAGGTCAGGAGTTCAAGACCAGCCTGACCAACGTGGCTGAAAACCCGTCTCTACTAAAAATACAAAAATTAGCCGGGCATGGTGGCAAGCACCTGTAATCCCAGCTACTCAGGAGACTGAGGCAGGAGAATCACTTGAATCTGGGAGGTGGAGGTTGCAGTGAGCTGAGATCGTGCCACGGCATTCCAGCCTGGGCAAGAGCGAGCCTTTGTAAAAAAAAATAAAAAATAAAAAAAAGTGTAATTGGCCAGGCACAGTGACTCACGCCTGTAATCCCAGCACTTTGGGAGGCCCAGGCGGGCAGATCACGAGGTCAGGAGACCAAGACCATCCCGGCCAACATGGTGAAACCTCGTCTCTACTAAAAACACAAAAATTAGCCAGGCATGGCAGAGGACACCTGCAGTCCCAGCTACTCCAGTGGCTGAGGCAGGAGAATCGCTTGAACCTGGGAGGCAGAGGTTGCAATGAGCGAGATTGCGCCACTGCACTCCTGCCTGGCAACAGAGCAAGACTCCATCTCAAAAAAAAAAAAAAATGTAGTTTAGAATGGTGAAATAGTATTTGTCATATTATGAATGAGTTACAAAGTTATCTACTTGGTTAACAGAGTTAATTTATTATAAAATTGATTTTTTTAATGATCAAGATAAGATAGATAGACCAAAAACTGCTGGGTTCATGGATCCATTTTGCTGAAATATTTTACTTAGAAGGATGTTTGCTGTTTCCTATAACAGCATTGAAGAATCCTCCTTATCTGAGATCAAGTAATAAAGAGGAGAGAGAGCTGGGTGTAGAGGTGTCCAGAGCACCCTCTCTCTACTTGTGCCAGTAAAAAACAAACCTGTAGTATTCATCTTTATATACACACCGTGCCTGGTCTCAATTATTTCTAAAAAGACCTTTATTGCAACTTTACCATATGGCCCAAAGGAGTTCCCCATATTGTATGCTGTTCCATCCAGGTCATAATGAGGATGTGCAGTTGCTCCATTCACAGCAATAAATTTGCTCCAATCTACCTGCAAATTTGAGACCACTGGAGATTTTTAATGGGCAGATCTCTATTCACATGCATAAATAGTAGAAATATCTAATGTTTTTAAAAATATGATAAGAAAACTGCAATGTAAGCCCTAATTTCTTGCCTCTGAGAAATAAAAATTATTTTTCCCACTAAAAAAAAGAAATCAAGATTAAAACAACAAACAAAAACACATCACCACTACTAACAACAAAACCACCCTGAATAAATTTGCCTAATATCACAGGAAAATTCAAAAGAAGCATAAGAATTAAAATTAAAAATCTAGTCTAAAATTTTCTTTTTAATTAACATGTTATGTGAAGGAAATACAGGTATAGACAACCTCCAGTCCAATACTAACCATAGCTAGGAAGAACACCCCAACTAGCCAAAGTAGATCAGTACTCTTCTATTTCTCCTTTACCCTAGCCTTCAGATATTAGGACTAAGGAAGGAGTTTAGAATTATATTTAAGGAAAACCAACCCAGAGGCCATCAGGCCAGAGAGTAAAGGTGACCTGCATCATGAATAACTTTCTTTTTGTGTAGTTAAGGCTTCAATTTCTTCTTGATATATACTACTCTAAAAAGTATTTCAAATGGAAAGAAATGTTAGGATCTATTTTATTCATTTTTTTTTACCTGTACTTTACCTTTTCTGTTTTTTCCAGAGTTTCAATGTCCACTTTATTCATAAAGTTGGTCTCAGTGCAGAGGTAGTAATCACCCTTGTACCGCACATAGTTGACATTAGTATTGTCAGTCATGGCTGAAACCAAACCCTAGAGTTATTTAAGTACCACAGCTTACTGTAGACGACGCTAAGCACACACTCAAAGGGAGAAAGCAGTTTCAACATCCTCTCACATACACAAAAAAATCTATTTTCAAGATTTATGTTTGTATAGATGGTTATATATCGTAATAGTTTAAATAATCATCACTATCACCTGCAGCTTTACCAGGCAGCTCAAACCTGGACATGAAACGTTCAAAAACATTCTTGCATGGATCCGGGAGAGCCAGTGTGCCAAATTCTGAGATCACAATTCGGTTTTTAGCACTGTTGGCCTTATATGTATCACTCTGTAGAAACTTGCTCCTGTATGTCACTGTGCCCTTTGCCATTCTGAACTGGTGAAGCAGCGCCATCCCATCAAACCAATGATTGTACCTTCAAACAGGAGAAAATAAATAAATATCAGTAAGAAAACATGAGATAAAAATGAGGGACAGAGTGATAGATCTTCATTTCAAATATAAAGATAAGGAAATGGGACAGGTTCCCAGCACAACCTGATTAGTCAGAGAACTTGAAATTGTGGGAGGAGAGCATTTTGGGTATATCCTAGGTATAAAAGGAAAGAATAGGCTGGGCGCGGTGGCTCACGCCTGTAATCCCAGCACTTTGGGAGGCCGAGGTGGGTGGATCACGAGGTCAGGAGATCAAGACCGTCCTGGCTAACGTGGTGAAATCCCATCTCTACTAAAAAATACAAAAAATTAACTGGGCATGGTGGCATGCGCCTGTAGTCCCAGCTACTTGGGAGGCTAAGGCAGGAGAATGGCGTGAACCTGGGAGGCGGAGATTGCAGTGAGCCGAGATCGCGCCACTGCACTTCAGCCTGGGCGACAGAGGGAGACTCTATCTCAAAAAAAAAAAAAAAAAGAATAATTTACATTCTCCTGACCCTTACCCCTGTCAAAAAAAAAAAAAAAAAACCTCACATTTTAGAAAACCCCTATTGTGGTGAATCCTAAGAAAATTCTAATCTTTACTCCACAGCTAAGATAATAGCATGAGAGGATATGGGATGGCTGATGTTTAACAAATCAGAATGAGCTCCAGGCCGGGCACAGTGGCTCACACCTGTAATCCCAGCAATTTAGGAGGCTGAGGCAGGTGGATTGCTTGAGACCAGCCTGGGCAACATGGCAAAACCCCGTCTCATTAAAAAAAAAAAAAAAAAGAAAGAAAGAAAAAGAACAAGTTCCTAAGCTTTTAGAAATAGTTATCTTCATATCTTATATGTATTAAAGTTTCCATTTACTTTACAATTTTTCAGCTTTATCAAGATTATGCTAAAGTAGACAAATAAGATAACTGTCCTTCCTAGATAATCATTTTTGTCCATATGATTACACTAGAAATGATCTACTTAAATAGTTAAACATTGAAAACTGTAAGGAAAAGTTTGTGGCTTCGCTTTTTAAATGGTTTATTATATGGTCTCTTCTTTCATATGCTTAACACATTGATTAACTGATTAACACATGTTAATCAGTTTAATTATTGGGTTCAGCTGAAGACCCTAAGAGGTAAGAGGGGAAATTTTGCCTCCCCAAACATATACTGGAATATTACTTATCCTTTAAAACAAAGGAAATCCTGTCACATGTTACAACATGAATGAACCATTGAGGACATTATGCGATATGAAATATGCCAGTCGTAAAAAGACAAATGCTGTATGATTCCACTTGTTAATCCACTTATATAAGGTATTTAAAGTAGTCAAGTTCATAAAAACAGAAAGTAGAATGGTGGTTAACAGGAGGAAGCAGGAAGGAGAAATAAAGAGTTGTTGCTTAATGAGTATAGAGATTCAATTTCACAAAATGAAAAAGTTCTAAAGATCTGTTTCATGACGAGATGAATATACTTAACACTACTTAACTGTTGTCTTAAAAATGGTTAGGATGGTAAATTTTATGTTATATGTATTTTACCAGAATTTTTTAAATTGCAGGAAAGAAAAAAGAAAAAGTCCTTCTTTAACCCAATGATTTGAGATGCCACTATTATCAGATACCTAAATTTCCCTAAGTTCCTGGGTTTACTTCTGGTCTTTCTATTCTATGTCATTCATCTATTGGTCTATTCTTGCACCAATATCACAATGTTTTAATTGTAAAGGTGTTATGGTGTATTTTAATATCTGGTAGGGCTAGTTGCTCCCTCTGAAAAAAAATTTATTGTTTTCTTGTCAATTCTTACATATTTATTGTGCTATATGAACTTTAGTATCAATTGGTCCAACTTTCTTAAACAGCTTGTTGGAATTTTTATTAAGATTGTATTAGATTTATAAATTGATTCAGGAGAACTGGGACATCTCTATGATGTTGAATCACTCTATTCAAGAACAGGGGATGGTCTTTACATTTGTTTGAATTTGTCTTCCAAGGGTGTTTTAAAGTTTGCATATTTCTAAATTCATTGCTAAGTATTTAATCTTCTTTGTTGCAATTGTAAATGAAGTTTCCCTACCATTATGTTCTCTGATTATTGTTTGCATATATGAAGGATATTATTTCAGTGTGTTAATTTTACATCCTATGACCTTACCTTTTATTGTTAAATTTAGTTTTATCATTGATCCTCTATGGTTTTCCAGGATTAATACATTATAGTAATATGATATAATAGTAATATTATATCATTTGCATAAAGAGATAATTTTACTTTACTAGTCCTTGTGTCTCTGGTCAATGTCTTTCATCTAATTGCATTGCTTACATCTGGTACAATGTTGAACAGTAGTGAAGATACTGACCATCCCTTCCTGTTTCTGGACTTGAAGAAAATACTGGTATATTTTCCAATGTAGTATTACTGCTTGTAGCACCAAGATATAATAGATAGAGATACATAAGATATTTATAATATATATTATATACATATACCAAGAGATATATATTAAGAAATACATGCATATAAAATCATATTTAGCAACTATCCAACAAATCCTACAAATCCTATTTTCTTTTCTTTTTTTTTTTTTTTTTTTGAGACAGAGTCTCACTCTGTCGCCCCAGGCTGGAGTGCAGTGGCACGATCTCAGCTCACTGCAACCTCTGCCTCCCGGGTTCAAGCAATTCTCCTGCCTCAGCCTCCTGAGTAGCTGGGATCACAGGCACGTGCCACCACACCCAGCTAATTTTTTGTATTTTTAGTAGATACGGGGTTTCACCATGTTAGCCAGGATGGTCTCGATCTCCTGACCTTGTGATCCACCCACCTCGGCCTCCCAAAGTACTGGGATTACAGGCGTGAGCCACTGCGCCCAGCCAAACCCTATTTTCTTAAGCAATTTTTAGGAAGAATGGATGTTAAATTTTCACAAAAGCTTTTTCAACATCTATGGAGATAATTCTGTGATTATTTTTCCTGGAACTTACTAATATGGCGTATTTGTATTGTATTAATGAATTTACTAATAATAAGCCTAACTTGTATTCTTGAAATTAATCCCACCTGATCAAAGTTAATTTTATTTTTTAATGTGGTATTGAATTCTGTTTCTTAACAAAATATTTATTAGTGTTATATTAGTATTATATATTTTGTACTTCTTTTTTAAGAGACAGGGTCTTGTTCTGTGGTCCAGGATGGAGTGCAGTGGCACTGTCATAGCTCACTGCATCCTCAATTCTGGGCTGAAGTGATCCTCCTGCCTCAGCCTCCCAAGTAGCTGGGACTACAGGGACACGCCCCCACACTTGGCTACTTTTTAATTTTTTTGTAAAGATGGAGTCTCACTATGTTGCCCAGGCTAATCTCAAGCTCCTGGCCTCAAGAAATCCTCCTGCCTCAGCATCCCAAAGTGCTGGGATTACAGGTGTCAGCCACGATATTTGGCCTATTTTGTACTTTATCGTGGATATTCGTAAATAATATTAGTCTGCAGTTTACTTTTTTCCATGATCTTTGTCATATTTAGATATTAATATGATGCTTCCTTTATAAAAACAATAGGGAAGTTTCCTTCATTTTTGATGCTCTGAAATAATTTATAAAGTATTGGGACTATCTCACATTTGAAGGTTTGGTAGAATTCATCTGTGAAATAATCTGGGCCTGGTAATTTTTTTGAGAAACATTTCCTTAATAAGGTTCCTATTTCTTCTAAAGAAACTGGTCTACTTAAAACTTCCCTCTCTGAGGCCAGGTGCTGTGGCTTACGCCTGTAATCCCAGCACTTTGGGAGGCCGAGGCAGGCGGATCACAAGGTCAGGAGATCAAGACCATCCTGGTTAACACGGTGAAACCCCTACTAAAAATACAAAAAAATTTAACCAGGCGTGGTGGCAGGTGCCTGTAGTCCCAGCTACTTGGGAGGCTGACACAGGAGAATGGCATGAACCCGGGAGGTGGAGCTTGCAGTGAGCCGAGATCGTGCCACTGCACTCCAACCTGGGCGACAGAGTGAGACTCTGTCTCAAAAAAAAAAAAAAAAAAATTTCCTTTTCTATCAATTTTGTTTAATTCTTTTTTATTTTTATTTTTGTAGAGACAAGGTCTGGCTAGGCTGCCCAGACTGGTCTCGAACTCCTTTCCTCAAGCAATCCTCCTGCCTCACCCTCCCAAAGTGCTGAGGTTATCCTGCCTTGAGCTCCCAAAGTGCTGGGATTACAGGCATGAGCCACCACACCTGGCCTCCATCAATTTTGGTAATCTGCTTTCCCTATAGAATTATCCATTTTATCAAGGCTTTCAAATGTATTTGCATAAAGGCCTTCAAAGTCTCTTGTAATTAATTTTTTTCTGCTTCAATTATTTCTTCTCCATTGTCATTTCATACTTTGTATGTTTGTGCCTTTTCCTTTTTTCTTCTTGACCATGTTAACTAATGGTTTGTCTACTTTGGTAGTATTTTTCAAAAAAACTTACAATAATTTCAAGAATTTTTGCTACTTAATATATTTCACCTTGTTAGATTGTGTCTCAAGAGATCCTGTCATTCCATGCATTCATTTATTCAAGTCAACATCTTCTTGAGTCCCTACTATCTGCCAGGCATTGTGCCAAGGTCAGCACTTACAGGCACATAAATAATGGATACAAAGTGATTGCTGCTACAAGGGAGAAACTTTAAAAAAAAAAAAAGCTATTTATGCAGAGAAGGAGCAATAGGATGGAAAGCTGGGGGAATCAGGGAAAGGTCAAGAGGGAAGGAGACATTTGGCTGGTTCTTTACGGATGTCTGCCAATTGCAGAGAGGACAAGGGCAGAGATGATGGAAGGAGGAAGGGTCAGAAGACATATAGTATCTTAGAGGAACAGCCAGTTGAGGGGGTAGCATGTGGGCGGAGCAGGTGATAATGTTGGAGAAACAGGTCTGCCCACGACCACCAGCACTTAGACTAAGGCTTAATGACCTTCAACAGGAAAGTGTGAAGTTGTGAAACAGGAGAGTGAAACTGTGTGACCGGCATCCTGGAATACAAAGAACAGCATACAGATTGAAGAAGCCAACGAGGAGCCCAGGCAATAATTCAAGCAAGAGAAGATAAGCACCTAAACTGAAGCAGCACCAGTGAGCAAAGGACAAACTCCAGAAACAAGTCAGAGATGACTGATAGGATGTAGACAGCGACAAAGAGAGGGTCCAAAATGTTGGACCTGAATGACTGGCTGGCTGGTGATGCTTTAACTGGGATGGAGAAGACATGAAGAACAAGCACTGGGAAAAGTCAATGGCTCGGTTTTGAGAGAGTCTGAACTATTTGTAGAACACCAGAGTATAGATGTTCCACAGCCAGTTGGCAAAACACAGGTCTAGAGCCCAAGAGCTGGGGGCGGGGTGGGAGATCCATGTTTGAGAGTATCTAGATAAGTTTGCCAGTGAGATAAGTGCCATCTACCAAGCACTTACTACATGCCAGGTATTGTGCTAAGCACTTTGCTACATCCCTTATACATATATTTTCCCTTCACATTGACCCTGCGAGGAAATATTTTTCCCATTTTACAGATGTGGAAACCAAGGTTCAGAGGAATATGCCCACAGTTGCAGGGCTGCTCAGTGACAGAACAAGGGTTTGAATTCAGTGATGACGCTAAATCCTGGGCTCTACAGCATCCCAAAAGGTAAGGTGAGCTCTAAGAGTTATTTGGCAGATGAGGAAATGGGAGGGATCGTGATGCATCAAAGTTTCAGAGAAGAGGAAAAGAGCTGCGTCCTCTGATCAGAAGTGTGGGGAAGTGCGGAGGTGGGAAGAGGGAAGCTGAAGGAGTTCAAATGCAGCTGTCCCTCAAGTCATTCCTTCCTATGAAGTAGGCCAGTTTATCTGCTGAGGGTGAAAGGGACGGGGAGAATGAAGGAGGCTTCAGGAAAGGGTCAGAGACTTGCGGCAGACCCTGTGAGAAGATGGAAAGAACACTGACTGCTAAAGATTCCTGGCAGCACCAAGCACTCAGCTAGGACTGGAAATCATCATTTTGTAATTGAATCAATCAGCAAGGTTGTATGATTTGCTCTAGACCTGCTCAGCAGGACTGGGCCATGAGCAGGGGAAACCAAGGATGGGCTAATCTAGGACTGAAAATCATCAGAGGAGAGGCAGTGACCACCAGGGCAAAGGAAGTGAGCGTGGTGTTGAAAGTGCTTGAAGTGACTGACGGTAAAGTCTGGGCCAGGGAGAAGAAATTAAGAGACAGTAGATAAGCCTTAAGAAGGTAGTGGACAGGAAGGAAAGGAGAACTTGATGGAATGAAAAAAATAAGTTTAATGGGAATGTAGGACCGTGAAAACTGGGGTTTTGAGCAGAGTAAAGTTTCAGAGTTCAAGATTTCAGGGGTGGAGAAATTCTGTATAGTAAGTTCCAAGTGTGGCCTTAGTATGTGGCCTTGTCGAAGTGGCATGGAGGGGGACAATCATTACAGTGGCGATAGTCCAGGAACTGGGAGCCTAGACTATGGATCCTGAAATCCTGTCTAGAGAATGGTAGAGACTAAAGGTGCTGACGCTATTTAGTATTCTGCCCAGATTCATGTAACTTTATTCTTTTTACTTTTGTTTAATTTTTGTTTTTTGTAGAGATGGAGTCTTGCTATGTTGCCCAGGCTAGCCTTGAACTCCTGGCCTCAAGCCATCCTCCTGCCTTGGCCTCCCAAAGCACTGTGATTATAGGTGTGATCAACCACACCCAGCCTTCACATAACTTTAAAAACTAGTATGTCTTCAATTAAATCATTGATGAAAAAAATTTAATTGAAGATAGACCTTTGGCATGTCATCACTGTGTCTGCATGCTGACATGGATCTGTTAAATGGCATCTAACAGAGTGATAAGAGATTCACAAGTGAGCAGGGCTATTCTTATCCATAGGTGAAGGGTTACACTGCCCTTCCCTAGGTCACTGCCTCTCCCTGTAGGTCCTATCTGGGGAGTCAACCACTAAACTGAGTGTCTATCTCCTTTTGACCTAAAGATATCTGTCCAAGGGGAAGGCAAGACCTTGTTCCTGCTATAAATGCCCACCACTGGCTCTGAAGAAACTGATTTGAGGACAAAGTAGACACTTGTGAGGGCCAGCCATGCCATCCACTTCTCCCACAAAGATGCTTATCTTCAAAGAGGCCTGTGGGGCAAGCCTGGGCCCTGAGTGGTTCTGCTACTTGGTTTGAACAATACATTACAGCCTCTCCTTCTGCAGCAGGTGAAATACCATATACCCTCTGTAAGAGGCTGTTTATTCTCTGGGAGCTGGATTAGAAGTTTCTCCTCCTCCTCCCCTTTGCCCTCCTTCTCTTCTACTTCTCTTTGCCTCATAATCTTTTTTTAAACATCCCTAATTCTTGGTCTGTTTCCAACAACAGACCATGAGAGGCACAGAAGGACCATGATCAAATTCCAACCAGGCCCAGAGGAAAGGGCATGATGATTTACCAGACAGAAGCTAGAATGGTGATTGCCAGGGGTTAGAGGAAGGGAAGAATGGGAAATTAGTGTTCAGTGGATACAAGGTTTCAGTTTTGCAAGGTAAAATGAATTCTGTGGATGGATGGTAGCACAATCGTATGAATCTACTTAATGCCATTAAATTCTATATATAAAAGTGGTTAAGATGGTAAATTGTATGTTATCTATATTTTACCACAATATTTTTTTAAAAAACAATAATTCCTGGAATTCATCTAGCCATTAAAAATAATGATCGTTCAGACTTGGTAGCAACATGGATAAAAAGGCTTATGATAGTGTGAAGTTTTATTAAAGTGGAGCAAAAAATACTACATATAACTGTAATTGTTTAAAACAAATCCGTAGAAATAGCGAGGAAAACTGGCAGGAAATACATCAAAGTGCTAATAAAGGATGTGTCAGGTGGTACATGCTTCCCCTAGCCTCCCTTTTCTATATTTTAAAAAGTTTATATGGGTAAAACTTTCATAATAAATTGTTTCTAATATTTAAAAATGTTTAAAACAAAGCAGATTCCTTCCTGGCCATAGAGGTTTTGTCACATAGCTTCACGTCCCTAGTAGACACTGAGAGAAATTTATACTGAAGAGTTATTGGTTTTTCATTTTTTTCAACACTTTATATCGTTTATTAATGCAGTATACATTAGATCTAAAATCTGCAGTTTCTAAGCACACCATGTTTAGATCTTTCAGATTGTTCTGCAGTTTTAGGTTATTTCTACAGAGGTACCTTTAAGTGAATGAATAATACCTTCTATAATTCCTGAAAATATAGTACAGAGTGAAATGATTTAAATATAATTTAGGCACATATTGATTATGAAAATAGATTATTTCTCAATACAATACTTCTCTGTCTTGGTAAAAATAATAAAGCAAAGAAAATAATTCATTTCTGAAGTTGCTTTCCTTTACTTGTAAAGGTCTGATCTCCTCCCACTATGCATATGTACCCTTTACTGTTAAGGAAAGCTTTGCATATGTACATATGGAAGAATAAGCTACATAAATACTAAAGATATGTCATTCCCCCAAAGGAGACACAGGTGGCTTTCAATGATTCCTTGCCTCATGTTGATGAGTCTGTAGAATTCAGAACCCATTTGGACACAGCTAATATCCCTGCACTTGGGGTAGAAATAAGGACACCAGGTCATTGGTAGGGAGGTACAGGCCCTTCCTCTGCTGCTGCAGAAAGATAATGACTCAAGAAAATTGGGCTAAAATTTGTTTAAAAAAAAAACAAAAAATATAAGTAAAAGAATCACAGGTGCTGACTGATTGGTATTACATCTTGGACGAGCCAAATGCCTTTATTTTTACTTTATATATATTTTTTGGTGGCCGTAATCAAATGTGTGTTTAAAATTCCTCATTCCCAGGCCAGGCACAGTGGCTCATGCCTGTAATCTCAGCACTTTGGGAGGCCAAGACAGGCTGATCACGAGGTCAGGAGATCGAGACCATCCTGGCTAACACGGTGAAACCCCGTCTCTACTAAAAATACAAAAAAATTAGCCAGGCGTGGTGGCGGGCACCTGTAGTCCCAGCTACTCGGGAGGCTGAGGCAGGAGAATGATGTGAACCTGGGAGGCGGAGCTTGCAGTGAGCCGAGGTTGCACCACTGCACTCCAGCCTGGGCGACACAGCGAGACTCTGTCTCAAAAAAAAAAAAAAAAATTCCTCATTCCCCACTGTAGGGTTCTAGCTGCAATTATATTACATTGGCCTTTAGCAGACAACTCAACCATATTCATTAATATAAGCTTTGATTGCAGTAGCTCTGGATTTAGTATCTATTTCTAAGCTGGCCCTATGTAAACTATTTGGTATTTGAATTAAATGAATATTAATGATGCACCTTGGTTTTTTGGTTTTGAAGTATCTTCCTATGCTTGTGATGATTGTATGAGAAAACTAGGCTAATAGTGTAAACAGACAGAATTGCTTGGTCTGGTGTTCAGTGGAACTTGCCTAGAATGAAATTCTGAGAAATTCTCATTTGTAAGTGTTGTAGTGATAGGTAAGTTCTTCCTCCATCCAGAGTTCTACTGTACCTTTGGAATGACAGTGATGTACAACAATGTCTTTCTTTCCACTCTGTTTCAATCAGTAAGAACTGGATATTACTTTAATTTAGCTACTGTTTTTTCCTAAAAAGTAAACATTGTAAAAACGAACCTGAAAAGAGTCTTAAGGAGTCTGATCTCACCATATTCATACAGTGTGACAGGTATTTAAAGAGGGGAGGAATCACTAAAGCAATTTATAAACCTAAACAACCTTTACCAAGTTTTCATAAAGTTTTAACAATTTAAATATCCATACTGCATCTAGGTATTCAATAAATATAATTGCATATGTTGTGCTTTCCATAAATTAAAATCCTCAAATGCATCTCAAACCAAGATGGTATTTCCACATCATGCCTATTTAAAAGCAAATATAATAGATACTATTCCTGGTCATAAAACTAGGTAAACCCTCCTACCCCGTTCAAAAAGCAGCAATATCTAGTTTCCCTACATCTATTAAATGAGTGCTTTTCTGTTAAAAATCAGAAGATGGAAAAAAGTCAGTTTTTTCCATTATGCACCGCTGAGAACAAGCATAATCCTCTAAATGTTTTTTTAAAATTTCCTTATAGTGTTATTTCTTCTAGACAACTGAGTGGATGGAGAAAGAAAAGTGATAAGGAAAATATTTTCATCTTGTAGATCTTCCTCCAGTCCCTAAAATTTCTCATCTGACACTTTGTGACATGTATAGTGGTGTTAGCATCTCTTCAAATATAGCTCCCTTCATGTTGGACCCTCTCAGGTTGGCTTCTTGAAGATCACACCCACACAGATCACAGTTATCTAAATCAGTTCCTGCCAGAGTCGCTCCTCTGAGGTTACAGTTCTTCAACTTTGCATTTTTTAATGTAGCCACCCTCAGGTTAATTCCTGTCATCTGACTTCCTTCCATATCTACACCTTTCAGATTAACACCTTCTAAATTGGCTTTAAGACCAGAAGGATCCTCAAAATTACACAGTTTCAGGGATGCTCCTTCCACATTAGAACAGAGCATCTTTTTATATATATATAAGTTCTAGGGTACATGTGCACCACGTGCCGGTTTGTTACATATGTACACATGTGCCATGTTGGTGTGCTGCACCCATTAACTCATCATTTACATTAGGTATATCTCCTAATTCTATCCCTCCGTGCTCCCCCCACCCCATGACAGGCCCCCCAGTGTGTGATGTTCCCCATCCTGTGTCCAAGTGTTCTCATTGTTCAATTCCCACCTATGAGTGAGAACATGCGGTATTTGGTTTTCTGTCCTTGCAATAGTTTGCTGAGAATGATAGTTTCCAGCTTCATCCATGTCCCTGCAAAGGACATGAACTCATCCTTTTTTATGGCTGCATAGTATTCCATGGTGTATATGTGCCACATTTTCTTAGTCCAGTCTATCATTGATGGACATTTGGGTTGGTTCCAAGACTTTGCTATTGTGAATAGTGCCACAATAAACATAGGTGTGCATGTGTCTTTATAGCAGCATGATTTATAGTCCTTTGGGTATATGCCCAGTAATGGGATGGCTGGGTCAAATGGTATTTCTAGTTCTAGATCCTTGAGGAATCGCCACACTGTCTTCCACAATGGTTGAACTAGTTTACAGTCCCACCAACAGTGTAAAAGTGTTCCTATTTCTCCACATCCTCTCCAGCACCTGTTGTTTCCTGACTTTTTAATGATCGCCATTCTAACTGGTGTGAGATGGTATCTCATTGTGGTTTTGATTTGCATTTCTCTGATGGCCAGTGATGATGAGCATTTTTTCATGTGTCTGGCTACATAAATGTCTTCTTTTGAGAAGTATCTGTTCGTATCCTTTGCCCACTTTTTGATGGGGTTGTTTGATTTTTTTCTTGTAAATTTGTTTAAGTTCTTTGTAGATTCTGGATATTAGCCCTTTGTCAGATGGGTAGATTGCAAAAATTTTCTCCCATTAACAGAGCATCTTGACTCCCTGGATATTTGCACAGTCAAGCACTGATCCAGAGAGATGAGCTCGTTCAAGATTTGAACAGCAAAGATTTGCATGTGCAAGATTACAGCAGCTTAAACTGGCCATTTTGAAGTGAATGTATCGAAGGTCCAAACAAGAAAGATCGGCACCACTGAAGTTCAAACCCTGGCATCACAGTTCTGACTTGGTTGGAGTTGCTAGTAAAAATCGGACAAATTCCTTTTGGGATATTGGTGAATGATCCTCCAGTGGTTGAGAATTCTTTATTGCCACTTTTAGGTGTTCAATGAGTCAATACCAAAAAATCTTGCTTCTTCTAACACACCTAATAAATTAATGCTATCATTTACAATGAGCTGTCCACGATGCAAGTAGTTCAAAATGGGTTCAAAGTACTCAGGACTTCGGTCAATTAAGAAAGCTCGGCCGGGCGCGGTGGCTCACGCCTGTAATCCCAGCACTTTGGGAGGCCGAGGCGGGCGGATCACGAGGTCAGGAGATCGAGACCATCCCAGCTAAAACGGTGAAACCCCGTCTCTACTAAAAATACAAAAAATTAGCCGGGCGTAGTGGCGGGCGCCTGTAGTCCCAGCTACTTGGGAGGCTGAGGCAGGAGAATGGCGTGAACCCGGGAGGCGGAGCTTGCAGTGAGCCGAGATCCCGCCACTGCACTCCAGCCTGGGCGACAGAGCGAGACTCCGTCTCAAAAAAAAAAAAAAAAAAAGAAAGCTCCTCTATCATCTTGCTTACTTCCCCAGACACCTTTGTCCTTAAACATGTGGGCCAGCATACTGTCAGGTTCTTTATTCACTAAAGTGCTCCGTGTAGTTGTAAAGTACCGCCCTCCAACATTTAATGTCAGCCACTCTGTGTGGAATCCTAACAATCCTTCAGGAGGCTTAGAATCTGTCTGAGGATCAATAAATGGCTCTCCTTCACAAACAAACAAAACATCATCATCCCTGTTCAAAGCAATATCATCAATCAGTCCACCTTTCCCATTATACACACTGGTGGCTTTTATGCCGAGTTTACTGCTGGCCACAGAAAGCAAATCAGATAAAGTTCCATATACAACAACTACCTTTCCGTTCTTGGGGCTGCCGTTCAGGAACAGGGTCATCCGCCTCATCACGCTGCCCCCACTGGGTCCTGAGTGGGCCACCACCCTCCCACCTGGTCCTCCTCCCACCTTTTTCTCCTCCCGCCCTTCCCCCCCTCCACCCACTTGGATTCGCCTCCCTTCGCCACCTTTCTGCCCTTGGGGACACACCACACACATGCACTCTGTCCCACACCCAGGGCTCAGCCAGTCCTCCTTCCCACCCTGCTTCTAGGCTCCTCAGCCTGCCTGGGTTTTTCATTTATTGGCATCGATTTATTGAATGCTATTCAGGTGCAGACCACTGTTACAGGTAGTGGGGATACAGGATGAACTAGAAAAAGTCTCTACCCTCATCAAATTACATTCTAGTGGGGGAACAGAGCTTAACACTCAAATAACAAATAAAAAATACCAGACACTGATAACACTGTGTAGAGAATTAAAATAGGTAATTATAATTAATACAGTCAGCCCTCCATATCCATATATTCCACATCTGTGGATTCAACCAATCTCTTGAGTCAAAAATATTGTGGGAAAAAAATGCCACAAAGTTCTGCAAAGCAAAACTTGAATTTGCTGAGTACTAAGACAAATCCATGGGAATGAAGTATGTGTAAGCATTGTATTAAGTATTATAGAGTAATTTAGAGATGATTTAAAAGATAATGGGAGGATATATGTAGGTTAAAAGCAAATAAAAGCATTTTATATAAGGGACTTCAGCATACTTGGATTCTGGTGTTTAGGGGGTCCTCTAACCAATGCCCTGTGAATGCTGAGGGATGACTGTGCTGGCATTTTTATGTTGGGAGATCAGGAAAGGCTCAAAGGACATGAGATTTGAGTTGACATCTGAATGAAAAGACCAGTCTTGGGAAGATTAGGGAACATAGGTGAGAGAACTAATGCTAAGATGCTGAGAAGATACAACTGTGCCCAGTTTGAGGAACTGAAAAAGACCATGTGTCTGGCAAGTGCTGGGTGAGGGAGAGAGTGGTATGAGGAGACATTGCCCTTCCTTCAGGAACTTGTGGGGAAACAGCTCAGTCACCACACTGACAGCTTCTGACACCTCTCTTCTTTTGGTACAAACCACAGAGGGCTTCAAATTTACAATAGTCTACAGAGCAGAAAAAGCAGGACATTTTGTTTAAAAAGTCTCCTTTCTTCTCCTCTAGGCTACAGTTTCTTTATCTGTAATCAAAGGGATGGAATGGAAATATTAACCTCACAGAGGAAGCAGATATTAATGCATATTCCACAGAACCAGCCCATGCCAAGAAATCCAAGTTGTTCTCCAAAATCAAGGCTTACTTATCCTTCCCAAACTCGAATTTCCCAGGTCCAATTCGAAGTAGAGAGCCATTGAGCCACTTAGGAAAATGTCCCCAGACTCGAGCAGAGATGCCCCGTGGAGCCTCTTCCACTGTGGTCAGCAGCGGTGCAACACATGGCAGACCCCGACACTGCCCAAAGACGGCTTTTTTCTGAGGAGTATTTCCCATGTACCTTTTGAAAACTGTGCAGAGGAAACCAAAAGCACAAAAAATATTTTACCAAATCTTCTATAAACTTGCCTGTTTCCCACAGACAATAATCTTATCAACTGGCAGCTTGAGGGAAACATAAACCTAACACCAAATACAGGCTCCAAATTTCTTCTCTCTCCTTCCTCATTCCCAGACTATCAACGCTTTGGTTCTCCATTTTCAACCCACAACAATTCTTCTATTTTTTGTAGTACTAATCTGCCTAAGAACTAACTTAGGACTACTAATCTGCCTAAGAACTAACTTAGGACTTCAATTACTATTTTTATCATTTCTCATAGTTGAACAATACCTGTCTTTTTACAAGAATAAATCTACATGCCAACCCCAGATGTGCTAAGAGCAACCTCGTTGTTATAAAAATGACCACCATTCAATATTATCCAATTATATTGACCCCAGTAATTTAGATATACCAGAATGTGATTCCAAAGACTTCATAGCGATTCCTGTGAATTTAATAAGATCTTAAATTTAATTCCTTTTATTTTAATGGCATATACATGAAAATACAAGGCATTTTCCAGTAGAAGGGTGTCAAAAATTAAATTATGCAGTGATATCCAGTCTGAAATTACCTAAAGTGCAAAAGGCACAAGAAGTAAAAATCATAGTTGTATAATAAGGAACTGAAACTTCTCCCTATTATTTTAACATTACTGAGTGTTCACAAGGCAGTACTGCCTAACATAGAGGGGTGGTCAAATAAATAATTAAGTGCTATAAAATAGAATTCTTTATCTCATAAAAGTTTAAGAGTGATTCAGAAATCTAGGCTAGAAAAATGAGCTAACATATAGGGACACTATTACTCTGAAGAAGTGAGATTTGCATTCTTTTAGCAAGTTGTTACTATCCCATTTCTTTCAAATCTTTCAAAAATTCAGCTTGAAGCACACGAGACATTCTACTCCCCTATATGACATGTAACAAATGAGTCAAACCTAATTCTTTACTGATTTTTCAAATAAAATTCTCTTTCACCCTGAATGTCTTTCCCAATGTCCTTTTCTCTAGTTCTAAGAAAATTCCAGCGGGGCACGGTGGTTCAAGTCTGTAATCCCAGCACTTTGGGAGGCCAAGGCAGGTGGATCACCTGAGGTCAGGAGTTCGAGACCTGTCTGGCCAACATAATGAAAGCCCATCTTTACTAAAAATACAAAAAAAAAAAATAGCCGGGTGTGTTGGCCGACCCCTGTAATCCCAGCTACTCAGGAGCTGAGGCAGGAGAATCGCATTGAACCCAGGAGACAAAGGTTGCAGTGAGCCGAGATCGCAGCACTGCACTCCAGCCTGGGCAACAAGAGCGAAACTTCGTCTCAAAAAAAAAAAAAAAAGCAAATTCCATTAATTGGTCAAGGTCTATCTCCAGTGTTACAGTACTTCCCTTAAGAGGCAGCACAGTGTAATATTTAAGGGTGTGAGCTGGGGCTCTACCTGGCTCCAGACTGGTTGGTTTCAAATATGCCCTCTCCTAAATAAGAAGGCTTGAGAAAGGCACTTATCACCTCTCTGTGGTCTGTTTCCTCTTTTCTAAGATGGTGATGATGATAATTCATATTACTTCTAAGGCTATAAGTAATAAATGAGTTAGTTTATGTAAAGCTTTTAGAACAGAATACTCAAAAAATGCTATTATTATATTTACATAGCTTTTAATGATCAGTCCAATAAGGTGTAATATCTCCTTTATTTTATTCAGTTGACGAAGTACTTGGTACTGCTGAGAATAAAAAGCATTAGAATCCTGAAATAAAAGAACTGACTGCCTAGTAAACAGATCACTGACACTGTGTTTTATTTCAGCATTGTTTCTCAGAGTCTGGTATGAGGACTACTTGCAACAGAAATACCTGGTGTTACTGCTAAAATGCAGTTTCCTGGACTCCATTCTGGTCCTAATAAATCAGAATCTCTGGGGAAGGACAAGCAGGTATTCTTAAGCATACTAAAATCTGGGAACTACAGTATCAGAAGTACAAAGAGGATGCTTTGAAAAGATAGAGAAGGAAACTCTCAGGTATTTATGTTACTCTACTTTTATTAACATTATGCACCATTTATCTTATTCTCAGATTAAAATAAATTCCCTAAGGTCAGGTATGTAATTTTACTCATCTTACTTTTTTAAGTAAATTGAATGGCCTGATTGGGCATTTGTCTAAGTAGAGATACACAAATTTAAAGCATTTTACATTGTAGAAAATATTTACATGTCTATATGTTGTATACTCTATTGCATGCTACTGGTAATCTGCTACATGCTCTTCAAAGTTTCCATAGAATTTGACATTAACACTTTCTTAAACTCCTTTCTATTCGTAGCTTCTGAGACATTGTCCTATTCTAACTTTCCTGCTGCCCTATAACTACTCTCTGCATTCTGCTAGTTTTATTACTTATTAGCTGACAACCTTGGGCAAGTTACTTAATGTCTCTGAGCCTCAGGTTTTTCCATGATAAAATGGAAATAAAAGGAGGTTAATACTTCCTGTTTATGTCTGTTGTCATAATCAAATATAAAGATAGTGGATGCTTTCCAAATGTTAATTCCCTTTATGGGCTCCTTATCCCCCTTACCACTTCATGAATGTTCCTAAGGTCCTACCTTGGATCTTTAATCTCAGCACTCTCCCTTGGCAATCTCATCTAGTCTCTTAATTTCATCAATTACTTCTTGCAGGTGACTTTCAACATGTCAAAATAGAATGTTTAATTCCCCCCCCCCCGCCAATCAATTTTCTTCATCTAGGATATTTCCCAACTCCTTCAGATGAAATTTACTCACCTAACTCATCCTTCAAGATCCAGTTGCCATGTCATTTGCTTTATAAACACAGCATTCCCCTTACCTACAGCAAGAACTGATTCTCCTTAGTCTGAACTCACAGCATCTGTTTATAGCTCTCATATGGACCTTATCTTATCTGTCTTGTATGATAAATGATACTACCAGTACTCCTTGAGTACAGGGTCTGGTGTTTGTCTCCTCTCTCCTTCCAGTACGTAATACATTCCCTTGCATACTGCAAACATTAAATTACTACATTAAGTAATTTTAAAATTTATAGTGCATATTAGTATGATTTCTGAAAGCTCTAGATCAGCCAATTTCTATACATAAAATCATGTAACAATGGTAACTATAATAGAAGGCTATAAAACATAAATGAGTTTTAAGGCAGTCCCCGCAAAATGCAAATAGAGAAACCAAACAATTACATTAGAACGTGTGGCAGTGATTTTTCAATTTAGAAAAGCCTAAATATTGAATATTCTTCTTATTGCAAATCCCAAAGAATACCAAGTCCCTGAATCCTGCCTTAAATATTGCATAAAATATACAAATGTGAAGGCTGTTTCCCTGACCATGAGGAAACAATCCTAACTCAGCCTTCTTTAACTTCCAGGACTCTGCGGAATTGCTATCTCATCTGAGCCACACAGGACACAAAGCTTCAGAAGCTCCCAGCAACCTTCAGGAAAGAGGCACAGAATTCTAAGCGCAGACTGGCAAGAAGAGGAGGATGAGGAAGAGAAAGGGGCAAACCCTCTACCTGGGAGCCGGTGCACCATCACAGGAAGGAAATCCACTGCAGTGGCAGAATGACTCCTGATAAAATGGAGAAAGACTCGAAAAAACATTTTTGTATTGAGCAGATCCAGTGATTTCCAAATCCTCTCACACTGGCAGTTTTGAGTACTACTAAACAGTGAACACGCACAGAACTGCCTGGACTGTCCCTCCCTCACTGACAGGTCAAAGAGAGGACGCAGCTTAAGGGGCGGGGCTTATTTCCATGACAACCGTCCAAACACCCTAGCTATAATACGCAGCTGTTTGAAATATTAAAATTAGACCACCAATAGTGGTCTCCCCCGCCCTAAACTTTTCTTTTTCAAACCTGTTCTCACACTACAGTTAAGTCCGTTTATCCTGATGCACAGCATCAATTTTTTTATGCCACTCCTCTTCTGGAAGATTCCGACACAGAATAAAGTCCGAATTTAGACTGCCACTAGAGGACGCTACAATCTGGCAACAATTTACCTTTCATCCTTTTTCTCTGCCTTTAAATCACTTCATCCTTCCTTTTCTTTTCTATTCATTAATTTTACAGAACATTTTCTGACAATCTAGCATGAGTGAAAGTATGCCCTTAAAATGTATATGACTTTATTAACATTTTTAGCACCAATGTAGCAAATACTGTGCTACAAAGTAAGAATACCAAGAAACAAGATTGTCCCTGCTCTCCAGTTTAGACCATACACTATTCCCCTTCATGAATTATCATCCCAGCAAAGTGACTAACATACCATGATACGTTTGTTCTTCTGTGCCACTGAAGAAACTTTTCCCCTGCCTGAAATATCCCCTTTCCTTTTCAAAAATCCAATTTAAAATCTACCTCTCTGACTCCCTTACCAAAAGGTCTTCTAGTAACTCCCACAGCACTGCCACAGAGTTGCTTTTAACATTAACATATCATGTTTTCCTAGCAAAATTGTATTTCAAGAAAGAAGTGGTTAAAATTGTCAGAAGGGAGTGTCTTAATACATATAGCAGAGTACGAAGATAGTTCGGTATATATTTTGATTAGTAATCAATGAAAAATAACTTATAAATTTGTGATATTTTATTGAAATAGTAAAGAGTAACATTAGAAGTGTAAATTAAAGGGCAATAGTATTCCTGCAATAGCATTTCTCCAGTTGTGAGATAATAATAATTATTATTATTTTCTGAGACAGAGTCTCACTCTGTCACCCAGGCTGGAGTAGAGTGGCACAATCTCGGTTCACTGCAACCTCTGTGTCCCGGGTTCAAGTGATTCTCCTATCTCAGCCTCCTGAGTAGCTGGGACTACAGGTGTACGCCACCATACCCAGCTACTTTTTTTAATTTTTATTAGAGACAGGGTTTTGCCACGTTGGCCAGGCTGGTCTCGAACTCTTGACCTCAAGTGATCTGCCTGCCTCAGCCTTTCAAACTGCTGGGATTACAGGTGTGAGCCACCATGCCTGGCCAAGATAATTACTCTTGTCTACGTGGATGGTACCAAAGCCATCCAAATTTGATTTAAAAAATAAGCCTTCGACACCCAAGAATGATCAATAAAAAAATAAATAAATAAGCCTTCATGATTAGGCTTTCAGGCACCTTTATACTACAAGGTATAACAATTCTGAACAGTGCTGAACAGTAAACACATTGTGACTTAAAATCAGTTCTCCAGTCTTAATCATATCAAATGAAATGATCAAATCAATTTACTGAACCTGCAAAGGGAAGAACTAGATGTTAAACAATGGTGATACCATCAGGATATAACAAGTATATTATGAAATCTAGTCTCAAACAATCTGTTGGCCTTATTTTTCATATTAGTAATAAATGCTTAGAAAAAGAACATTTCTTAATGATGGTAGGTCGAAATCCAGATGACATGTCGTATTAACTCACAAATCTTCTTGTTGTATTTAGTTTTAAAAAATTTCCTTTTGGCCGGGCGAGTGGCTCATGCCTGTAATCTCAGCATTTTGGGAGGCTGAGGTGGGTGGGTCACCTGAGGTCAGGAGTTCGAGACCAGCCTGGCCAACATGGCAAAACCCCGTCTCTACTAAAAATACAAAAATTAGCCGGGTGTGGTGGCAGGCGCCTGTAATCCCAGCTACTCAGGAGGCCGAGGCAGGAGAATCACTTGAACCCAAGAGGCAAAGGTTGTAGTGAGCCAAGATCGCACCACTGCACTTCAGCCTAGGTAACAGAGCAAGATTCTGTCTCAAAAAAAAAAAGCAAAGGAAAGAAAGAAAAAATTGAAAAAATTTCCTTTCCTTCTTTTTTTAGAGAGAGTGTCACTCTGTCACCCAGGCTAGAGTGCAGTGATGCAATCATAGCTCACGGCAGCTTCGGATTCCTGGGCTCAAGCCATCCTCCCACTTCAGTCTCTCAAGTAGCTAGGATTAGAAATGGGAGCCACTGCAAGTGGCAAAAAAGAAAAAAATTCATTTCTAATAATTACTTTGTTGACCTCCAACCTATTCTGTGCCACCACCTCTATCAACCCAATAATTTTTTCCACTTAACCAATTTTCTTTAGCAAGTATTATTTTATTTCACTTTTGTCATCTTTTCTTATATGAGTATTTACATCATGTGGTGTTTATGCCTTAAAATAGTAATGTGATAAAATGAGATTTTATTTTAGAGTTTAGAAGGCAGCAAGGCAAATGTGCAGTCTCCCTTAGGAATAACAATTCCCTGTAGTACTATTTGCAATTTTCTGACTGCTTATATTGGAAAAATATACATGTAATAAACTGAACTGCCTATATGATTGAAAAATGGGTGCTATTTTGTTTAAAAATCTGGTTAATATAGCTATCCCATATAGTAATATATAACATAGAAAGTTTTCAGTAAAATCATAGCAGTACTTCACATTAAAGGGATAATTTTTTTAGCTAGATGAGTAGTATAGATCCTCCAGTCCAAATTCAATTTCTCAATTATAATACGATTGAAGTGACCTCCCAAAGTCATCTTGTTGTTTAAGCCAATCTATTTACTTCTGGATCACTAATCTTTATCCCATACCACACTGCTGCTAATGTTTCTAAATATAATTCATTAACTGCACATGTTGATGTGGTTGATGTGTAAAAAAGCCAACTCATACAAGGTTCTGGTGAGTAATTTCTGGTTTTTATTTTACTACTTTTACCACAAGAAAATAATTTTAAGCCGAGAGCTTTTATTAGTCATACATAATAACTAATAGTGAAAATAATCAAATGGAAATAGCACACAGTTATGTCATTATATTCTAAGAAACTGGAAAAATCACCTCTAAGGTTTTAATCTTCTTTTATAATCCTGACCATAAAAAAAATTTCAAAATTATCTCCAAAACTATCTGATATTTAAACAAAATATTCTAAAAGTATAATATTATTAAACATTATAAATTAACTGAATCCTTTTTTAGAAGTTTCAGAAACACTAAGAAGTTTAAGGAAAAAATAAAAGAATCCACATAAGATTTAAATAATTTACACTTCTATAAAATGCACTAAATATTTGACCCTCAAAAGAAAAGTGACGTAGTTCATGTTAATGGCCAGCTTAGGACATTAACATGAACATTAATATTAACATTAAGGAATTTAAAAGTTCCTTTTTAAACCTAGAAATTCAAGGAGTTTCCCCTTCTCTATTCGAGATATACATTTTCTTTAACAACTCGAGAGCTTTCAAAGCATAAATGTCATTCTTTCATTATAACAATAATAGGTTTAAATTCTCAGCTTATTTCAAGTATATATTTTATCTGTGTAATGTGTTTGCAATCACTGTAAACCTCTGTCGCAGGAACTCTCTTTTTTGTATTAGAAAGTTTTCAATAGCATTGGCTTCTTTGAAGAGTTCATCTATCTCATCAATGTAAGATGCATCTACTGCTGCTCTCTCACTAATAGGAAAAAAAGTTGTATATTAAACTAAGTAGATATAAACAACATCATTATGTTGTTCTTCATTACACAATATTTGTTAACTATTTCATTTAAATGGCTTTATGTGCCACAGAACTTCATTAATTTACTAATACTCTTCAGAAAAAAAAATTAGTCCCACAAATATTTTTGACTACTCAAAAAGGTCTCCTGACACAACAGGAAGTGTATCTTATACATTATAACACTAATATTCAATTACATACATTATTTTTACAGCCACACAAACCACTATCCAAGTATAATGACTGTCCGGCAGTGTAAAAAAAACACTTCATAAAACATATTAGGCTAATAAAGTATTTAAATTTGGTCTTAAAATAGATATAGGTAAAATATAAATACAGTCATCCCTCAGTATCCATGGGGTATTGGTTCCAGAATCCCCCACAGATACCAAAGGAACATCCCTCATAGATATTCAAGTCCCTTATATAAAATGCCATAGTATTTGCATATAACCTAAGAACATTCTGCCATATAATTTAAATTATCTCTTGATTACTTATAAGACCAATACCATGTAAATGCTATGTAAACAGTTGTTATACTGTATTGTTTGAAAAATAATGACAAGAAAAAAATGTCTGTACATGTTCAGTACAGACACAACCACCCTTTTTTTCCAAATATTTTCAATGTGTGGTTGATTGAATCCACAGATTCAGAATTCATGGATATGAAAGGCTGACTCTCTATGACATAAATATTTATCTTTAATATCAGTCTGTTATCATTAATTTCATCAAACATTTTTCTCAAAGAGGTATTTACATAAAATTTAAAATGTAATGTCATCTAATTACAGACCAAGATATATACAGTCTAGTATTAGCTTGGCAAGAGTAAAAAAGAAAGGATTTTTAGTGGAAAAGTTGACGCTATTCCCTGAAAATAACCAACTAATCTATTATAAGGGACTGAGGTAGAATAAAAAATTCCAAAGTTTTAATTACTGGAGAGGTTTGGCAGCCACAGAATTAAACTTCCCAATACAGAGTTTCCAGAAGAAAACTAACATAAAGACCCCAGAGAATATACTATAAGTACTTGCCTTAAAAGCTTTGCATAGGTAGACAACATTAGATTAATTTCCTTGCTCACATCTGTTCAAGAAAAATCATTTAAGTTATAAAATATAACAAACCTTCTGCATTATAAGACTGATGTTTAGAAATATAAACATTTTATACATCACCATTTAAATCTTTCTCCAAGGCTTCATCTTTATAAAATAGTCCGGAAATTTCAGAGAAAGATGAATCTGATTTTCCAAGAGAGGACAGCTGTGGACTATCTGGCACTGGAGACTAACAGGACAAAATAAAGAAAACAGGTACAGTCAATAAGATCTTCAGGACATATACATTTTGTTTATTAAGAAAAAGCAAATAAAACATTTTTCAGAAAAAGGCAAACATGCTAGAAAGCATATGACTTAGTCATTTGAGTTTTTATTATTAAGGAAATTTACAGGCCCAAGAAACACCTTGCTCAATATATTAAATTTTATTTTGGTTTTCAACTAGACTTTGCTTTTCATTTGTTTGTTTTTGTGACAAGTTCTCGCTCTGTCACCTAGGCCAAAGTGTAGTGACACAATCTTAGCTCACTGTAGCCTCCTAGATTCAAGTGATCCTCCTGTCTCAGACTCCTGAGTAGCTAGGACTACAGGAACATTCCACCATGCCCAGCTAATTTTGTTTTGTTTTGTTTTGTTTTCAGAGACAATGTATTGCAGTGTTGCCCAGGCTGATCTGAAACTCTTAGCCTCAAACGATACTCCTGCCTCAGCCTCCCAAAGCACTAGGATTACAGACATGAGCCAATGCGCCCAGCCTTAAATTAGACTTTAAATGTGGTTTTAAACTCCTGTTGAAAAAGCGTCTGGTATCTTGAACCAGTAGATGTTTTCATAGCAATGAAGCTAAACTGTAATTTAGACAGTAGCCAAATGCTTGTGAAATTTTGCTAAATAATATAATCTTCAAGGGAGCAAATCATGTCCCAAATGCAAAAGATCAACTGGTGGGGGCAGTAGTAAAAGACAGGATACTGTGCTCTTTAAAAAGATCAGTAACTATAGTACCTAGTTATCTTACTTATCACAGCAAAATAATTACATAAAATCCTATGGATCATAAAGGCACAGACTCACTTCTGTCTCTAGATCTCAAGCTACCAAAAAGAAATCTCCCAATAGTTTCTTGGAGGCCTATACTTAGTGAAAAAGCAGCTGGAATCAACATAGTTCCTCCTATGTTGTAGGACAATCCTAGCTCTGGGCATACGAATACATTAAATCCCACTTATCTATAGAGCTTTCTTAAAGGGAAGAAATTTGAGTAGTATGTAAAACAGAATAAAAGATTAAGGCTCCATAGGCATACAGCTTACCTCCAATTCTCTTGGCCTCTTGCAATTTCTATTATCAGGCTTTACAAGGTGATTTGCCATCATATTCCGAAGGCACCAGCTACAAAGCTTAGAACAATGCCAGATTTAGGTACAAACTCCATGCTACAAGCTCTCTGGAATCCTTCCCTGTTTCCCACTCCTACTGCTGATGTTAATTTAGACTGTCATTATCTGTCACTTTCCTAAACTCAATTTCTCCCTCCTCTAAATCATTCTATCAACTGCTATTTGGGTAATCTTTCAAAACTTTGATTACTGCATTCCTTTAACTCAAAAACTTTCATTGTTCCAGAATAAGTTGAAATTCCATGATATGGCCTTCAAGGTCCTGTATTATCTGGTGCAAGCCTACTAGTCCCATCATTTTCAACTACTCCTCTCTATGTACTTAGCCAAATGAGTCTCTCTGGCAATTCTGCCTTGTTTCAGGACTGGCTCAGTTAAGATTCTTTTATCTTCGGCCGGGCGCGCTGGCTCACGGCTGTAATCCCAGCACTTTGGGAAGCTGAGGCAGGAAGATCACCTGAGGTCGGGAGTTCGAGACCAGCCTGGCCAGCATGGTGAAACCCTGTGTCTACTAAAAATCCAAACATTAGCCAGGCGTGGTGGCAGGCGCCTGT
The DNA here is from genome assembly GCF_000001405.40 of Homo sapiens. Classification (NCBI taxonomy): domain Eukaryota; kingdom Metazoa; phylum Chordata; class Mammalia; order Primates; family Hominidae; genus Homo; species Homo sapiens. Next base: position 112,168,690 of record NC_000011.10, on the reverse strand, counting down.
AATCCCAGCTACTTGGGAAGCTGAGGTGAGAGAATCGCTTGAACCCAGGAGAGGGAGGTTGCAGTGAGCCGAGATTGTGCCATTGCACTCCAGCCTGGGCAACAGAGCGAGACTCCACCTCAAAAAAAAAAAAAGGATTCTTCTATCTTCACAAAATCTTAATGTTTAAACAGGTCTTACAGTTCATCTAATTCAATCTCATTTTTTACAAGTGAGAAAACAGGGACAGTGACGGTGGATCAAGTGACACCAGTAAGACTGAGCTAAATTAGAACCGAGATCTCACTCGAGTCTGAGGTTATTCCCACTGTCCAACCTTACTTTAAAGTAGCTTCAAATTTTACTTTTACTTTTCCATAAATTCGGAAGGGATTTTCCCTAGGAGTCCAAATGTTGAAACCTGGAAGGGTATAGTCTCTGTGTCTTTGAGATGAGGGGAGCCCTGTCCATATTCAAGTTATCAATTGACTTTGTTGTTTTTGAGAAACGATGCTGATTTGGGTAACTTTAACACATCTGTTTGATTAGTCCTATAAAATATGCATATATAGAAGACAGAAAGAGCAACAACAAATTTGAATGATGCTTGTTAAGTAAATTCTGTATCGTACGTCTCCATTCCTGCCAGTACCTTTATAGTATGTAAGTTTACGTGCTGTAATAGTATTAATAGTATCTAGAAAATACTACACATGCACAGCAGTGCTAACTTTGCCTTGGGAGTTGGAAAATACTTCAGAGAAGCCAACAGGCAGATTTTTCTCTCTTCCCTTCCCCTTCTAATTTTCCCTTTCCCCTTCACCCCCTTCTCTTCTCTCCCCAAGTAACACTGTGCACCTATGTCAAACGAAAACTTATAATCAAGTAACTGTTTCTGCAAAAATAAGTTCGTTTTCCTGTCATGGCTCAAGGCCTCAGCAGATCCAGGCCTGGTGGACGGGCTGGTCTTCGTCGTGTGCCAAACACTGACCACTGCCCTGGCTCTGCCATCTTAGGCTTAGTGACCTGGCTGTTACTAAGCACTGTCCCCTCTGCCCCATGCAGCTGTCTCCTTCTAGTCTTCTCCCTCTTCTCAACGCGATCCTAGCCCCTCAGGCCATTTCACCTCCATTTTCCCTCACTTCCCGCCGCCCCTCCGCACTTCCTCCCTACTGTTGTTTCCGCCCCACTAGAGCCCCTCAGAGGAAGTTTCCATCCTCGCACCCTTCCTTGTGTCACAGTCCGTCACATTCTCACAGGCGCCCATCCCTCCAGCCCCACCCCAAGGCCAATGTACTTCGCGGTATGGGGACCTTCCTCGTCAGCGAACGCGAGGGAGTGAAGACCCCGGGCGCGGGGTGCTCGGACTTCGGGGGTGGAGGTGGGAAGCGCGCCGCACTCCCAGCAGCCCCTGCACGAGTCACGTGACAGCTCTCCCACCACCACCCCCCCCAACTTCCCCACCGTAGCCTCCCAGAGCCAGGCCCCACGGAAAGGCAGCTTTTTCCCGGTTTTCTCCCGCTCTTTCCCCTCCACTTGGAATACTCGTGAAACAAAAATCTCTCCCTGCCACCCTGTGTGTGTTTGAACCAGGAAAAAATCTGAAACTGGTCAAGAAAGAACAAGGAAGACTTGCCAAAGCAAGGCCGGTGTGTGTCCCAGCAGCTTAGAATCTCAGCAAAGGAACACAAAATAGCACATCCACGGCCTCTTTTCGAGTAAAATTTACTTGGTTTGTTTGCAGGAAGGGTTTAAAACTGCGTTTGCAGATGCTCTGTTTGCAGGAAGGCTTTAATCACGTGTTCCCCTGGCCCACAAGCAAGGCTTTTAGATCCAGAGCCTCAGTTACTGCCCCCTCTTCCTCTTTGGTGCAACCAAACGTTCAGAATCACGCCTTCTTAGAAAATTCTTCCCCGGGTGTGTCAATAAGTTAAGTCTAATTGGCAACAGCTATCAAAAAGTGTTGCATAACACACATGGCTCACATAATTGTAGCTTTGCCTCATCGGGTGCTTTAATGCGGAGGCTTTGACCTGCAATTTCAAAGATATACATTCCAAGCTTACGCCCAGTTAGTGGATGTGGAAGAAAAAAAAAAGCAAATTACCTCATAACACAAAGGTCAATAACACACATCCATAAGCTCCAGGTACAAAATCTTACATCTTAGAGAACTATATTTAACATTTACATACATTACTAAGGTTTTTTTTTTCCTTTTGCTTGATTAAATGTTAGTTATCATTAAGTCTTGGAAGTATTCTGTGTGTGTATATTTATTTGCTGTTTGTGAAGAAGCCGGTTGTTTTAAATAAGTTCCTAGAAAATAAGCGCTCAATGTGTTTAATCTGAGTTGCTAATATTGTGAAATATAGGCCACATAATACTAGCCTAGATAACTATGGCGAAGTAAGGAGTCTCAAACACTGTCCCAGAACAATAGCAATCTGTGTTGAATTTTTACCCTCTGTGGTAAAATGAAGGGAAAAGGAATGAAGTTTTAGTTTGCCTTAATTTTTATCTTTATTGTTTCAGACTCTTCAGCAGTATAAAGTTTTCATCAAGTCAAATATATTCACTTTAAAGTGACTGTGCTTTATTCTGATACCATGTCCTTCCTAATTTGGGGGGCACAGGTGAGATAAGTTTTATGAAATAAAAAGATTAAAAATTCTTACATTTTTAGTGTCCTTCCTTGGTAAAATGTAGAGTTGTCCACTGTGTTTATCTCCTCCTCCTTATTATCATGGTTGCTGTTATTATTTTTAATGGTTCATTAAACCCAAGGGTCTGGGAAATACTCATGGAATTCATCTCACAGCCTTCACACTGTATGATATTTAAACAGGTGGTTGTCCATCTGATTCTTAAAATATTTCCAAGAAAAATGATTCCACCTAATGCATAAATGCTTTCATCAGATTAAGAGAACACCATGGACATTTTATTTTCTTTTATTTTTTAAATATTAACTTCCATTGCATAAGCTAAATGGGTAGGAATAAGTGAGATGATATTGTTATCTAGAGCTTTAAAATATTCAAAGGGCTGTCATCATTATCTCATTTAATCTTTGAAAACAACTCTATGAAGTACAAAGGACACTGAGACATTTGTTGCTCTATATCAAAGAAAAAAGTGTTTGTCCCAAAACTTCAAAATGTGTAAATTACACATTCTGCATCTTTACAGCTGGAGAAAATTCACTGGCAATGGAATATTTAAAATTAGAGCTTGCTTAGTGTGCTGCTTCTGATCACTACTTGATCCCACTTCGTGCTTTCATGTTAATTGGCCCAATTGGACTCTACAGTTGGAAGGTGAAAACTTACTATTTCAACTTGAGTCACGTATGTATTCTTATCATATACTTCTTAAAGGTACTATTTTTTTTCTTCTGATAGTCACCACACCAAGCACTTCCAGCCACCCTGCCACAGACTTCCTTTGTAATCACTGTTGAAGGACATGATGTTTTTATGACTTCCCGAAATGAAAACCCTATCTTGTTTTTAAAACAAACAAACCAACAAAAAGTAGTGTTTATGTAAGCATTTTGTTCCCTGACTCTAGGAACCCCTCTGTTTTTATATCAACTCTGTACTGGCAAAACACAAAAACAAAATGCCACCTTGCTAATTCCCTTCCTAGCAAAGTAATACAGTTTAGCACATGTTCAAGAAAAAAATGGCTAAGAAATTTTGTTTCCACTAATTATTTTCAAGACTGTGATATTTACACTCTGCTCTTCAAACGTTACATTTTATAAGACTATTTTTTAACATGTTGAACATAAGCCCTAAATATATGTATCCTTAAATTGTATTTCAAATATTTTAGGTCAGTCTTTGCTATCATTCCAGGAATAGAAAGTTTTAACACTGGAAACTGCAAGTAAATATTTGCCCTCTTACCTGAATTTTGGTATCCCTCTCCCCAAGCTTACTTTCTGTTGCAGAAAGTGTAAAAATTATTAAATAAAATTCTAATGATGGTATCCGTGTGGCTTGCATCTGATACAGCAGATAAAGAAGTTTTATGAAAATGGACTCCTGTTCCACTGAAAAGTAAATCTTAATGGCCTGTATCAACTATCCTTTGACACCATATTGAGCTTGGGAGGAAGGGGAAGTCCTGAATGAGGTTATAAAGTAAAAGAAAATATTTGCAAAATGTTCCTTTTTTTAAAATGTTACATTTTAGAAATATTTTAAGTGTTGTAACATTGTAGGAATTACCCCAATAGGACTGATTATTCCGCATTGTAAAATAAGAAAAAGTTTTGTGCTGAAGTGTGACCAGGAAGTCTGAAAATGAAGAGAGACAGATGACAAAAGAAGATGCTTCTAATGGACTAAGGAGGTGCTTTCTTAAAGTCAGAAAGAGATACTCAGAAAGAGGTACAGGTTTTGGAAGGCACAGAGCCCCAACTTTTACGGAAGAAAAGATTTCATGAAAATAGTGATATTACATTAAAAGAAGTACTCGTATCCTCTGCCACTTTATTTCGACTTCCATTGCCCTAGGAAAGAGCCTGTTTGAAGGCGGGCCCAAGGAGTGCCGACAGCAGTCTCCTCCCTCCACCTTCTTCCTCATTCTCTCCCCAGCTTGCTGAGCCCTTTGCTCCCCTGGCGACTGCCTGGACAGTCAGCAAGGAATTGTCTCCCAGTGCATTTTGCCCTCCTGGCTGCCAACTCTGGCTGCTAAAGCGGCTGCCACCTGCTGCAGTCTACACAGCTTCGGGAAGAGGAAAGGAACCTCAGACCTTCCAGATCGCTTCCTCTCGCAACAAACTATTTGTCGCAGGTAAGAAATATCATTCCTCTTTATTTGGAAAGTCAGCCATGGCAATTAGAGGTAAATAAGCTAGAAAGCAATTGAGAGGAATATAAACCATCTAGCATCACTACGATGAGCAGTCAGTATCAACATAAGAAATATAAGCAAAGTCAGAGTAGAATTTTTTTCTTTTATCAGATATGGGAGAGTATCACTTTAGAGGAGAGGTTCTCAAACTTTTTGCTCTCATGTTCCCTTTACACTAAGCACATCACATGTTAGCATAAGTAACATTTTTAATTAAAAATAACTATGTACTTTTTTAACAACAAAAAAAAAGCATAAAGAGTGACACTTTTTTATTTTTACAAGTGTTTTAACTGGTTTAATAGAAGCCATATAGATCTGCTGGATTCTCATCTGCTTTGCATTCAGACTATTGCAATATTGCACAGAATGTAGCCTCTGGTAAACTCTGTTGTACACTCATGAGAGAATGAGTGAAAAAGACAAATTACGTCTTAGAATTATTAGAAATAGCTTTCACTTTAGGAACTCCCTGAGAATTGCTGCTTTAGAGTGGTAAAATAAATAAGCTTCTCTTTAAACGGAATCTCAAGACAGAATCAGTTACATTAAAAGCAAACAAAAAATTTGCCCATGGTTAGTCATCTTGTGAAATCTGCCACACCTTTGGACTGGGCTACAATTGGATAATATAGCATTCCCCGAGATAATTTTCTTTCACAATTAAGGAAAGGGCTGAATAAATATCTCTGTTTGAAGTTGAATAACAAAAATTAGGACCCCCTAAATTTTAGGACTCCTGAAATTCGTCTTTTTGCCTATATTCAGCTACTTTACGTTCTATTAAATCTTCTTTCAGGCCAGGTGCACTAGCTCATGCCTAGAATCTCAGGCAGGCCTGAGCCCAGGAATTTGAGACCAGCCAGGGCAACACAGTCTCTACAAAAAAATAAAAAATTACCTGGGTGTGTTGGTGCATGCCTGTAGAACTACTCAGGATGCTGAGGACTGCTTGAGCCCAGGATAGCCAAATCTGTGGTGAGTTCAGCCACTAAACAGAGCGAGACTTTCTCAAAAAAACAAACAAAAAAACAAACAAACTTCCTTCAAAATAACTTTTTATCTGCAATGTTTTCCTATTGCCTGTGAGATTAAATTTACTCTTTTACCTGATTTCCAAAGCCCTCCATAATCTAATCCGACTTTACCTTGTGTTCACTGCAAAATAGCAGGACTGTTCCACTACAATCCAAAAATCACAGGTTGGGTGCAGTGGCTCACTCCTGTAATCCCAACACTTTGGAAGGCCAAGGCAGGTGGATTGCTTCAGCTCAGGAGTTCAAGACCAGCCTGGGCAACATGGCAAAAACCCTGTCTCTCCAAAACATACAAAAATTAGCCAGATGTGGTAGTATGTGCCTGTAGTCCCAACTACTCAAAAGGCTAAGGCAAGAGGATCACTTGAGCCCAGGAGGTCAAGGCTACAGTGAGCCATGTTTGCTGTGTCACTGCACTCCAGCCTGGGTGATAGAGCAAGACCATGTCTCAAAAAAAAAAAAAAAAAGAAAAGAAAAGAAAAAAACATCGCTCTATTCAGTTCACCCCCACCACAACATTGTTTTGATTATCACATAAATGCTGGTCCATTGCCTTCTCTATCTATTCAAATCTTTAAGCATTCTTTGAGATTCAACTCAATTCTCCTTTTCAAACTAGGCCATTTAAACTACATCAGTTCCATTTTGATTTTTTTGCTTTGAGTCTACAGACTCAAAAACAAAAACTTAAAAACTTATTTTTTAAGTTTTCTGCTACTCTCACCTCTTCAACACTCACATACACGCATTCATAATAAGATGGCAGAATGTTCAAGGATAAAATGATTTATAGAACTGAAAAGTTAGGTTTTGATCTTGTTGCTGTCAAGATGACTACCTACCTGATCTCAGGTAATTAATTATGTAGCATGCTCCCTCATTTCATCCCATACCTATTCAACAGGATTGGAATTCCACAGCAAGGATAAACATAATCATAGTTGCTTTTCAAGTTCAAGGCATTTTAACTTTTAATCTAGTAGTATGTTTGTTGTTGTTGTTGTTGTTTGAGATGGAGCCCTGCTGTGTCACCCAGGCTGGAGTGCAGTGGCACGAACTCGGCTCACTGCAACCTCTGCCTCATGGGTTCAATCAGTTATTCTGCCTCAGTGTCCCAAGTAGCTGGGACTACAAGGCACATGCCACCATGCCTGGCTAATTTTTGTATTTTTAGTAGAAACAGGGTTTCACCATGTTGGCCAGGCTGGTCTCGAACTCCTGACCTCAAGTGATCCAGCCGCCTCGGCCTCCCAAAGTGCTGGTATTACAGGCATAAGCCACCGTGCCCAGCCTAATAGTATGTTTTTAAACTCTTAGTGGCTTAACAATGCTGGTTGTATAATAAATATGCCATAAATATTTACTGTCTTAGAATTATGAAGAAGTGGTTACTAGGCCGTTTGCCACATATCAATGGTTCTCTCCTTACAGCTTTAACTAGAGTCTAGAATTGCAGGTTGGTAGAGCTGGAACAGACCTTAAAGACTGACTAGCCAACTTCCTTGTCCAAATGAGGGAACTGAGACCCTTAAAATTAAGTGACTTGCCCCAGACAAAACTGGAACTCATGTGTCCTAATTTCCATCATGAAATTCTACCATTCACTAGCCTCTGGCTAGTTGTCAAAGTATTGCATAACTAAATTTTTATGTCTGTTTTAAAGAACAAATTGTCACTGCTTACTCCTGGGAGGATCTTTCTGAGGTGGTTTATAACTCTTAAAAAAAAAAAAAGTCAGTAGTCTGAGAATTTTAGATGAAATAGTCAAAGCATTTTTATCCAATGGATACTATAATTTTCATAGATTAGAGTTAAAGCAAAGAAACACGGATGAGAAAGGAAGAGGAAAATTGAGGAGAGGAGGAATGGGGATGAGAACACACTACTTGTAATCAGTCATAGATGTATTGAGAACTAACAAGAAGAATTGTAAGAAAATAAGAATGAAGAATTCAAAATCAACACATGAAATAAAAAAGAAACTACTAGGGAAAAATGGAGAAGACATTAGAAAAATTATTCTATTTTTAAAATTCTGTTTTCAGGCTTCCCTCCTGTTCTTCCTCCTTCTCATTGGCTTTCAGGTGGAGGGAAAGTTTAAGATAGAAAAAATATATATATTCTACACATCCCTTTCTACGCTGTTGTCATGGCAACAAGGTTTATCATAGCAAACTTTTATTCATACAACATTTATTGAGTTCTTACTGTGTGGTAAGCTCTTTCCAGGTGTTGAAAATTCAGGGGAAAAAAGACAACTCATTGTCTTAAAACTCAGATGAAAGCTGAACAGACCTATTTTTAATCAAAGTAATCTCAATTTAGGGTAGTAAGAGCTATTTAAGAAGCATGAACAGGTGTGAAGGAGGTAGGACTCTGAGGAGAGAATAATTAGCTAGGAATGAAAGAGCAGAGAAGTTTTCCTAGAGGAACTATTAAAGCTGGGAGTTACGGGATGAAAGATGAGGCAGGGTTTGCAGGCAAAAAAAAAAAAAAGGCAGGGGAAGGGGAAGTTCTGGCCTGGCAGAGAGAATAACTGTGGCAACAATGGAGGAGAGTCTGGAAGCAAGAAAACCAAGTAGAAGAGTATTAAAATAGAAGATGCCAGGGGTAATGAGGGCTTGATTTAAAACAGTGCTGTTGGAGATGGAGAGGAGATACCAAATTCTGGAGACATTTCTGAGTTAGAATCTACAGTATTTATCAGACAAGGGAAAGATTAGACAAAGGAGTTAAGAATGACTCCCAGGTTTCAGTTTGGGGCAGGTAACTAGGACATGTTTTGAAAAGTAATGTATTAGATCTCTTACCATTGGAACTATGTATGTGGAGCCAAATTAAAATTTGTACATGTATATAACTCTCCCCCCACCACCAGTAACTACTTCCCTAACTCTCTACTTTGTAGCCAGACTTCCTAAAAGAATAGTTTGTAGTCACTGTCTTTACTTTTCCCCTCCCATTCTGTCCTAGATATTTGTCCACCTACCATCTGCTGCCTCCACTTTACCCAAACTGTTCTACGGTTGCCCAAAACTTCCTAATTGCCAAATTCAATGAACAAGTTTAAGCTTATATGTAAATTAGGAGCTCTACAGTTTGATTTCGAGCAGCCCCTCCTGAAACCCTTTCTCTTTTGACTTCTGTGACACATCTCAGATTTACAAAACTGAACTAATTATTTTACACTTGAGCTGTATTTTCGTTCTTTTTTCTTAATGAATGAGGTAACCACTCAACAAATTGCCCAAGCCAAAAACTACGAAGTCATCCTCAGTTCCTCCTTCTTCTGTTTGACCCACAACAGATCAGCTGAGAAATCCCGCTGTTTAGTATCTCTTGAATTCATTACCTTAATTTATAGCCTCATCAACTCTTAATTGTTAAAATTACTTCAGTAGTTGTTGTCTGACCTCTGTCCAATCTTGTTCAATCAGGTCCATTCTTTTGTTCTTGGTGGTGGTGGTGGTGTTGACAGAGTTTCGCTTTTGCTGCCCAGGCTGAAGTGCAGTGGAGCACTTCACTGCAACCACAGCCTCCTGGGTTTAAGCAGTTCACCCTCCCGAGTAGCTGGGACTACAGGTATGTGCCACCACACCCAGCTAATTTTGTGTTTTCAGTAGAGACAGGGTTTCACCATGTTGGTCAGGCTGGTCTCAAACTCCTGACCTCAAGCAATCCACCCACCTCAGCCTCCCAAAGTGCTGGGATTACAGGCATGAGCCACTGCACACGGACCAGATCCATTGTTTATGTTGCTTCTAGAGTGAGTTGAGTTTTTAAAACACAAATTTGACCATATCTTTCTCCTATTTAAGTCAGTATTTTTTTTTTCAGGAAAAAACAGTTCAAACTCTTTAGTCTGCTTACACAAGGCCTTTGTAGTCTGACTCTTCTTTCCAAGCTTTCATCAAAGTATACTGCAAGTTGCATTTTATGTGAATTGAATTAGGCAACGGTATAAAAATTATAGTTTATATGGGCAAAATGGAAATAATGTTAACTCTTCCAAATAGTTTATCTAGAATGACATAATTTCAAAGCTGTCAGGTCAAATGAGTTATAAACTGTTAACACTATTGCCACATGCAAGTGTCTCTTATACTTGGTAGAATTATCTGCTTCCATGTCATTATTATGTAAATTAGACTTTAAATAACTCAGAAGTTCTTCAGACATACAGGTTATTATTGTGCTTTTTAAACATAATTTTAAATAATTTTATATATGATAATGTTATCCAAGTGCTAAGGGATGTATTGTTACTGCTGTGCAAAAAAAAAAAAACTCCAAATAAATATGTTGAAACCAAGTTTATATGCAAGAAAACAATATTAAAAAGGCCAAAGTACCACCATAATAGGCTGTGTGGAGACAGCAGGCTACAAAACACTAGTAATAATGCTGAGAAAGTTGAAAAAAGAAAGAAAGCAACAATATGCTTTGGTTGTTGTAGGTTTATGTACTCCAAGAATATCTCCTCTCAAACTTTTACGTTTTTTCCAAAGAAAAGTTAACTTTGGCTGGGCGCAGTGGCTCTTGCCTGTAGTCCCAGCCTTTGGGAGGCCAAGGCGGGCAGATCACCTGAGGTCAGGAGTTTGAGACCAGCCTGACCAACATGGAGAAACCCGCCCCCCTCACTACTAAAAGAATACAAAATTAGGCCGGGCACAGTGGCTTACCCCTGTTATCCCAGCACTTTGGGAGGCCGAAGCAGGAAGATCACCTGAGGTCAGGAGTTCGAGACCAGCCATGGAGAAACCCGTCTCTACTAAAAATACAAAATTAGCCGGGCGTGGTGGTGCATGACTGTAATCCCAGCTACTCAGGAGGCTAAGGCAGAGAATCACTTGAACCCAGGCAGTGGAGGTTGCAGTGAGCCGAGATCGTGCCATTGCACTCCAGCCTGGGCAACAAGAGCGAAACTCTGTATCCAAAAAACAAAAGAAAAGAAAAGGTAACCTTGAACTATGTGAGATCTTTAGAAATGCATTCTTTCTGTAAAATGTGACTACATTTGCCTTATTTATGGTAAAAATGTTGAGGCCTCAAACAACCCATATTTTCTCGGTCTCCCCGCTGCCTAGCCTTTGTTCACATTGCTTCTTCTTGGTGGAAGCTCTTCCTCTGGCCTTGAAAATGCCTGCTTCTCTTTCAAGGTAGCACAGTCATCACTTTCTGTGGTAACCTTCTCCAGCACCATCAAACAGAAAGAATGAATCTCTTGTAAATTCAGCTCTTACGTCATTCATTACATTATTTTGTAACTCTTTATAGATTCTTCTCTCCCACTAGACTCTGAGTCACTGGAGAGTAGGAGCCAACTCTCATTCATGTGTGGTTTGGTCAGCTACTGGCCACATTCCTGATGCATAGTTAATGCTCAAACCTTAACTGGTGAATCAGCTCAAATATTGTCCTTCTCTAAATCCATTCACTCATTGACTAACTATGTACTCAAAATAGTAAACACCAGTAATTTAATCCAATTCCTGCCCATACTGCTTGGTACATTTCAGGTGAATTAGTTTGATAAATATGTGTGTATTACATAATATTAAAGTATGTACAGAAGATCATGCTAATCATTATTTCACCAACTGATAACTAATCAAAACATAGAGTGCCTCTCAGGTTAACAAATGTCTGCCTTCTCAGTTAATGCAGTCATTAACAAACACCTTCTGATGCTGATAATAGGGCCTTGTTCAGCAATGAAGCCATAAAGGTGAATAAAGAACATGCCCTCGTGGAGCTCACAGCCTAGTCATTATTGTTCTGATTTTTAATATTAATGTTGGTTTGGGTTTTGGTGAAAAATGTTTAGACTTATCTTAGTGATCTTTTCATCCTTTGCTATATTATTTTTCTCTAAGAGTCTTCCTTATCCCCTCCTTTAAAAAACTAGGTGATAATTCTAAATTGTAAATTTAAATATTATAAATAGCTTATAAAATTTAATATTTATAATATTTAAATGTTTGATAAATATTTAAATTTTATAATATTTAAATGTTTATTTAAATTCATTTGTACATCAGTTTTTATTTTATTTAAATGTGTTGGCCAGGCATGGTGGCTGACACCTATAATCCCAGAACTTTGAGAGGCCAAGTCAGGCAAACCATTTGAGCTCAGGAGTTTGAGACCACCCTGGGCAACGTGGTGAAACCCTGTCTCTACCAAACATATGAAAACTTATCTGGGTGTGGTGGCACGCATCTGTGGTCCCAGATGGGAGTCCCAGGCTAAGATGGGAGAATCGCTTGAACCCAGGTGAGAGGGGTGGGGTGGATGTTGCAGTGAGCTGAGATCGTGCCACTGCACTCCAACCTGGGTGACAGAGTGAGACTCCATCTCAAAAAAAAAAAATGTTATCTAAATAAGATAAATTTAATAACTGTTCGCACTTAGATGAGCATAAGGAACTAAACCTAGATAAAACTATCAAATAAGGCCTGGGTACAGTGACTCATGCCTGTAATCTCAAGCACTTTGGGAGGCCAAAATTATACAAAGTTAGTTGTATAACACCAACTAACAACTATTTTGGGGTTAGCTTAATTCAGATTAATTTTTTTTAAACTGAGTTTTAAATTCCTGCTTACTCTACCATACATGCTAGGCCTCATATTATGCTAGAAAAATTTTGAGCACAGATTTATGAATACTCTCCTGCATACCATTTAATTTTTAAACAAATTTTAATGCAGTATATATGTGCCTTTTTACCAACACATTAAATAATAAGATCTACTGTGAGGACTAAACTTCTGTAATTTCAAAGTAGTAATGAGTTTAAACCATGTCTCAAGATCTCTGCAATAATTGTAGCACAACAGAAAATAGGTATTTCTATTAATGACAGAGTCACAAGTACTACTAATAATACTGTGGTTTGTTTCCTGCAACTAATCATGGGAGGAATGCTAAATTTCAGAGGTTGGTGAAAATACATGTGTATTTTTTTCCCCATCCAAGTTCACAGATTTCTCACACTGAGAACTCCTATTCCATAACAAAATTCTGGAAGCCTGCACACCGTATTGGAAGAGGGGCAGAAAGGAAAAGCAAATGGAAGGATTTAAATTTTTTTCAAATCCTGTATCCCTTGATTTTACAGCAAGATTGTATTTATGTATTACTTGTGTTAAAAATATAGTATAATCGAGACTCCAGATCAAAAATCACCGCAGCTCAGGGAGAAAGAGGGCCACCAAATGCCAGAGCCCTTCAGCCTTCTCCCACCCTGCCTGTACCCTCAGATGGAAGCACTTTTTTATCATTGTTTCACCTTTAGCATTTTGACAATGAAGTCACAAACCTTCAGCCTCTCACCCATAGGAACCCACTGGTTGTAAGAGAAGGATGAAGCCAGTCCTTCCTAAAGGGCACGATTAGATGTGTTTATGGCATCCTCAGGTGAAACTATATTTATATTGACAATATATTTATATTTCTCAAGGAATACTAGAATAATGATTCAGTTCAGTACTAGGCCATTTATCTACCCTTTATAATATTGTTTAATGAGAAAATGCTTTCTATCTTCCAAATATCTGATGATTTGTAAGAGAACACTTAAACATGGGTATTCATAAGCTGAAACTTCTGGCATTTATTGAATGTCAAGATTGTTCATCAGTATACTAGGTGATTAACTGACCACTGAACTTGAAGGTAGTATAAAGTAGTAGTAAAAGGTACAATCATTGTCTCTTAACAGATGGCTCTTTGCTTTCATTAGGAATAAAGATGGCTGCTGAACCAGTAGAAGACAATTGCATCAACTTTGTGGCAATGAAATTTATTGACAATACGCTTTACTTTATAGGTAAGGCTAATGCCATAGAACAAATACCAGGTTCAGATAAATCTATTCAATTAGAAAAGATGTTGTGAGGTGAACTATTAAGTGACTCTTTTTGTCACCAAATTTCACTGTAATATTAATGGCTCTTAAAAAAATAGTGGACCTCTAGAAATTAACCACAACATGTCCAAGGTCTCAGCACCTTGTCACACCACGTGTCCTGGCACTTTAATCAGCAGTAGCTCACTCTCCAGTTGGCAGTAAGTGCACATCATGAAAATCCCAGTTTTCATGGGAAAATCCCAGTTTTCATTGGATTTCCATGGGAAAAATCCCAGTACAAAACTGGGTGCATTCAGGAAATACAATTTCCCAAAGCAAATTGGCAAATTATGTAAGAGATTCTCTAAATTTAGAGTTCTGTGAATTACACCATTTTATGTAAATATGTTTGACAAGTAAAAATTGATTCTTTTTTTTTTTTTTCTGTTGCCCAGGCTGGAGTGCAGTGGCACAATCTCTGCTCACTGCAACCTCCACCTCCTGGGTTCAAGCAATTCTCCTGCCTCAGCCTTCTGAGTAGCTGGGACTACAGGTGCATCCCACCATGCCTGGCTAATTTTTTGTATTTTTACTAGAGACAGGGTTTTGCCATGTTGTCCAGGCTGGTCTTGAACTCCTGATCTCAGATGATCCTCCTGCCTCGGCCTCCCAAAGTGCTGGGATTACAGGCATGAACCACCACACATGGCCTAAAAATTGATTCTTATGATTAATCTTCTGTGAACAATTTGGCTTCATTTGAAAGTTTGCCTTCATTTGAAACCTTCATTTAAAAGCCTGAGCAACAAAGTGAGACCCCATCTCTACAAAAAACTGCAAAATATCCTGTGGACACCTCCTACCTTCTTTGGAGGCTGAAGCAGGAGGATCACTTGAGCCTAGGAATTTGAGCCTGCAGTGAGCTATGATCCCACCCCTACACTCCAGCCTGCATGACAGTAGACCCTGACACACACACACAAAAAAAAACCTTCATAAAAAATTATTAGTTGACTTTTCTTAGGTGACTTTCCGTTTAAGCAATAAATTTAAAAGTAAAATCTCTAATTTTATAAAATTTATTTTTAGTTACATATTGAAATTTTTAAACCCTAGGTTTAAGTTTTATGTCTAAATTACCTGAGAACACACTAAGTCTGATAAGCTTCATTTTATGGGCCTTTTGGATGATTATATAATATTCTGATGAAAGCCAAGACAGACCCTTAAACCATAAAAATAGGAGTTCGAGAAAGAGGAGTAGCAAAAGTAAAAGCTAGAATGAGATTGAATTCTGAGTCGAAATACAAAATTTTACATATTCTGTTTCTCTCTTTTTCCCCCTCTTAGCTGAAGATGATGGTAAAGTAGAAATGAATTTATTTTTCTTTGCAAACTAAGTATCTGCTTGAGACACATCTATCTCACCATTGTCAGCTGAGGAAAAAAAAAAATGGTTCTCATGCTACCAATCTGCCTTCAAAGAAATGTGGACTCAGTAGCACAGCTTTGGAATGAAGATGATCATAAGAGATACAAAGAAGAACCTCTAGCAAAAGATGCTTCTCTATGCCTTAAAAAATTCTCCAGCTCTTAGAATCTACAAAATAGACTTTGCCTGTTTCATAGGTCCTAAGATTAGCATGAAGTCATGGATTCTGTTGTAGGGGGAGCGTTGCATAGGAAAAAGGGATTGAAGCATTAGAATTGTCCAAAATCAGTAACACCTCCTCTCAGAAATGCTTTGGGAAGAAGCCTGGAAGGTTCCCGGGTTGGTGGTGGGGTGGGGCAGAAAATTCTGGAAGTAGAGGAGATAGGAATGGGTGGGGCAAGAAGACCACATTCAGAGGCCAAAAGCTGAAAGAAACCATGGCATTTATGATGAATTCAGGGTAATTCAGAATGGAAGTAGAGTAGGAGTAGGAGACTGGTGAGAGAAGCTAGAGTGATAAACAGGGTGTAGAGCAAGACGTTCTCTCACCCCAAGATGTGAAATTTGGACTTTATCTTGGAGATAATAGGGTTAATTAAGCACAATATGTATTAGCTAGGGTAAAGATTAGTTTGTTGTAACAAAGACATCCAAAGATACAGTAGCTGAATAAGATAGAGAATTTTTCTCTCAAAGAAAGTCTAAGTAGGCAGCTCAGAAGTAGTATGGCTGGAAGCAACCTGATGATATTGGGACCCCCAACTTTCTTCAGTCTTGTACCCATCATCCCCTAGTTGTTGATCTCACTCACATAGTTGAAAATCATCATACTTCCTGGGTTCATATCCCAGTTATCAAGAAAGGGTCAAGAGAAGTCAGGCTCATTCCTTTCAAAGACTCTAATTGGAAGTTAAACACATCAATCCCCCTCATATTCCATTGACTAGAATTTAATCACATGGCCACACCAAGTGCAAGGAAATCTGGAAAATATAATCTTTATTCCAGGTAGCCATATGACTCTTTAAAATTCAGAAATAATATATTTTTAAAATATCATTCTGGCTTTGGTATAAAGAATTGATGGTGTGGGGTGAGGAGGACAAAATTAAGGGTTGAGAGGCTATTATTTTAGTTATTACAAGAAATGATGGTGTCATGAATTAAGGTAGACATAGGGGAGTGCTGATGAGGAGCTGTGAATGGATTTTAGAAACACTTGAGAGAATCAATAGGACATGATTTAGGGTTGGATTTGGAAAGGAGAAGAAAGTAGAAAAGATGATGCCTACATTTTTCACTTAGGCAATTTGTACCATTCAGTGAAATAGGAAACACAGGAGGAAGAGCAGGTTTTGGTGTATACAAAGAGGAGGATGGATGACGCATTTCGTTTTGGATCTGAGATGTCTGTGGAACGTCCTAGTGGAGATGTCCAAAAACTCTTCTACATGTGGTTCTGAGTTCAGGACAAAGATTTGGGCTGGAGATAGAGATATTGAAGGCTTATGCATAGAAATGGCATTTGAATCTATAGAGATAAAAAGACAAATCAGAGGAAATGTGTAAAGTGAGAGAGGAAAAGCCAAGTACTGAACTGGGGGGAATACCTACATTTAAAGGATGCAGTAGAAAGAAGCTAATAAACAACAGAGAGCAGACTAACCAAAAGGGAAGAAGAAAAACCAAGAGAATTCCACCGACTCCCAGGAGAGCATTTCAAGATTGAGGGGATAGGTGTTGTGTTGAATTTTGCAGCCTTGAGAATCAAGGGCCAGAACACAGCTTTTAGATTTAGCAACAAGGAGTTTGGTGATCTCAGTGAAAGCAGCTTGATGGTGAAATGGAGGCAGAGGCAGATTGCAATGAGTGAAACAGTGAATGGAAAGTGAAGAAATGATACAGATAATTCTTGCTAAAAGCTTGGCTGTTAAAAGGAGGAGAGAAACAAGACTAGCTGCAAAGTGAGATTGGGTTGATGGAGCAGTTTTAAATCTCAAAATAAAGAGCTTTGTGCTTTTTTGATTATGAAAATAATGTGTTAATTGTAACTAATTGAGGCAATGAAAAAAGATAATAATATGAAAGATAAAAATATAAAAACCACCCAGAAATAATGATAGCTACCATTTTGATACAATATTTCTACACTCCTTTCTATGTATATATACAGACACAGAAATGCTTATATTTTTATTAAAAGGGATTGTACTATACCTAAGCTGCTTTTTCTAGTTAGTGATATATATGGACATCTCTCCATGGCAACGAGTAATTGCAGTTATATTAAGTTCATGATATTTCACAATAAGGGCATATCTTTGCCCTTTTTATTTAATCAATTCTTAATTGGTGAATGTTTGTTTCCAGTTTGTTGTTGTTATTAACAATGTTCCCATAAGCATTCCTGTACAAAAATGTTCACACATTTGTCTGATTTTTTCTTCAGGATAAAACCCAGGAGGTAGAATTGCTGGGTTGATAGAAGAGAAAGGATGATTGGCAAATTAAAGCTTCAGTAGAGGGTACATGCCGAGCACAAATGGGATCAGCCCTAGATACCAGAAATGGCACTTTCTCATTTCCCCTTGGGACAAAAGGGAGAGAGGCAATAACTGGTGCTGCCAGAGTTAAATTTGTACGTGGAGTAGCAGGAAATCATTTGCTGAAAATGAAAACAGAGATGATGGTGTAGAGGTCCTGAAGAGAGCAAAGAAAATTTGAAATTGCGGCTATCAGCTATGGAAGAGAGTGCTGAACTGGAAAACAAAAGAAGTATTGACAATTGGTATGCTTGTAATGGCACCGATTTGAACGCTTGTGCCATTGTTCACCAGCAGCACTCAGCAGCCAAGTTTGGAGTTTTGTAGCAGAAAGACAAATAAGTTAGGGATTTAATATCCTGGCAAAATGGTAGACAAAATGAACTCTGAGATCCAGCTGCACAGGGAAGGAAGGGAAGACGGGAAGAGGTTAGATAGGAAATACAAGAGTCAGGAGACTGGAAGATGTTGTGAAATTTAAGAACACATAGAGTTGGAGTAAAAGTGTAAGAAAACTAGAAGGGTAAGAGACCGGTCAGAAAGTAGGCTATTTGAAGTTAACACTTCAGAGGCAGAGTAGTTCTGAATGGTAACAAGAAATTGAGTGTGCCTTTGAGAGTAGGTTAAAAAACAATAGGCAACTTTATTGTAGCTACTTCTGGAACAGAAGATTGTCATTAATAGTTTTAGAAAACTAAAATATATAGCATACTTATTTGTCAATTAACAAAGAAACTATGTATTTTTAAATGAGATTTAATGTTTATTGTAGAAAACCTGGAATCAGATTACTTTGGCAAGCTTGAATCTAAATTATCAGTCATAAGAAATTTGAATGACCAAGTTCTCTTCATTGACCAAGGAAATCGGCCTCTATTTGAAGATATGACTGATTCTGACTGTAGAGGTATTTTTTTTAATTCGCAAACATAGAAATGACTAGCTACTTCTTCCCATTCTGTTTTACTGCTTACATTGTTCCGTGCTAGTCCCAATCCTCAGATGAAAAGTCACAGGAGTGACAATAATTTCACTTACAGGAAACTTTATAAGGCATCCACGTTTTTTAGTTGGGGTAAAAAATTGGATACAATAAGACATTGCTAGGGGTCATGCCTCTCTGAGCCTGCCTTTGAATCACCAATCCCTTTATTGTGATTGCATTAACTGTTTAAAACCTCTATAGTTGGATGCTTAATCCCTGCTTGTTACAGCTGAAAATGCTGATAGTTTACCAGGTGTGGTGGCATCTATCTGTAATCCTAGCTACTTGGGAGGCTCAAGCAGGAGGATTGCTTGAGGCCAGGACTTTGAGGCTGTAGTACACTGTGATCGTACCTGTGAATAGCCACTGCACTCCAGCCTGGGTGATATACAGACCTTGTCTCTAAAATTAAAAAAAAAAAAAAAAAAAAAAAAACTTAAGAAAAGAAAATGATCAAGTCTACTGTGCCTTCCAAAATATGAATTCCAAATATCAAAGTTAGGCTGAGTTGAAGCAGTGAATGTGCATTCTTTAAAAATACTGAATACTTACCTTAACATATATTTTAAATATTTTATTTAGCATTTAAAAGTTAAAAACAATCTTTTAGAATTCATATCTTTAAAATACTCAAAAAAGTTGCAGCGTGTGTGTTGTAATACACATTAAACTGTGGGGTTGTTTGTTTGTTTGAGATGCAGTTTCACTCTGTCACCCAGGCTGAAGTGCAGTGCAGTGCAGTGGTGTGATCTCGGCTCACTACAACCTCCACCTCCCACGTTCAAGCGATTCTCATGCCTCAGTCTCCCGAGTAGGTGGGATTACAGGCATGCACCACTTACACCCGGCTAATTTTTGTATTTTTAGTAGAGCTGGGGTTTCACCATGTTGGCCAGGCTGGTCTCAAACCCCTAACCTCAAGTGATCTGCCTGCCTCAGCCTCCCAAACAAACAAACAACCCCACAGTTTAATATGTGTTACAACACACATGCTGCAACTTTTATGAGTATAATGATATAGATTATAAAAGGTTGTTTTTAACTTTTAAATGCTGGGATTACAGGCATGAGCCACTGTGCCAGGCCTGAACTGTGTTTTTAAAAATGTCTGACCAGCTGTACATAGTCTCCTGCAGACTGGCCAAGTCTCAAAGTGGGAACAGGTGTATTAAGGACTATCCTTTGGTTAAATTTCCGCAAATGTTCCTGTGCAAGAATTCTTCTAACTAGAGTTCTCATTTATTATATTTATTTCAGATAATGCACCCCGGACCATATTTATTATAAGTATGTATAAAGATAGCCAGCCTAGAGGTATGGCTGTAACTATCTCTGTGAAGTGTGAGAAAATTTCAACTCTCTCCTGTGAGAACAAAATTATTTCCTTTAAGGTAAGACTGAGCCTTACTTTGTTTTCAATCATGTTAATATAATTAATATAATTAGAAATATAACATTATTTCTAATGTTAATATAAGTAATGTAATTAGAAAACTCAAATATCCTCAGACCAACCTTTTGTCTAGAACAGAAATAACAAGAAGCAGAGAACCATTAAAATGAATACTTACTAAAAATTATCAAACTCTTTACCTATTGTGATAATGATGGTTTTTCTGAGCCTGTCACAGGGAAGAGGAGATACAACACTTGTTTTATGACCTGCATCTCCTGAACAATCAGTCTTTATACAAATAATAATGTAGAATACATATGTGAGTTATACATTTAAGAATAACATGTGACTTTCCAGAATGAGTTCTGCTATGAAGAATGAAGCTAATTATCCTTCTATATTTCTACACCTTTGTAAATTATGATAATATTTTAATCCCTAGTTGTTTTGTTGCTGATCCTTAGCCTAAGTCTTAGACACAAGCTTCAGCTTCCAGTTGATGTATGTTATTTTTAATGTTAATCTAATTGAATAAAAGTTATGAGATCAGCTGTAAAAGTAATGCTATAATTATCTTCAAGCCAGGTATAAAGTATTTCTGGCCTCTACTTTTTCTCTATTATTCTCCATTATTATTCTCTATTATTTTTCTCTATTTCCTCCATTATTGTTAGATAAACCACAATTAACTATAGCTACAGACTGAGCCAGTAAGAGTAGCCAGGGATGCTTACAAATTGGCAATGCTTCAGAGGAGAATTCCATGTCATGAAGACTCTTTTTGAGTGGAGATTTGCCAATAAATAACCGCTTTCATGCCCACCCAGTCCCCACTGAAAGACAGTTAGGATATGACCTTAGTGAAGGTACCAAGGGGCAACTTGGTAGGGAGAAAAAAGCCACTCTAAAATATAATCCAAGTAAGAACAGTGCATATGCAACAGATACAGCCCCCAGACAAATCCCTCAGCTATCTCCCTCCAACCAGAGTGCCACCCCTTCAGGTGACAATTTGGAGTCCCCATTCTAGACCTGACAGGCAGCTTAGTTATCAAAATAGCATAAGAGGCCTGGGATGGAAGGGTAGGGTGGAAAGGGTTAAGCATGCTGTTACTGAACAACATAATTAGAAGGGAAGGAGATGGCCAAGCTCAAGCTATGTGGGATAGAGGAAAACTCAGCTGCAGAGGCAGATTCAGAAACTGGGATAAGTCCGAACCTACAGGTGGATTCTTGTTGAGGGAGACTGGTGAAAATGTTAAGAAGATGGAAATAATGCTTGGCACTTAGTAGGAACTGGGCAAATCCATATTTGGGGGAGCCTGAAGTTTATTCAATTTTGATGGCCCTTTTAAAGAAAAAGAATGTGGCTGGGCGTGGTGGCTCACACCTGTAATCCCAGCACTTTGGGAGGCCGAGGGGGGCGGATCACCTGAAGTCAGGAGTTCAAGACCAGCCTGACCAACATGGAGAAACCCCATCTCTACTAAAAATACAAAATTAGCTGGGCGTGGTGGCATATGCCTGTAATCCCAGCTACTCGGGAGGCTGAGGCAGGAGAATCTTTTGAACCCGGGAGGCAGAGGTTGCGATGAGCCTAGATCGTGCCATTGCACTCCAGCCTGGGCAACAAGAGCAAAACTCGGTCTCAAAAAAAAAAAAAAAAAAAAGTAAAATTACCAAAGGCATAAGCTTAATAATTTAATTCAAATTTTAATTCAAATTTTAAAAAGGGCGGGGGGTGGCTGGAAGAGATCTGTGCAAATGAGGGAATCTGACATTTAAGCTTCATCAGCATCATAGCAAATCTGCTTCTGGAAGGAACTCAATAAATATTAGTTGGAGGGGGGGAGAGAGTGAGGGGTGGACTAGGACCAGTTTTAGCCCTTGTCTTTAATCCCTTTTCCTGCCACTAATAAGGATCTTAGCAGTGGTTATAAAAGTGGCCTAGGTTCTAGATAATAAGATACAACAGGCCAGGCACAGTGGCTCATGCCTATAATCCCAGCACTTTGGGAGGGCAAGGCGAGTGTCTCACTTGAGATCAGGAGTTCAAGACCAGCCTGGCCAGCATGGCGATACTCTGTCTCTACTAAAAAAAATACAAAAATTAGCCAGGCATGGTGGCATGCACCTGTAATCCCAGCTACTCGTGAGCCTGAGGCAGAAGAATCGCTTGAAACCAGGAGGTGTAGGCTGCAGTGAGCTGAGATCGCACCACTGCACTCCAGCCTGGGCGACAGAATGAGACTTTGTCTCAAAAAAAGAAAAAGATACAACAGGCTACCCTTATGTGCTCACCTTTCACTGTTGATTACTAGCTATAAAGTCCTATAAAGTTCTTTGGTCAAGAACCTTGACAACACTAAGAGGGATTTGCTTTGAGAGGTTACTGTCAGTGTCTGTTTCATATATATACATATACATGTATATATGTATCTATATCCAGGCTTGGCCAGGGTTCCCTCAGACTTTCCAGTGCACTTGGGAGATGTTAGGTCAATATCAACTTTCCCTGGATTCAGATTCAACCCCTTCTGATGTAAAAAAAAAAAAAAAAAAAAGAAAGAAATCCCTTTCCCCTTGGAGCACTCAAGTTTCACCAGGTAGGGCTTTCCAAGTTGGGGGTTCTCCAAGGTCATTGGGATTGCTTTCACATCCATTTGCTATGTACCTTCCCTATGATGGCTGGGAGTGGTCAACATCAAAACTAGGAAAGCTACTGCCCAAGGATGTCCTTACCTCTATTCTGAAATGTGCAATAAGTGTGATTAAAGAGATTGCCTGTTCTACCTATCCACACTCTCGCTTTCAACTGTAACTTTCTTTTTTTCTTTTTTTCTTTTTTTCTTTTTTTTTGAAACGGAGTCTCGCTCTGTCGCCCAGGCTAGAGTGCAGTGGCACGATCTCAGCTCACTGCAAGCTCTGCCTCCCGGGTTCACGCCATTCTCCTGCCTCACCCTCCCAAGCAGCTGGGACTACAGGCGCCTGCCACCATGCCCAGCTAATTTTTTGTATTTTTAGTAGAGACGGGGTTTCACCGTGTTAGCCAGGATGGTCTCGATCTCCTGAACTTGTGATCCGCCCGCCTCAGCCTCCCAAAGTGCTGGGATTACAGGCGTGAGCCATCGCACCCGGCTCAACTGTAACTTTCTATACTGGTTCATCTTCCCCTGTAATGTTACTAGAGCTTTTGAAGTTTTGGCTATGGATTATTTCTCATTTATACATTAGATTTCAGATTAGTTCCAAATTGATGCCCACAGCTTAGGGTCTCTTCCTAAATTGTATATTGTAGACAGCTGCAGAAGTGGGTGCCAATAGGGGAACTAGTTTATACTTTCATCAACTTAGGACCCACACTTGTTGATAAAGAACAAAGGTCAAGAGTTATGACTACTGATTCCACAACTGATTGAGAAGTTGGAGGTAACCCCGTGACCTCTGCCATCCAGAGTCTTTCAGGCTCTTTGAAGGATGAAGAAATGCTATTTTAATTTTGGAGGTTTCTCTATCAGTGCTTAGGATCATGGGAATCTGTGCTGCCATGAGGCCAAAATTAAGTCCAAAACATCTACTGGTTCCAGGATTAACATGGAAGAACCTTAGGTGGTGCCCACATGTTCTGATCCATCCTGCAAAATAGACATGCTGCACTAACAGGAAAAGTGCAGGCAGCACTACCAGTTGGATAACCTGCAAGATTATAGTTTCAAGTAATCTAACCATTTCTCACAAGACCCTATTCTGTGACTGAAACATACAAGAATCTGCATTTGGCCTTCTAAGGCAGGGCCCAGCCAAGGAGACCATATTCAGGACAGAAATTCAAGACTACTATGGAACTGGAGTGCTTGGCAGGAAGACAGAGTCAAGGACTGCCAACTGAGCCAATACAGCAGGCTTACACAGGAACCCAGGGCCTAGCCCTACAACAATTATTGGGTCTATTCACTGTAAGTTTTAATTTCAGGCTCCACTGAAAGAGTAAGCTAAGATTCCTGGCACTTTCTGTCTCTCTCACAGTTGGCTCAGAAATGAGAACTGGCCAGGCCAGGCATGGTGGCTTACACCTGGAATCCCAGCACTTTGGGAGGCCGAAGTGGGAGGGTCACTTGAGGCCAGGAGTTCAGGACCAGCCTAGGCAACAAAGTGAGATACCCCCTGACCCCTTCTCTACAAAAATAAATTTTAAAAATTAGCCAAATGTGGTGGTGTATACTTACAGTCCCAGCTACTCAGGAGGCTGAGGCAGGGGGATTGCTTGAGCCCAGGAATTCAAGGCTGCAGTGAGCTATGATTTCACCACTGCACTTCTGGCTGGGCAACAGAGCGAGACCCTGTCTCAAAGCAAAAAGAAAAAGAAACTAGAACTAGCCTAAGTTTGTGGGAGGAGGTCATCATCGTCTTTAGCCGTGAATGGTTATTATAGAGGACAGAAATTGACATTAGCCCAAAAAGCTTGTGGTCTTTGCTGGAACTCTACTTAATCTTGAGCAAATGTGGACACCACTCAATGGGAGAGGAGAGAAGTAAGCTGTTTGATGTATAGGGGAAAACTAGAGGCCTGGAACTGAATATGCATCCCATGACAGGGAGAATAGGAGATTCGGAGTTAAGAAGGAGAGGAGGTCAGTACTGCTGTTCAGAGATTTTTTTTATGTAACTCTTGAGAAGCAAAACTACTTTTGTTCTGTTTGGTAATATACTTCAAAACAAACTTCATATATTCAAATTGTTCATGTCCTGAAATAATTAGGTAATGTTTTTTTCTCTATAGGAAATGAATCCTCCTGATAACATCAAGGATACAAAAAGTGACATCATATTCTTTCAGAGAAGTGTCCCAGGACATGATAATAAGATGCAATTTGAATCTTCATCATACGAAGGATACTTTCTAGCTTGTGAAAAAGAGAGAGACCTTTTTAAACTCATTTTGAAAAAAGAGGATGAATTGGGGGATAGATCTATAATGTTCACTGTTCAAAACGAAGACTAGCTATTAAAATTTCATGCCGGGCGCAGTGGCTCACGCCTGTAATCCCAGCCCTTTGGGAGGCTGAGGCGGGCAGATCACCAGAGGTCAGGTGTTCAAGACCAGCCTGACCAACATGGTGAAACCTCATCTCTACTAAAAATACAAAAAATTAGCTGAGTGTAGTGACGCATGCCCTCAATCCCAGCTACTCAAGAGGCTGAGGCAGGAGAATCACTTGCACTCCGGAGGTAGAGGTTGTGGTGAGCCGAGATTGCACCATTGCGCTCTAGCCTGGGCAACAACAGCAAAACTCCATCTCAAAAAATAAAATAAATAAATAAACAAATAAAAAATTCATAATGTGAACTGTCTGAATTTTTATGTTTAGAAAGATTATGAGATTATTAGTCTATAATTGTAATGGTGAAATAAAATAAATACTAGTCTTGAAAAACATCATTAAGAAATGAATGAACTTTCACAAAAGCAAACAAACAGACTTTCCCTTATTTAAGTGAATAAAATAAAATAAAATAAAATAATGTTTAAAAAATTCATAGTTTGAAAACATTCTACATTGTTAATTGGCATATTAATTATACTTAATATAATTATTTTTAAATCTTTTGGGTTATTAGTCCTAATGACAAAAGATATTGATATTTGAACTTTCTAATTTTTAAGAATATCGTTAAACCATCAATATTTTTATAAGGAGGCCACTTCACTTGACAAATTTCTGAATTTCCTCCAAAGTCAGTATATTTTTAAAATTCAGTTTGATCCTGAATCCAGCAATATATAAAAGGGATTATATACTCTGGCCAACTGACATTCATCCTAGGAATGCAAAGATGGTTTAATATCCTAAAATCAATTAACATAACATACTATATTAATAAAGTATCAAAACAGTATTCTCATCTTTTTTTCTTTTTTCACAATTCCTTGGTTACACTATCATCTCAATAGATGCAGAAAAAGCATTTGACAAAATCCAATTCATAATAAAAATTCTCAAACTTGAAAGAGAACATCATAAAGGCATCTATGAAAAACCTACAGCTAATATCATACTTAACGATGAAAAACTGAATTATTTTACCCTAAGATCAAGAATAATGCAAGCATGTCAGCTCTTGCAACTTCTATTCAACATTGTACTGGAGGTTCTAGCCAGAGCAACCATACAATAAATAAAAATAAAAGGCACCCAGATTAGAAAGGAAGTCTTTATTTGCAGACAACATGGTTCTTTATGCAGAAAACCGTCAGGAATACACACACATGTTAGAACTAATAAGTTCAGCAAGGTTGCAGGTTGCAATATCAATATGCAAAAATACATTGAAGGCTGGGCTCAGTGGAGATGGCATGTACCTTTCGTCCCAGCTACTTGGGAGGCTGAGGTAGGAGGATCACTTGAGGTGAGGAGTTTGAGGCTATAGTGCAATGTGATCTTGCCTGTGAATAGCCACTGCACTCGAGCCTAGGCAACAAAGTGAGACCCCGTCTCCAAAAAAAAAATGGTATATTGGTATTTCTGTATATGAACAATGAATGATCTGAAAACAAGAAAATTCCATTCACGATGGTATTAAAAAAATAAAATACAAATAAATTTAGCAAAATAATTATAAAACTTGTACATCGAAAATTTCAAAGCATTCTGAGGGAAATTAAAGATGATCTAAATAATTGGAGAGACATTCTATGATCACTGATTGGAAAACTCATTCAATATTGTTAAGATAACAATTGTCCCCAAATTGATGCATGCATTCAATTTAGTCTTCATCAAAATTCCAGCAGGGTTTTTGCAGAAATTGACAAGCTGTACCCAAAATGTATATGGAAATGAAAAGACCCAGAAGAGCAAATAATTTTTTAAAAACAAAGTTGGAAAACTTTTACTTCCTAATTTTAAAACTTACTATAAACCTAAAGTTATCAAGACCATTTAGTACTAATACAAGATATATAGATCAAAGGAACAGATTTCAGAGTCCAGAAATAAACTCTAATATTTATGGTTAATTGATTTTTGACAAAGGTGCCAAGTCAGTTTGATAGAGAAAATAAGGCCAGGCACAGTGGCTCATGCCTGTAATCCCAGCACTTTGGGAGGCTGAGGTGGGTGGATCACTTGAGGTCAGGAGTTCAAGACCAGCCAGGCCAACATGGTGAAACCCTGTCTCTACTAAAAATACAAACATTAGCCAGGTGTAGTGGCATGTGCCTATAATCCCAGCTACTCAGGAGGCTGGGGCAGGAGAATCTCTTAAACCTGGGAGGTGGAGTTTGCAGTGAGCCAAGAGTGTGCCACTGCTCTCCAGCCTGGGCAACAGAGCAAAACTCTGTGTCATAGATAGAGAAAATAGTATCTTTTCAACAAATGATAATGGGACAATTGGATATCCACATGCAAAAAAAAGATTAACTTAGACCCTTACCTTATACCTTATACAAAACTTCATTCAAAATGAACCAGAGACATTAATGTAAGAGTGGAAGCTATAAAACTTTTAGAATAAAGCATACAAGAAAATGGTAAAATCTTGGGTTCAGCAAAGGTTTTTTAGACGTGACCCGAGAAGCATGATCCATAAAAGAAAAATAATTAACAAATTTGACTTAACCAAAATGCATTATTTTGGGGTTGAGGGGGAACTGGGTGAAGGATACATGGGACATCTCTCTACCACTCTTGCAACTTCCTGTGAACCCTTAATTATTTCCAAATAAAAAGCTATTCTTTTCTTTCTTTAGAGAGAGTGCCTCACTCTGTCACACAAGCTGGAGTGCAGTGGTGTGATTATAGCTCACTGCAGCTATAATTCAAGTGATCCTCCTGCCTCAGCCTCCCAAGTAGCTGGGACTAAAGGCACATGCCACCATACCTGGCTAATTTTTTTTTAATTGTAGAGAAGGGAGTCTTGCTATGTTGCACAGAGTGGAAAATAAAAAGTATTTTAAGAAAGAAATAACTTTTGCCCTCAAAAGACACCATTAAGGTAATGAAAAGCGGCCAGGCAAGGTGGCTCATGCCTGTAATCCCAGCACTTTGGGAGGCCAAGGAGGGCGGATCATTTGAGCTCAGGAGTTGGAGATGAGTCTGGCCAACATGACAAAACCCTGTCTCTACCAAAAATACAAAAACTAGCCAGGCATGGTGGTGGGCGCCTGTAATCCCAGCTACTCAGGAGGCTGAGGCGGGAGAATCACTCGAACCTGGGAGGTAGAAGTTGCAGTGAGCCAAGATTGTGCCAGTGCACTCCAGCCTGGGCAACAGAGTGAGACTCTGTCAAAAAAAAAAAAAAAAAAAGAAGGAAAGAAAAGAAAGAAAGAAAAAGAGAAAGAGAGAGAGGGAGGAAGGAAGGAGAGAGAGAAAGAAAGAAGAGAGAAAGAAAGAAAGAGAAAGAAGGAAGGAAGGAAGAGAAAAGCCACAGACAGGGAGAAAGTATTTGGAAATCACATACATTGCAAAAAAACTTGTACCCAGAATATACAAAGAACTCTTAAAAACAAACCAAATAAAAAAAGACTCAATTTTAAAATGCGCAAAAGATTTCAATAGACATTTTTCAAAGAAGATATACAAATGGCAAATGAAAAGATGCTTCACATCGTCAGTCATTAAGGAAATGCAAATTTAAAACATAATGAGATACCATTTCACATCCACCAGGAAGGCTATAATCAAAAAGACAAACAGTAGCAAGTGCTAGCAAGGAAGTAGTGAAACAAGAATTCTCGTTCCTTACCTGCGGGAATGTGAGTTAGCATATAGCCATTTTGGAAAACCATTTTTTATTTTTTATTTATTTATTTATTTTTGAGACAGAGTTTCGCCCTCTCGCCTAGGCTGTAGTGAACTGGCTTGATATCAGCTCACTGCAACCTCCACCCCCCAGGTTCAAGCGATTCTCCTGCCTCAGCCTCCTGAGCAGCTGGAATTATAGGCAGCCACCAGCACGCTCAGCTAATTTTTTTTGTATTTTTAGTAGAGATGGGGTTTCGCCATGTTGGCCAGGCTGATCTCAAACTCCTGACCTCAGGTGATCCACCCGCCTAGGCCTCCCAAAGTGCTACTATTACAAGTGTGAGCCACCGGGTCTGGCCGGAAAACCATTTTTCAGTTGCTCAAAAGGTTAAGTATAATTTTTTTATACAACTCAGCAATTCCATTCCTACGTATCTACTCAAGAGAAATAAAACATATGTGCACACAAACACTTGTACATTAATGTTATAGCAGCATTATTCATAATAGCCAAAAAGTGGAAACAGGCTAAATGTCTAAAAACTGGTGAAGGGATAAACAAAATGTAGGAGATCCTTAATGGAAGACAAATCCTAACAGAAAGCAGTAAAATACTTATATGAGCTATATCACGAATGATATAGCATAACTTCAAAACATTATGCTAAGTGAAAAAAGCCACGCGTGAAAGGTTATATATTATATGATTCTACATATATGAAATGTCCAGAAAAGGCAAATCTATGGAGACAGGAAAATAGATTCATGTTTGCCTAGGGTTAACGGATATGAAGAAGCTTCATAAAAAGATATGATCTTATTGGAATGATGAAAAAAACATTTTCAACCTAGATATGGTGGGCTGGGCATGGTGGCTCACGTCTGTAATCCCAGCACTTTGGGAGGCTGAGGCAGGAGGATCGCTTGAGTCCAGGGGTTCGAGACCACCCTGGATAATATAGCAAAACCCTGTCTCTACAAAAAAGTAAAAAATTAGCTGAGCATGGTGGTGCACACCTTGTAGTCCCAGCTACTCAGGAGGCTGAAGTGGGATCACTTGAGCCCAGGATGTCAAGGCTGCAGTGAGCCAAGATAGTACCACTGTACTCCAACCTGGGCAACAGAGTAAGACCCTGTCAAAAAAAAAAAAAAAAAAACACCCACTACATATGGTGATGGTTGTACAACTTGGTGAATTTACTAAAAATTATTGTCTACATAAGATGGGTGAATTTGTGGTATACAAATTATACTTCAATAAAAGTATGTTTTAAAAGAGACAAAAAAGCCAATTAAATATTTATATTAGCTTTTATTGTTTTTTCTTTCCATAAAAATAAAACATATCTGTTAAGAAATTTTAGGAAATACAAAGAAACAGAAAGAAGAAAATGTAAACCATCCACCCTTCCATCTTCAGATAAGCATTTTTGACATTTTGGCATATAACTTTATAATTTTTCTTTCCATAGGAATGTAGGTTGAAAAATAAAAACACTCTCTATCCCTTCCCCCAGACAGAATCTAGTATACCTTTACAACCATCCCTGCAAAGCTTCAGTTGAAATATGAACAGGCAAATGGAGGCAATTTTGGACGGGCAAAGGGGAAAGCTGAGCTCAGACTGGGTGTCAAGGACGGAAAGAGCTGAACGGTTCTGCCTAAGCAAGAAGGGGGTGCTCTGAGAGGGAGGCCACAAAGAAAGTCCTAACTTAAATATTAAAAATAAAAAAAAAATTTAAAAAACCAGAGCCTGAAACAAGGACTTGTGTGCAGGTGTGTACGTAATTTATTTGAGAGGCGATCCCAGCGAGCAGGAGTGAGAAAAGGTGGAGAGTAAGAGAGCGACGGTGCAAACATCAGTAGAAGGTGGGGCATCAAGGTTGTCCCTGTGCACCTGATTTGTCCAGCCCCTCCTGAGGAGCCTGCAGAATGCTTCCCAATGGCCCACCTAAATTCAGGAAGAGAGATACGGCATGGTATTTACCTACTAGTTCCTGACACCCAGTCATTAAAGGTTGCCTGTGGGTGTGTTAACCCCCACACTTCCAAGCTGTGCTCACCCAGGCAGATTTACCTTCAGTGGAAAGTGAACAGACTCAG
The DNA here is from genome assembly GCF_000001405.40 of Homo sapiens. Classification (NCBI taxonomy): domain Eukaryota; kingdom Metazoa; phylum Chordata; class Mammalia; order Primates; family Hominidae; genus Homo; species Homo sapiens. The sequence goes on along the minus strand of NC_000011.10, from coordinate 112,137,750 downwards.
GCCAGGCATGGTGGCCCACGCCTGCAATCTTAGCACTTTGGGAGGCCAAGGCAGGTGGATCACGAACAAGGTCAGGAGTTTGAGATCAGCCTGGCCAACATGGTGAAACACTGTCTCTACTAAAAATACAAAAATTAGCTGGCACAAAATGTGGTGCATGCCTGTAAGCCCAGCTACCCGAGAGGCTGAGGCAGGAGAATTGTTTGAGTTTGGGATGTGGAGGCTGCAGTGAGCCGAGGTCATGCCACTGCACTCCAGCCTGGGCAACGAAACAAGACACTGTCAATAAAAAAAAAAAGAAGAAGAAAGAAAGAAAGAGAGAGAGAGAGAAAGAGAGAGAAAGAAAGAAAGAAAGAAAGAAAGAAAGAAAGAAAGAAAGAGAGAAAGAAAGAAAGAAAGGAAAGAAAGAAAAGAAAGAAAGAGAAAGGAAGAGAAAGAGAGAAAGAAAGAAAGGAAGGAAAGAAAGAAAAAAGAAAGAAAGAGGAAAGAAAGAAAAGAAAGAAAGAAAAAAGAAAGAAAGAAAGAGAAAGAAAGAAAGAAAGAAAGAAAGAAAGAAAGAAAGAAAGAAAGAAAGAAAGAAAGAAGGAAAGAAAGAAAATGAACAAACTCACTGCACATTTGAGGCAATATTATTAGTATGAGCTGGCATGGAACCATCCACTACACTTACTTCCAAGTACCCTTTTTCATCAAATCTAAGATGCCATTGATTGTAAGATGCACCATTATTTTATGTACCATGAAAAAAGAAAAGACACTGCCAACTAAACTACGACATGCCTTCAACTGTAAGGCATATTCTTTTTTTTTTTTTTTTTTTTTTTTGAGACGGAGTCTCGCTCTGTCGCCCAGGCGGGACTGCGGACTGCAGTGGCGCAATCTCGGCTCACTGCAAGCTCCGCTTCCCGGGTTCACGCCATTCTCCTGCCTCAGCCTCCCGAGTAGCTGGGACTACAGGCGCCCGCCACCGCGCCCGGCTAATTTTTTTTGTATTTTTAGTAGAGACGGGGTTTCACCTTGTTAGCCAGGATGGTCTCGATTTCCTGACCTCATGATCCACCCGCCTCGGCCTCCCAAAGTGCTGGGATTACAGGCGTGAGCCACCGCGCCCGGCCAAGGCATATTCTTATTTCAGAGATAATAAGATGTGAAAAGTCACTGTCTTGGAATTGATGAAAATCAGTACACAATTTAGAACTATTTGCATTACTCTAATGTGATGACCCCCATCTCCATAAACCTTTAATAAAGTCTGCTAAATATGTAACACTATGTGTGGCTGATTTTTTGTGGAAATTAGGGAGAATAGATGAATTTCAAGTCTGAATTAGTGTGAATTAAAGAGGAGCATGCTTTGAATATCAAGATGATCCTTGTTGGAGGCAGCAAGCCATAGAACCAAAGTTTTCCCAGAGTCTCGAGAATCTGAAGAAACTTTGAGAACAACACTGAACTTTACTCAGATGGGGGTTAGAGCCAATCTTAAGATCCTAATAGACAGGGAGAGTACTTCTGTAAAAAAAAATACAGAACAAGCATCAGATAAACAGACTGTTTTATGTCCTTTCCCTCTTAATTACTTAGTTTGATCACTTTTTTTTTATTGGCTAGAATCTGACATCAGTCTTTGCCAATTTGGGTCTTAGAAAATTAAATCTGAAGCTGAATATGGTGGCACACGTCATATAGTCCCAGCTACTCAGGAGGCTGGGGTGGGAGGATCACTTGAGCCCAGGAGGTCGAACTGCAGTGAGCCATGCTTGTGCCACTGTGCTGTACCCTGGGTGACATAGCAAGACCCTGTCTCTAAAATAAAAAAAATTACATTAAAAAATTTTTTAAAGAAGGAAACTAAAGGATTGAGTCATGCCCTTTTCTTTCTTTTTCTTTCTTTCTTTCTTTCTTTCTTTCTTTTTCTCACTCTTTCTTTCTCTCTCTCTCTCTCTCTTTCTTTCTTTTCTTTTCTATTTTTGAGACAGGGTCTCACTCTTGTCACTCAGACTGGACTGCGGTGGCATGATCATGGTTCACTGTAGCCTCAAACCTGTGGACTTAAGGGATTCTCCCACCTCAGTCTCTCGAGTAGCTGGGACTACAGGTGTGCAAGGTAATGCCCTGCTGACTTTTTTATTTTTTGTAGAGACAATGTTCCACTATGTTGCCCAGGCTGGTTTTAAACTCCTGGGCTCAAGTAATCCTCCCACCTCGGCCTCCCAAAGTGCTGGGATTATAGGTGTGAGCCACTGCACCCAACCCCATTCATTTTCTCAGCTTCTTTGGTCTCGCTTCTTTATATGTTGACTTCTTATAATATGATGTGGACATTTAAAGATGCAGTGTGAAATGATGAAATGAGGAGAATGGGTTTTGCAGACACACAACCTTGTTTTATATCTTGTTCCATAACCCAAGGCTTGTCCCAAAACCAAGTACAAAGTGTACTTTGGACACAATCTCTCTGAGGCTTGGTTTTCTTACATGTAAATGGGAATGATAAGAAATACCTACCTCATAAGATGGTTGTACGGATTAAATGAGATAAAGCTCCCAGTGGTATCTGGTACTGGAACACCATAGCTAAGAAGTATTATTTCCCGGCCGGGCGCGGTGGCTCACGCCTGTAATCCCAGCACTTTGGGAGGCCGAGGCGGGTGGATCATGAGGTCAGGAGATCGAGACCATCCTGGCTAACAAGGTGAAACCCCGTCTCTACTAAAAATACAAAAAATTAGCCGGGCGCGGTGGCGGGCGCCTGTAGTCCCAGCTACTCGGGAGGCTGAGGCAGGAGAATGGCGTGAACCCGGGAAGCGGAGCTTGCAGTGAGCCGAGATTGCGCCACTGCGGTCCGCAGTCCGGCCTGGGCGACAGAGCGAGACTCCGTCTCAAAAAAAAAAAAAAAAAAAAAAAGAAGTATTATTTCCCTTCCTACACTTCTCCATACACCCACCACTCACCCCCACCAGACCTCACACACTACACATCACGTGCAGGAGAGAAAAGAGGCCTTTCCTCCCTACAAGAACTAATCCCACCCTGTTTTATGTCATTTCTCTTCCTGCACTGTGTAAACTCATTTCCCACCCTAAAGGAATAAAAGCATCATTGCCTCCTGTCTTTCTGGCTCGTAGCCGTATGTTGCTTTTGCCCTATCTTTCAACACATGGGCTTTATAACTGAAAGAAAATGTCAGGACATAAAAGCCTGCTTTGTTTTGCATGTTTGTTTTCCAAATTTTACACTTTTGATTTTGTTGCACACACACACACACACACACACACACAAATCCAATTTTACCTAATCCATAGAAAATAGCACTTCACAGCTTGGAATTTTGCTAAATCTATGATCGTTTCCAGATTCACAAAACCCATATAACTGAACAAATTTTTTACTCACATCTGCAGTCCTGCTCAAAATTTAGCCTTGATTTTTTCTTCTGATGGTGATAGCAAACGTTCATGGATGGGTCCTTAGGAGTGGACCGTGTCTTTTGTCTAGGACTTAAATTCAATGTATCTCACAGAGCTCAGTTCAGGGAACTAGGAAGTAAAAAACAATCAAAGGTGTAATCCCAGCCCTTTGGGAGGCTGAGGTGGATGGATCACCTGAGGTCAGGAGTTCAAGACCAGCCTGGCCAGCATGGTGAAACCCCATCTCTCCTAAAATACAAAAATTAGTCAGGTGTGGTGGTGCGTGCCTGTAATCCCAGCTACTCGAGAGGCTGAGGCACATGAATCGCTTGAACCTGGGAGGCAGAATTTGCAGTGAGCTAAGATCGTGCCACTGCACTCCAGCCTGGGTGACAGAGCAAGACTCTGGTCTCAAAAAATAAAAAACAACAACAACAACAAAAATCAAAGGCATAGGCAAATTTGTGTCAAGATGCTGTGACATTCCACCTTCCCCCACAGAATCCCTCAACTGATACACAAAGAAAGCACTTTCTCTTTTTGGTTCTTAGACTGCAGTATGAACTACAAGACATTTTCAGAATCATTAACTCACTTTTTTAAAGCCTTTAATTAAAAAAAAAAAAAAAAAGATGGTTGGAGATATGTCCAGAAAGCTCTCAAATATCATATTTCTCCTAACACAATGCCTTTCAAGACTGGAGGCACACATTGGGGCAGAGCCTTGGGCCTTCCACCGGGACCCTGCAACAGGAGGGATAAGAGCAAGCACAAAGGGAGAGGAGGACTTCTGGGTGGCTGGTTGGGAAAGACTTCACAGAAAAAGTGTCACTTAAGCTAACCCATGAAGGACAAGAAGAATTTCTGAAGACACATGTGAGGAAGGACTGTTTCCTTCGAGCACGGGAACTTGGATTTGTGGAAGTTCTCTCTGTAGGTCAGAGCCCTAATTGATATAGCAGGTATGAGTCAAAGTCCACAAACTGATGTGTAAGAAATGCAACTTTATTTTCTATATTTTAATTTCTTCTCCAAGTTCTCATTATGCTGAGGGTAGTGGAAACTCAATCTGAGTAATCGCTGGGTGCCCCTCTTTCTACATAGTTGTATGTAAGTTCCACAGGGTAAATAGTACCAAGGTGCCAGGGACAGGGTGAGTAGGGATCTGATCCTTGGTCAATACTGACAATCTCTGAATCTGCTGAGATGTCTGGCTACTGAGCAGAGCCTCACTATTGTCCACAAAGCCCTTTTAGGAGCATAGCTGTCTCCATTTCCACAGCTGCTGACCCAGGATCCATTTCACCACCTCCGTGATAATGACAGGCAGGTGATTGGGGTGGGATTGGCATCCACCACCACCCCTCCCTTCTGAGGCAGGAGATCAGCAGGACTTGCTTCCCAGGCACCAGTCATGACCCCGCTGAACAAAACAGTCTGGTCAGAACAGGATGTGGTAAAGAACCCAGCTAAAACCAAGATGGTGACAAAAGTGACCTCTAATTACCCTCACTGCTCATTATATGCTAATTATAATGTATTAGCATATGAAAAGACACTCCCACCAATGCCATGACAGTTTACAAACACTATGGCAATGCCCAGAAGTTACCTTATATGCTTTAGAAGGGGAGAAACCCTCTATCCCAGGAATCCTCACACCTTTTCTAAAAAATATGTGAATAACCCACCTCTTATTTAGCATATAATTAAGGAGTAGCTATAAATAATATAGCTAGCTAGCAGGCCAGGTGCGGTGGCTCACACCTGTAATCCCAGCACTTTGGGAGGCCGAGGCAGGTGGATCACCTGAGATCAGGAGTTCGAGACCAGTCTGGCCAATATGGTGAAACCACATCTCCACAAAAAATACAAAAATTAGCCAGGTGTGGTGGTGGGTGCCTGTAATCTTAGTACTTGGGAGGCTGAGGCAGGAGGATCACTTGAACCTGGGCGGTGGAGGCTGCAGTGAGCCAAGATTGTGCCACTGCACTCCAGCCTGGGTGACAGAGCAAGACTCTACCTCAAAACATACACACACACACACACACACACACACACACACACACACACAAATATAGCTAGCCAGCAATCCACAAGTGCTACTCTGCCTGTGGAATAGCCCTGCTCTGTCTATGGAGCTGCCATTTTCCTGTACTCTGTTGCTCTAAGAAATTTGCTTTGCTTTCATTTTAATCTGTTGGCTGGCTCTTGAATTCTTTCCTGCACACAAGAACCTTCCCAGGCTGAGCCCCAATTTGGGGTTCACCTGCATCACTACCAGTTCCACTGGTGGCTCCTGCTTGACTCAGGCTTAACCCCTCCTTCTTGCCTTGATAGCATGTCCTCATTACAGTGGTTCTTTTAGGGCTGAGCATGTGACTGAGGTTGGTCCAAACTGAAAAGTATTTCTGCGTGGTTGGGAGAAGACACATTCTCTTTCTGAACAGGCAGGTGTGAGGCTGGAGCTGACTCAGCCACCTTGCTGTTAGGAGGGAAGCCAGCCTGAGGTTAAAGCCAACACCCATGTGAGAACAACAATGAACTGAGTCTAATCACAGCACTCCCACCTCTGAGCTTTTATTACCGAGCCAATAAAATCTGTTTATTCCATTTGAATTAGATTAAAAAAAAAAAAAAAAGTCTTGCTCTGTCACCCAGGCTGGAACGCAGTGGCATGACCTTGGCTTCCTGCAACCACTGCCTCCCAGGTTCAAGCAATTCTCCTGCCTCAGCCTCCTGCGTAGCTGGGATTACAGGCACGTGCCACCATGCCCAGCTAATTTTTTGTATTTTTAGTAGAGATGGGTTTTCACCACGTTGGCCAGGCTTTCCCAGCAAACAGAAATGAGGGCCCAGGAAAAACCTCTGACTGCACAGGGTCCCCCATCTGATGTCTGTTCCAGGGGAAGATCTGGGGTTTGTGGGACTGCAGGCCTATCCAGCAGAGAGGTGGCTATCAGCTGTTGTATTTTAAGAAAAACAGTACAGTAATATGAACAAAAAATCAGGTGTAAAAATGTGTATGTAGAATGGCCGGGCACAGTGGCTTACGCCTGTAATCCCAGTACTTTGGGAGGCAGAGGCGGGTGGATCACCTGAGGTCAGGAGTTCAAGACCTGCCTGGCCAACATGGTGAAACCCCATCTGTACTAAAAATACAAAAATTAGCTGGGCGTGGTGGTAGGTGCCTGTAATCCCAGCTACTTGGGAGGCTGAGGCAGGAGAATTACTTGAGCCCAGGAGGCAGAGGTTGCAGTGTGCCAAAATCGCGCCATTGCACTCCAGCCTAGGCAACAAGAGCAAGACTCTGTCTTACAAAAAAAAAAAAAGTGTATGTAGAATAACAAAATAAATCAAATTATAATTTTTAAAAGCTGACAAATACTACAAATATTATCGTGCACAGAAAAATATGACTTTCCTGAAACAGCAACATAATATTTTTAATTTTTCTTGTCTTGTCTGTGACAGAGTGAGACCCTTTGTCACCCAGGCTGCAATGCAGTGGCACAGTCTCGGCTCACTGCAGCCTCAACCTCCCAGGCTCAAGTGATCTTCCCACCTCAGCCTCCCAAGTAGCTGGGACCACAGGTGTGCGCCACCATACCTGGCTAATTTTTGTGTTTTTTGTAGAGACAGGGTTCCACCATGTTGTCCTGGCTAGTCTCAAACTCCTGAGCTCAAGCAATCCACCAGCCTCGGCCTCCCAAAGTGCTAGAATTACAGGCATGAGCCATCACACCCAGCCTCAATTTTTAAATATTTGTTAATTTTTAAATTGACATACTATAAACTTTGCTTTTGTGTACAGTACATGAATTTTAACAGATATAGATTCATGTTCCTACTAACATAATTAAGATACAGGCCAGTTAATCACCCAAATCCCCTCATCCTGCCCCTTTGTAGCCAAACCCACCCCTCAATGCTAACCCCTGGCAAAAGCTGGTTTGTTTATCATCCATATAGTTTTCCCTATTCCAGAATGTTTTACAAATGGAATCAAACACTATGAAACATTTTTGGACTGCCTTTTTCCATTCAACAAAATGCTTTTGTGATTCATTCAAATCGTTGTATGTATTTATAGTTTAGTCCTTCTTATTGTTGAGTTCCCCCCACAAACCCTGCTCCGCTCATAGCTATTCCCATCTCAGTTGATGGAGACTCTATCCTTCTAGTTGTTCAAGCCAAAAACTTCTTAAGTAATTTTTGAGTCCTCTTTTTCTCTCAACCCCACATCTAATCCATCAGGAAATCAGGTTAGCTCTACCTTTAAAATATACTGATTGTTCAATTGCGTCTCAGCGTCCTTGCCACTATCAGCCTCATCTGAGCCATGTGATCAGTTACTGCAGCAACCTCACCCCTATACCCTCCTCCCAAGTCCTTGGGCCCTGCCTTGGCTTCCCTACAATCTGTTCTTAATAGAGCAGCTGCAGTGGTCCTTTTAAAAACAGAAGTCAAATCATGAGACATCTCCGCTCAAAGTTCTGCAAAAGTTCCTCTTTCCATTGGAGTAAGTGCCAACATCCTCATAACGGCTTACAAGGCCCAGCAACCTCTGGTCCCCATTGACTGCCTGGTCCCCAGTTCCCAGTTCCCACTCCAATTTTGTCTCCTACTTCTCTAGTCTTCATTCAGCCTGCTTCAGCCACACCGGTCTTGCTGTTGCTCTGACACTCTAAGCGTACTTCCAGCTTGGGGCCTAGTTATTTTCTCTGCCTGTAATTCTCTCCCCTCAGAGGTCCATTTGACAAATTCCTCATCTCCTTCAGGATGCTGATGAAATCTCACTTGTTCAGTGAAGCTTACCCTGGCTATTTAATACCATAACCTGCCCCGTCCCACCTCCACACATTCTAGTTCCCTTTACACCACATTATTTTTCATCTATAGGCCCATCACCTTATAATATATAATGTTTACATATAATTAATATATATAGTATGCTCATTGTTTATTGTCCCTCTTCCTTGGTAGAACGTTGGGTCCCAGAGGCAGAGACCTTTGTCTGTTTTATTCACTGATGTATCCCAATCACCTAAGCGCAGAACCCGGACCAGAGCAGGTGCTCAATGTATGAATATACACAAATGAATGAAGAAGGGAAGGTATAAATTCTGAGGCTTAATGCTTTCTGGCAGACAAAGCAAGTCAGTTGATGAAATGCACAAACTTCCAAGCTCTCTGAAGTTCTGAGGACTCCAGTCAACAGCCTCAGCTCTCTGAGCTGAGAGCCAGAGGGCAACATCTGTGGCTTAGGATTTTGCCTGTCACTTAGCAGTGGCTGGTAGCCTGGGCATCTTACGTGGTTAAATATTTACTGTGAAGAAAGAACTCCAACAGCTGCTGCACCCAGCCCCCGAGGAGGGCTGTGTGGATGGAGCACAGTGTTCAGAACCACACAGGGGCCCTCCCTCTCAGCATGCCTTTCCCACCTGGATAACACCTCACACCCTCACTTCCCAGCATCCAAAAAGGCTCCACCCTTCTCTCCTGGCACCCTGACAGGGATGGTTACACCCAAGCAAGGGGTCATAAAGCCCCTCCATATTAAATGCCTTTTATACGACATTATTTCCTGTAACTATACAGATATCCATAAATCAAGCTCCTAATGCAAAGGCTCCAAAGGCTAGAGAGTCTATGGGAGTGCCCATAAATTGCTTAAGGAAGGAATAACAATTTGAAGTGTCAGGGACAAAGCAGAATCTCCTCATTCATCTAAGTAGTGATTCACCCTGGGCTGCCTGCCAAAGTCACAGGCTTCAGCAGCCAGTGGTTCCATGAAAATATGAGCCTGGTTTCCTGGTGTCTTCCCATCTCTGCCATCTGACAATCCACCTTGGGTCTGCCACCTTGTCTTCTCACTCCACCACTCTCCAGCTAGCCCATCAGGGTTGGAAGCCATGCATTGAATCTTGAAGCTCACATGTTATTTTCACCCTTAGGTAGAAGAAGACAAACTAATTTTTTTTTCTTTTTTTTTTTTTAGACCGAGTGTCTCGTGGTGTGGCCCAGGTTAGAGTGCAGTGGTACAGTCTGGGCTCACTGCAACCTCCACCTCTGGGGTTCAAGCGATTCTCCTGCCTCAGCCTCTGGGGTAGCTGGGACTACAGGCACATGCCACCAAACCCCTCTAATTTTTTGTATTTTTAGTAGAGATGGGGTTTTGCCATGTTTGCCAGGCTGGTCTCAAACTCCTGAGCTCAAAGTGATCCACCCACCTTGGCCTCCCAAAGCACTGGGATTATAGGCATGAGCCATCACACCCGACCCCAATTTAACAAGAAGTATTAAAATGCCTTTCATGCATCTGACAAATATTTATTGAGCACCTACTATAAGCCAAGCTCTTTTCAAGGCACTAAGTATTCAGAAAATAACAGAGAAAGATCCCTGTTCCCAAGGAACTTACATTCTAGTAGGGGGAAAATGACATGTAGACAGAATGTTTTAAAGATCCAAAAATCAGATAACACAAAATGCTATCTGAAAAATTAAGAACCTCAGTGAAGGCTGCGCGTGGTGGCTTATGCCTGTAATCCCAGCACTTTGGGAGGCCGAGGCGGGTGGATCACGTGGTCAGGAGTTCGAGACCCGCCTGGCCAACACAGTGAAACCTGTCTCTACTAAAAATACAAAAATTAGCCAGGCGTAGTGGCAGGCACCTGTAATCCCAACTACTCAGGAGGCTGAGGCAGAAGAATTGCTTGAACCCAGGAAGCAGACATTGCAGTGAGCCGAGTTCGCACCACTGCACTCCAACCTGGGTGACAGAGTGAGACTCCATCTCAAAAACAAAAACAAAACAAAACAAAAACAAAAAAGAACCTCTATGAAGAGGTGATGGTTAAACTAAGATGTGAAAGCCAAGACAAGATCTCCCATGCCAAGATTATGAGGATGAGCATTCTCGGCACAGAGAATAGCTGGTGCAAAGGTCCTGAGGCTGGAGCAAGCTTGGAGTGTAGGAAGCAGAGAAAATGGCTCCTGTGGCCAGGGGAGATTTGGCAGAAGGGAGAGTGGCCATAAATGAGGTGGGAGAGGCAGTTGTGGTTTGGTCAGAGTCTTTGTGGACTCAAGAATGGGGTATGGATTTTATCTAAATGCCAACACAGGGCTTTAAGTTGGGGGAATTATGCAATCTGATTTATGTTTCTGAAAGATTATTCTGGCCACTGGGAAGAGAATGGATTTGAGTTGGGCAAAGGTGGAAGCAGAGAGACCAGTTAGGAGGCAGTGTGCTAGCCTAGATGAGGGATAACAACACCGGACCAGATGTAGCAGTGCACGAGGAGAGAGCTCTCTGATTCCGATACTTTTTGGAGAGTCAGCAGGAATCGCCAATAGATTGGATGTGAGGGTAAGGGTAGGGAGGAATGCAGGATGACTCCTGGTTTAGGTCTGACATCACCTGGCCTATCCAACCTTACTTGCCAAGCAAGCTGAATTCCTGAAGAGTAGAGTCCATTTACCATCTGCTTTCTCTACAAAACCATGACCCTCATTGGCAATGGAGTTTTCCATATTCAGAATCACATAGGGACAGACATCTTTAAGAAGGTCTCCGTTGGGCACGGCAGCTCACACCTCTAATCCCAGCACTTTGGGAGGCCGAGGCAGGCAGAATTCGAGGTCAGGAGTTCGAGACCAGCCTGGCCAACATGGTGAAACCCCATCTCTACTAAAAATACAAAAATTAGCTGGGCTTGGTGGCGCATGCCTGTAGTCCCAGCTACTCGGGAGGTTGAGGCACGAGAATCACTTGAACCTGGGAGGTGGAGGTTACAGTGAGCTGAGATCACACCACTGCACTCCAGCCTGGGAGGCAGAATAAAACTGTCTCGAAAAAAAAAAAAAAAGTGTCCAGACAGGCCTGGTAGTATCAAATCTCACATTTAAAACAATGAGTACGAAGGAAATGCACCTTCAGTCTCTAAAGCAACTAAAAGATAAATCTATTGGATGCATATTCATAACATACACAACCCACACACATGCTTGCTGCTTTAAAAATTAGTTGAGATCAAAAATTAAATTGCAGCTCATAGTTTTCTAAGTCCTTTCATGGCTTCTATAGAATTCAACATACAGAATAGGTCTTGTTTATAATCACAATGCTCCAATTAAAAAAAAAAGAGGCTATTATCCTTGTTATACAGAAGGGTATACTGAGGTGCAGAGGAAAAAATAAACAGAGGTTCAGGAAGTGAAATGCTTTGCCCGAAGATCACCCAGCTAGTCTCTGGTAGTGCCAGAGCTCCCAGCCCCTTAGTCTTTCCACCACGACATATAATTTTCCAATAAACCACTATACTATTGGGTATCTGTGGGCCCCAAGGAGACAAGAAAGATAATTTCAAAATAAGGAGACTAATTGAGACCTTAGCAGAAGCATAAAGCCAGTATCCATTGGCATGCCAAGGAGACAGCAAGCAGGATCCCTGCCCTCAAGACTTTTAGAATCAGAGGCCAGGTGCAGTGACTCACGCCTGTAATCCCAGCACTTTGGAAGGCCAAGGGAGGATCCCTTGAGTTTAGGAGTTGGAGATCACCTGGGCAACATAGCAAGATCTCATCTCCACTAAAAATTTAAATTAAAAAAATTAGCTGGGCATGGTGGCGCCTGCCTTTAGCTACTCAGGAGGCTGAGGCGGGAGGATTACTTGAACCTGGGAGATCAAGGCTGCAGTCAGCTATGATCGCGCCACTGCACTCCAGGCTGGGAAACAGAGTGAAACCCTGTCTCAAAAGAAAAATAGAAATTTAAAGTCAGAGAGTTGGTCATTTGGTTGGTATTATTAAGCACCTACTGTGTGCCAGGCATTGGCATTGTGCCAGGTGCTGGGCATACAAAAATGACCCAGACGTAATACCTGCTTTTAAGGAACTTGAGTATCTATAAGACAGAGAAAAATATATGTATTTTTTAAATGTTAAAAACAAACAAAAAAGATACTATAGACCAGGTCTATAATATGCCAAAATCATCCATCAAGTTACTAAATGAACCTGTTATATCTTGCAACTTTACTGAACTCATTTCTCAGTTCTGTTTTTTGGTGGAATCTTTAGGGGTTTCTATATAAGTTCAGGGGATCTAATGTAAACAAAGTAACTACAGTTAATAATATTGTCCTGTTTACTTGAAATTTGATGAGAGAACAGATTTTAAGTGTCCTTACCGCCCTCTACCCTGACACACACACAAATGGTAACTATGGTGTGGTGACGGATGTGTTAATTAATTTGATTGTAGTAATCATCAAACAATGTATATCAAATTATCACATTGTATACCTTGAAAATATATAATTATTTGTCAATTAGTTTTTTAATTGGTTGTTTTGTTTTTTTTTAACTTGTCACACTGGTTTTCTGACATCCTGCAGTTGAAGAAAAGCAGTTGCTTGCAGGGTAGACTTCAGATAGAGGAAATAAAAAATTTTAAAAAGAAAATAATTTTAAAAAGAAAAGAAATTTCTTAATTATTTTTACCTATACCAGTAATCCTAATAATTATTGCAATTACTCATGGCTTTACAGACATAATTATTTATGCAAACATTACCTGTCAGACACAGCAACAGCACACTAAAGACAAAAAATGTTTATTAATAATGATAGTAAACAGAGGAGCTAAGCCAGCTTGAGTTAATCAGTGAATTCTTCCTAGAATAGATAATTTTAAGTCACACTTAAGGTAAGAAACTTGTTTAGGTAGAGAAAAAGAAAATAATTACTACCTATTGTCGACTTCTCAAAGTGTCTTTACACGCCTCCCGGGTTTAAGCGATTCTCCTGCCTCAGCCTCCTGAGTAGCTGGGACTACAGGCGCCCGCCACCACACCCAGCTAATTTTTGTATTTTTAGTAGAGACAGGGTTTTTCACCATATTGGCCAGGCTGGTCTGGATCTCTTGACCTCGTGATCCACCCGCCTCAGCCTCCCAAAGTGCTATGATTACAGGCTTGAGCCACCATGCCCAGCCCACATATGTTATTAATCTTTTTTTACAGTAAGAAGAATACTTAGCTGGGCACGGTGGTGTACACCTGTCATCCCAGCTTCTCAAGAGACTAAGGCAGGAGGATCACCTGAGCCCAGGAGTTCGAGGCTGCAATGAGCTATGATCGTGCCCCCACACTCCAGCCCGGGCAACAGAGTAAGACTCTGTCTCTAAAAAGAAAGAAAGAAGATTGTAGGAGAACTTTTATGCTTTAGTGGAAAATTATATTATGCATGGTCTTGAGGAGGCCCCTCTAATTATCTGACTCCAATTCTGCTGAAGCTATTTTACTATTCTTTAAGTTGTATAGAACTGATAACAATCCAAAATAATTCTTGTCTATAGACATGCAGTTCTCTCCTGTGTAGTGGAAGAGCCATTGACTTCCCTCCTTCCTTCTGAAAACCAGTTTTGCCTCCATCCCATTTATTTCAATATTTCTTCTCTATAAATGTGTCTGTTCTTCAGATTATCTTCTGAACTGGTTGCAACAGCTTCCTGATTCTCTCATAGATTAAGTGAATAGAATAAAATCTTTAACGTGTTCATTTTTACATCTGTTTGAGAATCGTGACTTTATCTTATTTTAAGAGTGGTCTTTTAATAGGATAAAAGAGAGACAGGCAATATAGGAAAATTGGATAAAATGAGGGGGAGAGGAAGAGACAAAAGGAAAAAAAGGCCATTTTCTTGTAAAGTCTGACAAAATAAATTTGTTAAAAGTCAGGTCTTCTGAAGGATTCAAGTCAATATAAATTTTCCTTTTTTCACATATTGTTGAGTTGTGGCATTAGTGTAATTGGGGAAATATACTTAAAAATAAACTTTTCTCTCAACCCAGTAAATCTCTCCACAAAGGAAGAGAAAGAAAACACACTTATTATTGAATAAGCATTAAACCAGAAAGTGATGCACATCCCAAGCAATTCACTAAAAGATTGCAAAGGCAGAAATAAATCTCACCCTTTCATACAGCCAGACAGACGCAATCCATTACACACGTGTTCTCAAGATAAACAATCATCAGTCCAAGGAAGAGGACTTGACAGCGCCATTCATAACACATCGTTCATCCTAAATTCACCTGGTAACAGGGGTGACCACCTGTGTTAGTCACTTGGTTTAATACAAAGGAAAAAGAAACTTCTGCTATCTTCTTGGCAGCAGGGAGTTTTGCCACTGGGTGCCAGGCACCTGCCGAAGCTAGGCTCCTACACTCTCACAAAAACTGCGACACAGGGAAATGATTTTCCCTGGAAGTTTACATTCAGAAGAGATGGCTCCTGGGTCCTTGAGAAAGACATTCCTGGGTTGTAAAGCTAGCAAAATTCGTATTTAAATTTTACAAGGATTTTATGTATTCTGAAGAGAACTTACACGTTTTCTAAAGTAAATACTCTAAGAAAAGGGACCAGGGCAGGTCTCATCCCTTATTTTATTTTATTTTATTTTATTTATCTATTTATTTATTTTTTATTTTTATTTTTTTTGAGATGGGGTCTCATTTTGTCGCCCAGGTTGGAGTGCAGTGGCGCCATCTGGGCTCACTACAACCTCTTCCGCCCAGGTTTAAGCAATTCTCTGCCTCAGCCTCCCGAGTAGCTGGAAGTACAGGCGCCTGCCACCACATCCAGCTAATTTTTTTTTTTTTTTTTGTATTTTTAGTAGAGACAGGGTTTCACCATCTTGGCCAGGCTGGTCTTGAACTCCTTGACTTTGTGATCCATCCCCCTCGGCTTCCCAAAGTGCTGGGATTACAGGCGTGAGCCACCATGCCTGGCATCCTTTATTTTTAACAGGAAGAATTGAGCTTCTTATTTTTGCCTTACATGTGTGAATCATTACTGAGGTTATTATAATATCCAACTGCACACACCCTCACCTCCCAACCTTTAATGCTCAGCGCCCACACACAAGTCCAGTTTCATCTCCAAAGGCATGCAGTTTCATCCCCCTTAGGCTTGCAGGCTCCTTTGTGAGTCTAAGTGTCAGAAGACGGGGAAAGAGAGGCTCAAGCTTGTTTGGCATTTGAGGCCAAAAGATGACCCCATCACCACCAGACTGGTTGTTCCTGGAAGGGTCACTGTAGGAGCTAGGGTCACAGATGTCCCAAGAAGGTCTAAGGGGCTTTCCACTTGCTGCAACAGTCTAGACTAAAGAGTTCCTTGAAAAAAAAACAAGCTCATGTCTCACCGTTAGTTCAGTCAGGGGTTCTCAAGACAACAGCTCTGTGGACATAGTTACTTTCTCAGGAGGTAAGTCTGCCCCAAGACAGCTGGGTAAGGCCAGCTTCCAGCACCAGCCATTTCACATGCCAAAAGCTGTGCCCTTCTCCTGCTGCCTTCGCCAGTGCAGGGGCCGTCAAGCTGGTTTCATCTCCAGCCATTGTGGTAATTTTATGGCAGGAAACTGGAACTCCTGGCCTTATCTGCCCCCAAGTCTAGAACTGGACCGTGCAGTTTCCTTCCAATGAAGGTGCCCTAACCTTGACGCTGAGAGTGGTAAGAGATTGGACTCTTAGAGCTTGTCCTTTCGAGAGGTTCTTGAGTCCTTTATACAAAATTTTGACCTCTTCTTTAAAGCTATGGACATTGAAGAAATTGGAAGGAAGGGAGGTACAGTTATATTCTTTCCCTAGGGCATTATAGGAAAAAAGTCACAATTCCATAGCAAAAAAAGCCAATTGAGTGATTTCCTTGAGTAATTTTTACTGTAAGTGATTTGCTGCCTCTGCTTAAAAGTCAAGAAGTAGCATCTTCTTTAAGTTCTGCCTCACCAGGCTTCCAGCTACACTTAAAATTAATTAGCTAAGAATGTAGGAAATCATCTTTCTGTGTTCTCAATGCCCAAAGTCAGCCTTGAAAGTAAAGTGTACTTCTCCTTTGCAATGACGAAAAGGAGGTATGTTTTAGAAATAGACTTTGACTAACTAGTCCTACTGACATTCTAAAGCAATCAAAATCACAATGCCCTTTTGTTTGTTTGTTTGCTTTTTGAGAGGACAGGACTGCTTCATTCCAAAACACCCATAAATTAAAATTAATTTCAAAACACCTCCAAAATAGAATAGTTTTTGCCATAGTTCTGAGTCATTTTTTAACATCTTTCTTCTTAATTGGATATTATATCCCTAATAATTCATACCTTTTTGTTTTCTGGTTTTTTTTGGGGGGGGGGTTGGTTTGGTTTGGTTTTTGGTTTTTGAGACGGAGTCTCGCTCTGTCGCCCAGGCTGGAGGGCAGTGGCGAGATCTCGGCTCACTGCAAGCTCCGCCTCCTGTGTTCATGCCATTCTCCTGCCTCAGCCTCCCTAGTAGCTGGGACTACAGGCGCATGCCATCACGCCCGGCTAATTTTTTTTTTTTTTGTATTTTTATTAGAGACGGGGTTTCACCGTGGTCTCAATCTCCTGACCTCATGATCCGCCCACCTCGGCCTCCCAAAGTGCTGGGATTACAAGCGTGAGCCACCGCGCCCTGCCAATTCATACCTTTTAAAGCATATAGAAGAGTTTGAAACAAAGTGGATTAACTACCGTGATTTTTTAAACTACAGCTATTACTACAGTACTGCCAGAGTACAATTGATTTAGCTCATCGTTGCAACTGCCCAACTGAGCAATAGGAGTGGGTTTTTCCACCCAATTTTGTGGGAAACGACCTGAAGAGAAAGTTATATTGATGTTAAGCAGCTCCACTATCCGCGTGACTAATCTTGGTTCATAAGTTTCATTGGGCCTATGACTCACTTCTCTATTTTAGATATTTATTGCCCAGGAAATAACACTGATACCATTAGAACCCGTTTCCAGTTTGAACGATGCCAAAATTACAAGTCAGCACAGGAAAAAGCTCAGCTCCTATGTGTTAATTACAACATCAATGCAAGCAAAAAAGAAAAAAGTTTGAGCTTTTGCAATCCTTCATTTATCCAGCATTTGTGACCAATGGGATGTTCTATATGTTGAGAAGGAGAAAGAGGACAGTCGACGGACCAGACCAGACTGCCCTGCTTGTCTGAGCCTTGGTGTGATCGCCAGGGGGGAATGCATATGGGGTTCAAGTTTAAGGGTCACAACCTTACATTTGTCCAGTTACCCGTATTAAAGATTAAGTGCTAGCCATGCTCTTAAGACATAGGACATAAGCCAAAATATAAATGTATTCATTTTTTATGCACACACACACACACACACACACACACAATAAAACTGTCAAATGAACAAAATTCCAGTGTCCATTAGTCAATATCCTGACTTCCCAGTTTTTTAAAAAAAGTCTCTTTAGAAACCAAGCCATTATCAGAAGTTTGCTTTGAACACATTTTATTGGCTTATGTGCCTGTCCATCAAGTCTGTGAGCTTCTGGTGTCTTTTTTTTTTTTTTTTTTTTTGAGACAGAGTCTTGCTCTGTCGCCCAAGCACGATCTTGGCTCACTGCAACCTCCACTCCCCCAGGTTCAAGCGATTCTCCTGCCTCAGCCTCCCAAGTAGCTGGGACTACAGGCATGCACCACTACGCCCGGCTAGTTTTTGTATTTTTAGTAGAGATGGAGTTTCACCATCAGCCTGTTGGCCAGGCTGGTCGCGAACTCCTGACCTCAAGTGATCCACTCACCTTGGCCTCCCAAAGTACTGGGATTACAGGCGTGAGCCACCACGCCCAGCCTCCTGGTATCTTTTTCATCTCTGTATCCCCAGGACCCAGCACAGTGCCTGGTACATAGTAGATACTTAAATATTTTTTAATATATGAGTGAGTGAATAATAAGATGTATATGAACCCATCTGCAAATTTTAAGGTGGTGTCATTAAGCTATGACAGATGAATGTACCCATCTTCACAGCAGGAGCAGTGGACTTATGAAAGCAAACACAGGAAACAGGGGAAGATGCACATGTATTAAGTCACGATTAACAGCTGGGCGCGGTGGCTCAGGCTTGTAATCCCAGCACTTTGGGAGGCTGAGGCAGGTGGATCACTTAAGCCCAGGAGTTGGGTAATGGCCGACACAGCATGGTGAAAGCCCATCTCTACAAAAAAAAAAAAAAAAAAAATTAGACGGGCATGGTGGTGTACACCTGTAGTCTCGTTACTTGGGAAGCTGAGGTGGGAGGATGGCTTGAGCCCCGGAGGTCGAGGCTGCAGTGAGCTGTGATTGTGCCACTGCATTCCAGCCTGGGCAACAGAGCAAGACCCTGTCTCAAAAGAAAAAAAAATAATTAATTTTTTTAAAATTATGTAAAAGCAAGATTAATGTTGTAATGCCAATTAATGTTTTTAGATGACATTGTGAGAGACATAAAGTACAGAAAATAAGGCTTTCAACGCATTTTAGACAACCAAAGTACATTGACGTGAAGAGGGAGAAGAAAGGAACCCTCAAAACTAAAACTTCCTACTTGTGCCACTGTGTCCACCAACTCAGAAACGTGGGCTTCTGTACCTCATGGAAAATGGCAATGTCTCCTCTCCATGGGAGGTTCTTTTAAATTTTATTTGCATTCATATTACCTTTGA
This sequence comes from Homo sapiens, assembly GCF_000001405.40. Lineage (NCBI taxonomy): Eukaryota > Metazoa > Chordata > Mammalia > Primates > Hominidae > Homo > Homo sapiens. The sequence continues at coordinate 112,118,804 of NC_000011.10, read as the reverse complement.
GGGTGGGAATGAGGAAAAACAAAAATATGGGTTAGTCTATGAGTGAAATTTTTCCAGAGAATATTGTCAGGATCATATTACCTTGGAAAAAGATACAATAGAGGCCCATATTGATCGTGTTTAGGTGAGATGCTGAGTGTGTTTCGGTTAAAATGTACATTGAGTTGAAGATACCCTATAGTGGTTAGACCCTGACCTGGCCAGAAGAATATTTTAATCTACTAAACTTATTAGATAAAACAAAGAAGCTAAATTAAAAAGTATTGAATTCTCCAAGATTCTAAGTCACAGGAAGTAATAAACCCATACCAAATAAGCCCCTAATTCTGCAGTAGTAGCTTTGAGGGAGAGAAACCAGCTTCGAGGGAGATGAAACCAGTTTGGGGGAAAGGGAGGAGGTGCCCTGGCCACAAATTTAGCAGGGCCACCAACATAGCTGAGTCATGGCTCAGGAGGCACCTTTAATACTATGTCAACCATCTGTCACATCCATCTTTCTTTTTTTTTTTTTTTTTGAGATGGAGTCTCTCTCTGTTGCCCAGGCTGGAGTGCACTGGTGTGATCTCAGCTCACTGCAACCTCCGCCTCCCAGGTTCAAGCAGTTCTCCTACTTCAGCTTCCCAAGTAACTGGGATTACAGGTGCCCACCACCACACCTGGCTAATTTTTTTTGTACTTTTAGTAGAAATAAGGTTTCACCATGGTGGCCAGGCTGGCTTCAAACTCCTGACCTCAAGTGATCTGCCCATCTTGGCATCCCAAAGTGCTAGGATTACAGGCATGAGCCACCACACCTGGCCCACATCCATCTTTTTAGGAAAGAATATTCAGATTAGAAACAGGAAAACTGGTGGACAACAGAAAGTGCCACTCCTTTATTCCTGACGTCTAAGATATGAATTGAACTTCCTTTTAAGTGTATGGTATTTTAAAATATTTGTGTTGATTAAAAAAAAAATGTATATATATATAAAGGTCGGGTGTGGTGGCTCACGCCTGTAATCCCAGCACTTTGGGAGGCCGAGGTGGGTGGATCACCTGAGGTCAACAGATTGAGACCATCCTGGCCAACATGGTGAAACCCCGTCTCTACTAAAAATACAAAAATTAGCTGGGTGTGGTGGCTTGTGCCTGTAATCCCAGCTACTCAGGAGGCTGAGGCAGGAGAATCACTTGAACCCAGGAGGCAGAGGTTGCAGTGAACCAAGATTGCGCCACTGCACTCCAGCCTGGCAACAGAAAGACTCCGTCTCAAAAAAACAAAAACAAAAACAAAAAAAACAGATAGTGAGATGGTTTGGCTCTGTGTCCCCACCCAAATCTCATCTTGTAGCTCCCACAATTCCTGTGCGTTGTGGGAAGGGCCCAGCGGCAGACGATTGAATTATGGGGGCAGGTCTTTCCCCTGCTGTTCTCATGATAGTGAATGGGTCTCATGAGATCTGACGCTTTAAAAAATGAGAGTTGCCCTGCACAAGCTCTTTTTGCCTGCTGCCATCCATGTGAGATGTGACTTGCCCCTCCTTGCCTTCCACTGTGATTATGAGGCCTCCCCAGCTATGTGGAGCTATAAGTCCAATAAGCCTCTTTCTTTTGTAAATTGTCCAGTCTCGGGTATGTCTTTATCAGCAGTGTGAAAATGGACTAATACAGATGGCAGTTCTGACATACACTACAATGTGATGAACCTTGGGATATTATGCTAAGTGAAAGAAGCCAGTCTAAAAAAGACAAATACTGTATGATCCCACTTATATAAGGCTTGGAATAGTCAAATGGATAAAAACATAAAGTAGAATGGTGGTTGCCAGAGACCAGAAGGAGGAGGAAATGGGGAGTTTAATGGGTACAGCATTTCAGTTTTGCAAGGTGAAAAGAGTCCTGGAGCTGGATGGTGGTAATGGTCATATGGCATTATGAATGTATTTAATACCATTGCATTGTACACTTGAAAATGGCTAAGATGGTAAATTTTATGTTATTTATATTTTAACACAATAAGATTGGAAAAACAACTTTTATTATAAAAAGTTTAAAACTTGCACAAATACTCATCATCCAGCTTCAACAATTATCGACATTTTGCTTATCTCATTTCTTCTATTTCTCCACTCCCCCCTTATTTCCCTTATAGATTTTTAGGTGTTTTTTTTTTACTTGCATGGTCTAATTATGATCATGTCATCCAAAAATCCTGCTGTATTGTTATTTTTTCCCTATATTTGTTCCTCATTTTTTTAAGAATCCAATGATTCTATGGTTAGTATCTCTGTTAAACAGAAATGAGGGAGGACAGGAAACATTCTTGCTTTATCTTAGGCTTTTTTTCCTTTTTTTGTTTTGAGACAGAGTCTCACTCTATTGGTTAGGCTGGATTGCAGTGGCACAAATCTCGGCTCACTGCAACCTCCACCTCCTGGGTTCAAGTGTTTCTCCTGCCTCAGCCTTATGAGTAGCTAGGACTGCAGATGTGCACCATCACGCCTTGATAGTTTTTGTATTTTTAGTAGAGACAGGGTTTCACCGTGTTGGCCAGGCTGGTCTCGAACTCCTGGCCTCAAGTGATCCACCCACCTCGGCCTCCCAAAGTGCTGGGATTACAGGTGTGAGCCACCGTGCCTGGCCTATTTTATCTTAGTTTCGATGAGCTTATCTTTGCTATTTAACAAATGCTGGCTCTTTGTTCTATGCATGTGCTCCTTTTAAGTTCAGACAAACAGGAACATTCAGCAAAGTTTTTCACTCAGTACTGGTGCGGGCATCAGGAGATATACATGTTGACACATATCTATTTCTGTTGGCTTTCTGGAAATCAACTGCATGACATAACCAGGACTTTTTAAAGGCTCATGATGATTTACCTAGAAATTCCTATTCAAGACTCTATCTTAAGGAAATAATCAGAGATGCAGTCAAAGATTGATGTATATCATTTTGAATAGCAATGGAGTACTCATGTTATATTTTTGACCACCCAGAGGCCATCCCCAGCCCCTTTCTCCCTTGTTAATGCAGAGACTGAGAACAGCAGACACTCGTTTCCCTAAGCCTTTACAGCAAGAGGTGGCCAAATGTGCCAGCTCTGATCAATGAACTCTAAAAAGAAGTCTGCAGGGAATGATGAAAAAGATGTTCTGACGACCAAGGCTTTTACTGCCCTACCTGCAACCCTGCTTCCTGCCTTTGAATCAATCAAAGGAGAATGTGGTACTTGAAGCCATTCCAGCTGTACTGTGACCACAAATTGACGAGCCTAAAAGTGACAGGCCAACATGCTGAGGATGAGAACAGAGAGGCAGAAAGAACTTTAGTCTGAGATGACATCCTTAACCGCTGCATCAAAACTGGACCTGCCTACCCAGACATCTTTTTCTATGAGCGATTCTGTGGTAGTACTCTTTTAATGGGAGATAGTGGGTGTGTATTCTTCTGCTTGCAGCCAAAAGGAAACCTACCTTATATGTATGAATATCCTACAATTTATTTAATTGGTCCTCTAGTTACACATTTAGCTTGATTCGATTTTCTTTTCTATCAGAAGTAACAATGTTGATGAATGTTTTTGAATATGCATCTTTGTCTTTTCGTGAGCATTTTTTTTGGTCTTTGTCTTTATCCTCTGCATCTGAGAAATTTATTTATTTATTATTTTTATTTATTTATTTATTTTGAGACGGAGTTTCACTCTGTTGCCCAGGGTGGAGTGCAATGGTGCGATCTCCACTCACTGCAAACTCCACCTCCTGGATTCAAGCGATTCTCCTGACCCAGCCTCCCAAGTAGCTGGGATTACATGTGCCCACTACCACACCCAGCTAATTTTTTGTATTTTTATTAGAGACGGGGGTTTCACCATGTTGGCCAGGCTGGTCTTGAACTCCTGACCTCGGGTGATCCGCCTGCCTCGGCCTTCCAAAATGCGGGAATTACAGGCATGAGCCACCGTGCCTGGCCTGAGAAATTTATTTACATTTGTCTTCCTTTGCTAATTTTAATTTGACAGAATTAATTTTGCTTTTTTACTCCTTATCCTGTGTTTTTCATTTCCTTTCAACCCTTCCTTTTCTTTTTCCTCTTTCATCACACCTAGTTTATCTTCCATCTTAGCCTACCTTCATCTTCTTCTGTTACAGAGCTCATGACTCACTCACTTCCACTTAAGATACCCAACAATTTCCTAGAACTTTTTCCTGGCTTCCGCAAAAAATCATTTGGACCTATGCAAAACTTCTGAACCTCTATTATACTTTTTTCTTTCACTTGTTTTATAGTTTTGTTTTGTTTTTTTAATAGGTCCCATGCTGATTTTTTTTTCTCCGTGCTCAATTTTGAACAGGGTGATAGCTATTCAGATTCAGTGTTTGTTACCAAGCAGAGTGAGTGAGGATTTCCTTTGGTTCTGCTTTCTGTCTGATAGCTGGATGGTTGAATCCTCCTTTAAAATCTGTACCTGCAGCCTTGGCAACATAGCAAGATCTACCTCTACAAAAAATACAGAAATTAGCCCAGCGTGGTGGTGTGCACCTGTAGCCCTAGCTACTTGGGAGGCTGAGCCAAGAGGATCACGGGCGCCCAGGAGTTCAAGGTTACAGTGAGCCATGATTGTGCCACTGCACTCCAGCCCAGGTGACAGAGCAAGAACCTGTGTCAATCAATCAGTCAAAACAAATAAAGTCTCTATCTGGAGGGCAGGTCATGTGCATGTGTCCCAGCCTCATTCCCAGTTTCTAGCCATTTTTCACTTGGTGTACTTCGGCTCTGCTGAAGCTGCATCTCCCTTTTGCTTCTATTTCCTGGTTTTCTGTTAGTCTCAGCTAATCTACTACATGAGGAATTGTGATTTTTTAAAAATGGAGCCCTAGTAAGATTTTCCTTGTTCTCTCCCCTAACTCTAAATCACACCAGGGTTACACTTGAATTCTGGTTAGTTTCCCCAAACTTTCTGCCCAACAGTTTTTTGATTTGTAAAATTTTTTTTTCCTTTTTCTTTTTTTTTTTTTACACACAAGTGAGAATTAGACAGTTCTTCCAATAGTTTTTTGAAATTCATGTGATTGAAAGAAAGAAAAAAGGAAAAGAAAAAAATCTCAGCTATAGAAGCGTGATTTTTCTTTTTTTGGAGTTGGGGGAAAAGGGTGCAACCTCCGGTGAAGGAGAGACTGGATGAGAAGCAGGAAATCTGCTCCCCCTAGTGGAAAGAAAGAGATACTTCAGGACTAGTTTATCAAAATCTGCTCTTGTGGTCTAGGTCTCTCTCTCTCTCTCTCTCTCTCTCTCTCTCTCTCTCTCTATATATATATATATATATATATATATATATTTTAAAACTAAAGATTTATCAGCAAATAAGTAAATTCTGCAAAATTGCAAAATATTACATATATACATATATATATATAGAGAGAGAGAGAGTATGGAGTTTGAGGTTATAGCGAGCTATGATCACACCACTAATATATAATTTACATTATATATGCAAACATATATATCATATATTTAATTATTTATTTTAAATATTTATTTATTTATTTATTTATTTATTTATTTATTTATTTATATTTTTTTAGACAGAGTCTTGCCCAGGCTGGAGTGCAATGGCGCGATCTCGGCTTACTGCAACCTCCGCCTTCCAGGTTCAAGCGATTCTCCTGCCTCAGATTCCCAAGCAGCTGGTTTACAGGCACCTGCCACCATGCCCAGCTAATTTTTGTATTTTTAGTAGAGACGGGGTTTCGCCATGTTGGCCAGGATGGCCTTGATCTCTTGACCTCGTGATCCGCCTGCCTCGGCCTCCCAAAGTGCTGGGATTACAACCATCCTTTTTAAGGCAGAATAATATCCCATTGTACGTATAGACCACATTTTGCTTATCCGTTTATCTATCAATGGATGCTTGGGTAGCTTCTATGTTTTAGCTATTGTAAATAATGCTGCTATGAACATGGGTGTACAAATATCTCTTTGAGATTCTGTTATCTGTTATTTGGGGCATATACCCATAAGTTAAATTACTGCATCATATGGTGATTTTATTGTTAACTTTTTGAGGAATCATCATACTGTTTTCCACAGAGCTCACAGTATTTCACATTCCCACCAACATTGCACAAGGGTTCCAGTTGCTTCACATCCTTACCAACACGTTATTTTCTGTTTTTTAATTTTTTAAATATATCCATCCTAATGGGTGTGAAGTGCTATCTTGTTTGTAGTCTTGATTTGTATTTACCTAATGATTAGTGATTTTGAATATCGTTTCATGTGCTTATTGGCCATTTGTATATAACAAAAGTTTTGTTTTGTTTGACAAGTTCTTACTCTGTTGCCCAGGCTGAAGTGCAGTGGTGTGATTATAGCTCACTATAACCTCAAACTCCAGCCTCAAGTAATCCTCCTGCCTTAGCCTATTGAGTAGCTAGGACCACATGCCCAGCTAATTTAAAAAAAAAAAAATTTGTAGAGATGGTGTCTCACTATCTTGTCCAGGCTGGTCTCAAACTCCTAGGCTCAAGTAATCCTTGTGTTTCAGCCTCTTAAAGTGCTAGGATTACAAGCATGAGCTACCATACCTGGCTTGTATATAATAAAAATTTTTGAAACTAAAGATTTATCAGCAAATAAGTAAATTCTGCAAAATTGCAAAACATTACATACATCCATAAAAAATAATTTTACTTCAATATATAAGTGATATAAGTTAGAAAGCATAATCTTTTAAATCCCATTTCTAATAGAAAGGTCATATTGGGAATAACCTAATTTAGTAATAAAAGAGTCACTCAGAAAAATGATAAAACTATTTAGAAAAAAAAAAGAACCCTAAAACAGATGGAGAAATACTCTTGATCAAGAAGACTAAAGGTAGGTCGGGCACGGTGGCTCACGCCTGTAATCCCAGCACTTTGGGAGGCTGAGGCGGGTGGATCACCTGAGGTCAGGAGTTCGAGACCAGCCTGGTCAACGTGGTGAAACCCCGTCTCTACTAAAGATACAAAAATTAGCCAGGCATGATGGCACGCGCCTGTAATCCCAGCTACTTGGGAGGCTGAGGCAGGAAAATTGCTTGAAACTGGGAGGCGGAGGTTGCAGTGAGCCGAGATCATGCCACTGCGCTCCAGCCTGGGCGACAGAGCAAAACTCCGTCTGAAAAAAAAAAAAACAAAACTAAATGTAGTAAAGATGGCAATACTTTCCAAAATTATATACAGATTTAGCCAGAGCAATTAGGCAAGAGAAAGTAATAAAAGAAGTTCAAATTGGAAAGGAGGAAGCCAAATTGTCTGTTTGCAGATGACATGATCTTATATATAGAAAAACCTAAAGACTCCACCAAAAAACTCATAGAACTGATAAATTCAGTTAATTTGTAGGATATATAATCAACCCACAAAAATCAGTAGCATTTCTGTACATAAGCAATGAACTAGCTGAAAAAGAAATCAAGAAGGCAATCCCATCTACAATAGCTACCAAAAAAAAAATAAAATAAAATACCTAGGAATAAATTTAACCAAAGAGGTGAAAAACTTCTACAAGGAAAACTACAAAACATTGATGAATAAAAAGGATACAAACAAATGGAAAGACCTCCCATGTTCATGGATCAGAAGAATTAATATTTTTAAGATGACCATACATCCCAAAGTAGTCTACAGATTCAATGAAATCCCCATCAAAATACCAATGCTATTCTTCACAGCAATAAAAAAAAAATCTTAAAATTTGTATGGAACCACAAAAGAGCACAAATAGCTAAAGCAATTCTAAGCAAAAGGAACAAAGCTAAAGGCATCACACTACCAGACTTCAAAATACAGTACAAAGCTGTAGTAACCAAAACAGTATGGTAGCAGTATAAAAACTGACACATAGACCAATAGAACAGAATAGAAAATCCAGAAATTAATCCACATCTCTACAACCAACTGATTTTTTACAAAGTCACCAAGAATACTCATTGGGGAAAGCACAGTCACTTCAATAAATGGTGCTGGGAAAACTGGACATCCATATGCAGAAAAATGAGACTAGACACTCCCCCCGCCTCTCACCCTATACAAAAGTCAACTCAAAATTGATCAAAGACCTAAATGTTGGACGCAAAACAACAAAACTACTAGAAGAAAACATAGGGGAAATACTTTAGAACATTGGTCTTGGAAAAGATATTAAGAATAAGACCTCAAAAGCGTAGGCAACAAAAGCAAAAATAAACAAATGGGATTATTACAAACTAAAAAGCTTCTGCATAGCAAAAGAAACAATCAACAAAGTGAAAAGACAACCTATAGAATGAAAGAAAATATTTGCAAGCTACCCGTATGACAAGAAGTTTATAACCAGAATATATAAAGGAGTTCAAACAACTCTAAAGGAAAAAAATCTAATAATCGATTTTAAAACGGGCAAAAAATTTGAATACACATTTCTCAAAAGAAGACATATAAATAGAAAACAGGCATAAGAAAAGGTGCTCAACAATACTGAGCATCAGAAAAAATGCAAATCAAGGCCGGGCGCGGTAGCTCACACCTGTAATTCCAGCACTTTGGGAGGCCAAGGTTGGTGGATCACTTGAGGTCAAGAGTTCAAGACCAGGCCAACATGGTGAAACCCTGTCTCTACTCAAAATACAAAAATTAGCCAGGTGTGGTGACAAGTGCCTGTAATCCCAGCTACTTGGGAGGCTGAGGGAGGAGCACTGCGCAACTTGTATCAGTCACAGTTTTGGTAAACCCACAGGCTAGCTCTAGCTAAAATGAGTGAAAACCAAATGTCAATGGAGAGCTTCTTTGAAAAGGGGAAAGACCCAATGAGGAGACAGCAGAAGACTCTAACACTAACAAAAAAAGAAAAATGCATTTAAAAGAAAATACCAAGAGTCCTACTTAAATTATGGGTTCATTGCAACAGGTGATTCATATTCTCCAAGCCTGCTTTGTATAATATGTGGTGACCAACTATCCAAAAGAGCCATGAAACTTTCAAAACTGCTTTGCCACATGGAAACAAATCACCCTGCATTAAAAGACAAGCTTTGGAGTTTTTCAAAAGAAAACAAAACGTGAACACAAAGAACAGAAGCCACCACTACTGAAGGCCATTATTGAAGGCCACCACTTTGTCAAATGTGTCTGCAGTGAGAGCATCATTCTTAGTGGCTAACTGCATTGTTAAAGCTAAGAAGCCCTTTACTATTGGGGAAGAGTTGATCCTGCCTGCTGCTAAGGACATTTGTTATGAACTTTTAGGAGAGGCTGCAGTTCAAAAGGTGCCACATGTTCCTCTTCCAGTCAGTACCATAACTAGACCAATTGATGAAATAGCAGAGGATATCGAGGCACAATTTTTAGAGAGGATTAATGAGTCACTGTGGTACACAATCCAGATTGACAAGTCTACCATTGCTGACAACAAGGCAACAATGCTTGTTTTCGTGCAATATATTTTTCAAGAGGATGTGCACGAGGATGTTTTGTGTGCTTTTCTTGCCAACCAACACCCCAGCTGCAGAACTATCCAAGTATTTGAATGACTACGTATCAGGAAATCTGAATTGGTCATTTTGTGTCGGTATATACACAGAGGGGGCGGCTGCCATGACTGGACGGCTTTCTGATTTCACTTCTTGGGTCAAAGAGGTAGCTTCTAAATGTGAGTCTACGCTCCGTGTCATCCATAGAGAAATTCTGGCTGGCCAAAAATGTCACCTGAACATAATAACATTTTGCAGGATGTGATTAAAATTATCAACATCAAAGCACATGCCCTTAACTCACATCTGTTCGCACAGCTTTGTGAGGAGATGGAAGCAGAACACACACCTCTTCTCTTATACACAGAAGTGAGATGGCTTTCTTTCTTTCTTTCTTTCTTTTTTTTTTTTTTTTGAGACGCATTCTTGCTCTCTCGCCAGGCTGGAGTGCAGTGGCACAATCTCGACTCACTGCAACCTCCGCCTCCCAGGTTCAAGCAATTCTTCCGCCTCAGCCTCCCAAGTAGCTGGGACTACAGGTGCACACCAACACGCCCAGCTAATTTTTGTATTTTTAGTAGAGACGGGATTTCACCATGTTGGCCAGGATGGTCTCGATCTCTTGACCTTGTGATCCACCCACCTCGGCCCCCAAAGTGCTGGGATTGCAGGCGTGAGCCACCCTGTCCGGCCAGAAGTGAGATGGCTTTCTAAAGGTAGATCACTAGCCAGAGTTTTTGAGTTATGAGAGCCGCTCCAGAGATTTCTTTCAGGAAAGGAAATCTGGCAGCACATTTCAGTGACACAGAATGGGTCACAAAACTTGCTTACTTGTGTGACATATTCAACCTGCTCAACGAACTCAATCTATCACTTCATTGGAGAACAACAACTGTGTTCAAGTTGGCAGATAAAGCGGTTGCATTCAAAGCCAAACTAAAATTATGGGGCTGATAAGTGAACATTGGGATTTTATACATGTTTCAAACATTAGCAGAGATTTTGAGAGACCAAGCCAGGGCCTTCTTTCCCCCAACTGGTGCCTGATCACCTATCTCAGCTTTCAAGAGAGTTTGAGAGCTACTTCCCAACCGCTAAAGACCCCCCAAACTGGCAAGGAATGGGTCCATGACCCATTTGTGGATAAGCCAAGTGAATCGACTTTGTCTATGCTAGAAGAGGATCAACTGCTTGAGATTGCAAATGACGGTAGCCTTAAAAGTATGTTTGAGAAAACTTCAAATCTTCATATAGTCTGTATTAAAGTCAAGGCAGAATATCCTGAGATTGCCACAAAAGCACTGAGAAGGCTGCTTGCATTTCCATGGGTAGCAGCTGTGGATAGGGAATGTCAATGGGGCTCCAGGGATGTGGAGATGCGGAGGCTGTTGGACCCTAAGGCAGGATTCAGTCTGCTGGGGGTTGGCAACTGCCACTGCTTAAGGACTTTGGAGTTTGTAGGACTCAGCATGAGCTCCCTCTGTGGAGCAATGCTGTTATGTGGTCTCCGGGCAGCTCCCTATATTAGTCTCAGGGACCACAAAGGTCAAGGGACTCTCCTATAGCTAGGATTGCAGGGAACCATGGTGGGAATGTGGACATTTGGGGGTCTTTCACTTACCCTTTCTCCGCATTAAGGGAGCCTCTATAGGTTCCCAGATGACCCCAGCTGAGCAGACTTCCTCGCTTCCTTCTCCTTCCTTGCTACTGGTGTTTTCTGTAAGTTCTCTGTTGGATTCCAGTGTTCTCTCTTAGATGACACATTACTCATTATTTTTGATCTTCCTGGTAGAAGAAGAAAGTACTAGATACATCTTGCATCCTGAGCCCCTCCTCAAGTCGTTCTGTGTGATACTCATCAGTATTTGTTGAGGCTTTTTTTTTTTTTATTGTAGTCTATATACATGGTCAGGTATGTTTTTCAAAAGAACATATATTCTCTTACGGGTAGGTACAAAGTTCTACATATGTCCGCTAAATCAAACTTGTTACTTTTATTGTTAAATATTTTATTGTTTAAATATGTCGTTAATTTTTTTAACTAATCTGTCCACCTCTGAAATACACCTGAAATTTTCCATGCTTTCTTCTGGAATTCTGTCATTTTGTTTTAGAAATTTTGAGGCTATTATCAGGTACATAAAGGTCAAGACTGTTATAACATATTGGTGAATTTTTATTGTAATGTAATGACTTTTATTTTTTTGAGACAGGGTCTCAGTCTGTCATCCAGACTGGAGTGTAATAGCTGATCATAACTCACTGCAACTTCAAACTCCTGGGCTCCTGCAATCCTCCTGCCTCAGCCTCCCAAGTAGCTGAGACTACAGGCATGTGCCACTGAACCAGGCAAATTTTTTATTATTTTCATTTTTTTATAGAACCGGAGTCTCGCTTTGTTGCCCAGGCTGGTCTTGAACTTCTGGCCTCAAGAGATCCAACAATTTTGGCCTCCCAAATTGCCACTACAGGCATGACTCACCATGCCCAGCCTGACTCTATATTTAATAATGCTTTTTGCCCTAAAGTCTACTTTGAATGATATAAATACATATATACCAGCTTTCTTTTGGTTTGTATTGAAAGAATATCCATTTTTATCCCTTTTGCCCTTTTTACGTCCTTATATTTTAATCATATCTCTTATATAGTATATAGCTGTATTTTGTTTTATCTCACCTGATATCTATAATTTGACCAGTAGATTTAACCCATTTATTCTGTCAGAGATTAGTGCCATATCTGGTTTTCTTTTTTACCATCTTATTTGGGGCCATTTACCCTGTATTTCTTCTCTTTCCCCTCCTATTATTTAAGTTAATTAGTAAATCATCCTTAGACACCTGGACAATTTCTAGGTAAGCTAGAAAATACAAAGCATAGGTCACCAATCTAGTTTTATTATGCCTTTAACTGTATTTTTATATATATTGAGCATCAATTAGCATGCTTAAGAGAATGTCCCTATGCCTTTGGGTGATATTAGTGTTTATGAAGGTACTCTGTGTGTCAGCTCTTAGTCACCTGCCTGATGGTTTTCTCTTGTCTGTGAGGAAACAAATTTATTGCTGTAGTTAATGATTGTAACTAATGTCTATGATTAAGACTACACTAGATAGCCTGGGCGCAGTGGCTCACGCCTGTAATCCCAGCACTCTGAGAGGCCGAGGCGGGCGGATCACCTGAGGTCGGGAGTTCCGAGACCAGCCTGATCAACATAAAGAAACCCCGTCTCTACTAAACATACAAAATTAGCCACCAGATGTGGTGGCGCATGCCTGTAATCCCAGCTACTCGGGAGCCTGAGGCAGGAGAATTGCTTGAACCCAGGAGGTGGAGGTTGCGGTGAGCCAAGATTGTGCCATTGCACTCCAGCCTGGGCAACAAGAGCAAAACTCCATCTCAAAAAAAAAAAAAAAAGACTACACTAGATATAGTTGTTGCTATATATATACATATATATACTTGAAAATGGATATGTTTTGTCTATTTATCAAGAGAATTTTTAGTTTACTAAGGCAAAAAATTCAATAAGATACATGTGCTTGCTTACATACTATGCTAACAAGGTTAACCGTATTTTAAAGCTAGTCAAGACCGGATGCAGTGGCTCATGCCTGTAATCACAGCACTTTGGGAGGCCGAGGCAGGCAGATCACTTGAGGACAGGAGTTCAAGACCAGCCTGGCCAACATGGTGAAACTCCGTCTCTACTAAAAATACAAAAATTAGCCAGGCATGGTGGCTCTCACCTGTAGTCCCAGCTACTTGGGAGGCTGAGTTAGGAGAATTGCCTGAACCCAAGAGGTGGAGACTTCGGTGAGCAGAGACTGTGCCACTGCACTCCAGCCTGGGCGACAAAGGGAGACTCTGTCTCCAAAAAAAAAAACTAGTCAAAAGCTTTAAAATACCATCTATTTGTATATATATAACCATACACATATAATGAAATATTAAGATTAGTAGCCAAAAAAAGCTCATAAACCATTTTTAAAGAGAAAATTCGTAATACAGAATAAGTTCAATCTTTAAATAAAGTTTTTGTACCTTTGTCATCACACTCTTGAATCAATCTAACCAAAAGCTCCTCAGTTCTTAAAAAAAACCCTCCTATTGTGCATATTGTCACTTTAAAGCAAGATGTTTTCTTGTATTTTGGTATTTATGACTTATGCATCTCTCTCTCTCTCTCTCTCTCTCTCTCTCTCTATATATATATATATATATTTTTTGAGACAGAATCTCGCTATGTCACTCAGGCTGGAGTGTAGTGGCATGATCTCAGCTCGCTGCAACCTCCACCTCCCTGGTTCAAGAGATTCGTCTGTCTCAGCCTCCCAAGTAGCTGAGACTACAGGCACGCACCACCATGCCCGGCTAATTTTTGTATTTTTAACAGAGACGGGGTTTCATCATATTGGCCAGGCTGGTCTTGAACACCTGACCTCGTGATCTGCCCACTTTGGCCTTCCAAAGTGCTGGGATTACAGGGGTGAGCCACCGCGCCCACCCTGACTTATGCATATATTTAAGCCAATTTTCTTTGACAATTTTCTTAATTTCCTAACTTAAGACCTAAATGAAGAATGATTGAATTATTAAGAGGCCTTTTACATCTAAACTTTCTTTGGAGTGACCCGGATGGCCATAATGTTTTATTATCTCATGAAAGGAGAGATACTAAATATAATTAGACATGTTTGGTAGTTTACTTATTTAGATTAACTAAAACACTGTATGAGTTCACTTAATAACTCACAGCTCTGCCCATAGGATACAAATGTTCAACAGGCATTTTCTTTCTTAAATAATAACCTCTCAAAATCATCTCGAACTTGGGCATTTCCTAACTATGCTAAAGCCTTCTCATTGTTTGTACATGAAAGACTGGTTGTCAGCTGGGTGCGGTGGCTCATGCCTGTAATCCTAGCACTTTGGGAGGCCAAGGTGGGTGAATCACCTGAGGTCAGGAGTTTGAGACCAGCCTGACCAACATGGTGAAACCCCGTCTCTACTAAAAATACAAAAATTAGCCAGGTGTGGTGGCGCACACCTGTAATCCCAGCTACTCAGGAGGCCAAGGCAGGAGAATTGCTTAAACCCGAAAGGTGGGGGTTGCAGTGAGCCAAAATAGTGCTATTGCACTCCAGCGTAGACAAGAGCAAAACTCCATCTCAAAAAAAAAAAAAAAAAGACAGACTGGTTGTTTTAGTGATGTTTACTCAAAACTAGGGACTCATTACAAGCTCATTACCTTCTATATTATTTGTCTGCTTCCTTTTTAGCTGTTAAATACTGCTCCAATCTAAATCTAGCTGCCCTATTTCCCCTTCCTGATGAAGAGGAATCTCAATATTGTCCAATATTTAAAATCTAAGCATGCCCAGTCTTGATTTGACTGATGTTCTCCTGTACAACCCTGATATATTGCCTTTTGATTATGACTCATAATTAAAAATGAATCAAGGTATACTTTGCACCAAATATGCTATAACTTTGAAATATTCCATTTTGGAATACTTTATAAGCAACAGCTTAGACAGCTAAACTGATAGCTCTATTAAGAACACGCCATCACGCTAAAGGATTAAGAGTTAACATCCATATTGTCTACAGATGAACTTTCAGGATTGCTTGTGATTTCAGCACATTGTGCAAACAAAGGGGTTTCCTAACTTCCTCAGACAACTGAATCAAAAATGGAAAAGAAACTAATGACTTACTAAAGATACTCCAACACCCAAAGCAAATTTCAGTCATTAAGAATAAAGTGCATGCTAAAGGTCATGCTTTAAAGCCTGCTACCTTGGCCGGGCACGGTGGCTCACACCTATAATCCCAGCACTTTAGGAAGCTGAGGCGGGTGGATCACGAGGTCAGGAGATCGAGACCATCCTGGCCAACATAGTGAAACCCCGTCTCTACTAAAACACAAAAAATTAGCAGGGCATGGTAGTGGGTGCCTGTAATCCCAGCTACTCAAGAGGCTGAGGCAGGGGAATTGCTTGAACCCAGGAGGCAGAGATTGCAGTGAGCCAAGATCGTGCCACTGCACTCCAGCCTGGTGACAAAGCAAGACTCCGTCTCAAAAAAAAAAAAAAAAAGGCCGCCACCTTATACAAACAGCCCTTTCTAGCTTTACCAGCGTTGGTATTATAACAATAGTTGTTCAATCTGATTTCTGTATATAAGAGGGATTAAAATACAACACTCTGCCCTCATTGGGGGTAGAAGGGTGGATAAGAGGAAGGACATTGGTTTTGTCAAGACTGTTTCATACTGCTTGGTTTCTCCCAAACTACCTCCAGCTCAATAATTTTCATGCTGCAAAAATAATAATATAATAATAGCTCAATTGACAGGGACAAACTGGCTCAAACTTTATAAAGTACTAGTCAAAAAAGTCTTACCTAAGAGGCTTACTCATTTTATTTATCATATCAATGCATTAATTTATTAATCATATCAATGTATTGTTCATTTTAATTATAATAATCCAGAACAAATATACAAAGAAACACCAACATTAAAGACCATTTGAGGCTGGGTGCAGTGGCTCACGCCTGTAATCCTTTGGGAGGCCAAGGCAGGCGGATCACTTGAGGCAAGGAGTTCAAGACCAGCCTGGCCTACATGGTGAAACCCTGTCTCTAATAAAAATACAAAAATTAGCCAGGCGTGGTGGCGGGTGCCTGTAATCCCAGCTACTCGGGAGGCTGAGGCAGGAGAATCTCTTGAACCCAGAGGCAGAGGTTCCAGTGAGCTGAGATTGCACCACTGCACTCCAGCCTGGGTGAAAGAGCAAGACTCCATCTCAAAAAAAAAAAAAAAAACTTTTTAATAATAGTTTATAACATTTCTGGTAGACTACAGCTTTCCCTTATTATTTTTTTTTTGGTTTTTTTGTTGTTGTTGTTGTTTTTTGAGACAGAGTCTTGCTCTGTAGCCCAGGCTGGAGTGCAGTGGCACATCTCGGCTTACTGCAACCTCCACCTCCCATGTTCAAGCAATTCTCCTGCCTCAGTCTCTCGAGTAGCTGGGACTATAGGCTCATGCCACCATACCCGGCTAATTTTTGTATTTTTAGTAGAGACAGGATTTCACCATATTGGCCAGGCTGGTCTCGAACTCCTGACCTCATAATACGCCCGCCTCAGCCTCCCAAAGTGATGGGATTACAGGTATGAGCCACCGCGCCCAGCCTCCCTTAGTTTTACGTTTTTAAGTTTTATACATAGGCCTGATGATATTGCAATTTACTTCTTAAAATCTTCATAAGCTTTCATATTAAACTATTATAGAAACACTCTATGAGGCTGGGCTTGACACATCCCGTAACAGATTTCATCCTTGGTATGTAGTAATCTTGTATTTTTTCAAAAATGAATCTCATATACATAGTCTTATGCCCAATTTACAAACTCTGTTTCTCAAAAGAATACCAATAGATACATTGTGTCTCCCATCATCACCAGCATAATCTACAACTGAAAGACTAGTTTTTTATTTATATTTATATTATATTATATTATTATTTATTGAGACTGAGTCTCACTCTGTTGCCCAGGCTGGAGTGCAGTGACATGATTTTGGCGTACTGCAGCCTCCGCCTCCCGGGTTCAAGCAATTCTCCTGCTTCAGCCTCTTGAGTAGCTGGGACTACAGGCATAAGCCACCATGGCAGGCTAATATTTGTATTTTTAGTAGAGACGGGGTTTCACCATGTTGGCCAGGCTGGTCTCAAACTCCTGACCTCAGGTGATCCACCTGCCTCAGCCTCCCAAAGTGCTGGGATTACAGGCGTGAGTCACTGTGCCAGGCCCTATATTTATATGTTTGAGACAGGGTCTCACTCTGTCACCCAAGCTGGAGTGCAGTGGCGCAATCTCAGCTCACTGCAACCTCCACTTCCTGGGTTCAAGCAATTCTCCCGCGTCAATCTCCCAAGTAGCTAGGACTATACAGGCGCATGCCACCACACCCGGCTAATTTTTGTATATTTTGGTAGAGACAGGGTTTCACCATGTTGGCCAGGCTGGTCTCGAATTCCTGACCTCAGGCGATCCGCCTGCCTCGGCCTCCCAAAGTGCTGGGATTACAGGCATGAGCCACTGCACCTGGCCTGGAAGACTAGTTTAGAAACAGTCACTGATGAAAGTTAGAGTTAGAACCACATTGGAAATGACCATTTGGGTATTTTAATCTCATAGACACCGTTCTGAAGCTCCAGGCCCATAGTCATGGATACATGCTTCACAGTGGTGCTTAGGTCTCAGAAACTGAACATTCAGCCCCACTGGGAATTGACCCTGACACTCATTATCAGGTGTCCAGAGGAGAAAACTCTCCTAAGTAGACATCTACTTTTTAAGATTCTATGAATTGAGACGATAACATCAAGTATATACCACTCTCTCCAAAAGCTTTCTGATCCCTGAGCAGAAAGCTGACTTATATTTAGACTTATATCTCATCTTATGTTTATAATGTGTATCTGAAAATTCCAGGGTCTGAATTCTTTGTGGGTATGGTTCTGTTTATTTGTGCTGACTCTTGCTCAGGACATTCCAGTACTGTGATTTTTGCTGACAGTTCACGTTCACTGGAACTTTATGGGGATTTTTGAAGCTTGTGTTGGGGTAACCCTTCTCTCTCTGGTGAGGATTTGTGCTGACTACCATGCCCTACAAACCTAGGTCAAAGTTAAATTTGCCCCATGTAACCTTTTTAGATATGCAGGTAACTTGAACTCGGACTCCAAACTGGCATGAGGACTGGCTCTTAGCCACACATTCTCAGAAGAGACTCTTTCCTCCAACCTGAGCCAAGGCAAGATACACACATTGCTCTGCTCTCTGCTTTTTCAGATAAATATCAGTTTTTCTTTTGGGGGGGATGGAGTTTCACTCTTGTTGCCCAGGGTGGAGTGTAATGGTGTGATCTCAGCTCACCGCAACCTCTGCCTCCCGGGTTCAAGCAATTCTCCTGCCTCAGCCTCCCGAGTAGCTGGGATTACAGGCACCCACCACCACGCCCGGCCCTTTTTTTTTTTTTTTTTTTTGTATTTTTAGTAGAGACAGGGTTTCTCTCTGTTGGTCAGGATGGTCTCGAACTCCCAACCTCAGATGATCCACCCGCCTCGGCCTCCCAGAGTGCTGGGATTACAGGTGTGAGCAAATATCATTTTTTCTAATTCACCCTTTCTCTGAGGGCAAAACTCTTTATGGTTCTTGGTTTAGGGGAATCTTCATTCTAACTCCCTGGTTTGAGCCCTAAGCTTTTCTCCTGGCCTATGTGCCACCTTCTTAAAACTAGAATCCGGCCAGACATGGTGGCGCAAGCATATAATGCAAGCACTTTGGGAGGCAAAGGCAGGTGGATTACTTGAGCTCAGGAGTTTGAGACCAGCCTGGGCAACACAGTGAGACCTCATCTCTACTAAAAATCAAAAAAATTAGCTAGGCATGGTGGCACAAGTCTGTAATCCCAGCTACTTTCAGAAGGCTGAGGTGGGAGGATCACTTGAGCACAGGAGATCAAGGCTGCAGTGAGTTTGATCACGCCACTGCACTCCAACCTGGACAACAGAGCGTGATTCTGACTCAAAAAAATATAATAATGGCTAGGCGTGGTGGCTCATGCCTGTAATCCTAGCACTTTGGGAGGCCGAGGCAGGCGGATCATGAGGTCAGGAGATCAAGACCATCCTGGCTGACACGGTGAAACCCCGTCTCTACTAAAAATATGAAAACAAAATTAGCCGGGCATGGTGGCAGGCGCCTGTAGTCCCAGCTACTCCAGAGGCTGAGGTGGGAGAATGGTGTGAACCTGGCAGGCGGAGCTTGCAGTGAGCCAAGATCGCACCACTGCACTCCAGCCTGGGTGACAGAGCGAGACTCTGTCTCAAAAATATATATATAATAATAATAATAAGAAGAAGAAGACTAGAACTCTGGGCCACCTGGGCTTAGTAGATACTCTTAGGGGCAACTGATACCCTAAGCACTTGCTTACCTCCCTAGCTGCAGACTTACTTTGGTCTGGCTCCAGAAGATTTCTTTTTGCAAACTAAATAATATGTTTTGGCCGGGTGCAGTGGTCTGTAATCCCAGCACTTTGGGAGGCCGAGGTGGGTGGATCACCTGAGGTCAGGAGTTTTGAGACCAGCCTGGCCAACATAGCTGAAACCCCATCTCTACTAAAAATACAAAAATTAGCCAGGTGTGGTTGTGGGCACCTGTAATCCCAGCTACTCAGGAGGTTGAGGCAGGAGAACCGCTTGAACCCAGGAAGCGGAGGTTGCAGTGAGCCGAGATCATGCCATTGCACTCCAGCCTGGGCAACAAGAGTGAAACTCCGTCCCAAATAAATAAATGAAATATTTTTAAAGGTGTTCTTGTTTAACATTCTAACAGGCTTCATATCAAAGTAAATACTTTCTAAAATTGAGTCTGCCATATTGCCAAAAAATAGAAGTCTACAAATTCTATCTCTTCCTAGCCGTCTCACAAATCCAAAACTTCAGTAGTTACTGATTCCAGTACCATATCTAATTTTCCTTCAACATTTTTCTTTAATGACACTACCTCCCATCCACCTATTTACAACAAAAAATTGAGCAAAGCTCCTTCCTCCCTCAAGCGTTCACATCTTAGTATAACTCTCATTGATTCTAAGTTCTAAATATTTCTTAAATTTGTTCTCTCCTTCATTCTAGCTACAATTGCCTTCACAATTCATTATTTCTTTTCTGGGTCACTAAAATAATCTGTTTCCATGCTTACCTCCCACAAATCCATTCTTTACATAGCTGTCAGCAAAACCTATTTAAAATAAAAATTGGATCATGCCGTTTGCATAATTAAGTCTTCAGTAACTCCATATTGCTGTCAAGATAAAGTCGCAGGCCAGGCACAGTGGCTCACGCCTGAAATCCCAGCCCTTTGGGAGGCGGAGGTGGGTGAATCACTTGAGGCCAGGAGTTTGAGACCAGCCTGGGCAACAGAGCAAGACCCCATCTCTACAAAAAATACAAAAATTAGCCAGGGATGGTGGCATGTGCCTGTAGTCCCAGCTACTCAAGAGGCTGAGGTGGGAGGATGTCTTGAGTATGGGAGGCAGAGGTTGCAGTGAGCCAAGATCGCGCCACTACATTCCAGCCTGGGCCACAGAGTCAGACTCTGTCTCAAAAAAAAAAAAAAAAAGATAAAGTTTCAATTACTTATCGTGGCATATAAGGTCCTCTACAATCAGTCCCTCCCTGTGCTGGGTCATACCAAACTACATATCATCTTTTGCTTGATCTGCCATCCTCCAGTCAACCCTACACCTCATCCCAGCTTCCCCAGCCACTGTCAGCTCCTTATCTTTCAAAACCCAGGTTACAAATCTTCTCTTCCAGGAAACTTGCAGGCAAATCCTTACTGCACCCTTTGTTACATCACAGCGCATGACGTGCTTCACCATCACTGCACTTACTACACCGTATTGCAGTCATTCTTCTGTTGCCCCAATTAGACTATGAATTCCCTTCAAAGGCAGGTAAAATTTTATCGTTATCCACAGTACCTGGCACAGTGCTGATTACATGAGGTACTTAGTATCTATCAAATGAATGAATTAATGTTTTTGACTTCTACAATACCTTTTGAGATTGACTCCTACTTCCACTGCTACTCTCAAAGTTCAGGCCCTTTATTCTGTCTCTATCCCCTCACATGTCCTTCTACCTCTAGCTTATTAACCCACCTAATGGTACCCAAATTATTTCTAAAGCACAGTTCTGATCATGTCCTGCTTACCGTCAGAAACTACTATTGCTGTTAGCCCTTGGATTTTTTTTTTTTTTAAAGAGACAAGATTTCACTCTGTCACCTAAGCTGGAGTGCGGTGGTATGATCATAGCTCATTGTAACCTCAAACTCCTGGGCTCAAACAATTCTCCCACCTCGGCCTCCCAAGTAGCTAGAACTACAGGCACATGCCACTGCCAGTGATGCCCGGCTAATCTTTTTTTTGTTTTATTGTATTTTTGTAGAGACAGGGTCTTGCTATGTTGCCCACGCTGGTTTTAAACTCCTGGCCTCAAGCAATCCTACTGCCTCAGCCTCCCAAAGTGCTGGGATTACAGGCATGAGCCACAGCACCCTTCCGGAATCTTGCCTCATTTTCCAGCAGCTCACAGCAACCTACTGACTTCCCAAAGACAGCTCAGCTCCATCCTAATGACCAAACCAGCAGGGACATGGGGCAGGCAGTGCCCAACCAGCCTCCACTCCAACTTCGTTCACCATCTAATGAAGCTTATTAGCACTAGACAGCCTTGTATATCTAGGATCTGATGGTACTAGAGATAGCTATGGATTCCCATATTATCCAGAGTCACTGCCATCCCCATTTTGACTTTATGGAAGACTCCATTTCATCACTCCACTCTACAGCAGCAGTATACTGAGAGCTAGGGAAGGGAAGGAATGACACTACAAGGTGGGGAGGGGATCGTCTATAGAGAATTTTAAAACAATAAAATTGACTTTTAGTCCATTTGTTTTTTATCATCATCAAGCATCAGCAATTCTAAACAATGTCAGAATATTGTTTATATATTCTCTCCCACCAGGGTGGACTGGTCCCACCACCACTATCTGTTGGTGTGCCACTGCTATTCAGGCATCACCCTCTTTTGAAACCTTTTACCCACCCCAAAACAGAATTAATCACCTCTTCCTAAACCCTAATGCACACTTGAGTCTCTACAAGACCACAGGCACATCAAGGAGAGCATGTCTTTAACCCCTAGTACACATTCATAAACACATACTCTTCCTTTGCCTCAGCTTCCCAGTAAGGTCCTTGGTGAGTAAAATGTGCTTAGTCCCAGTTACTCTATATTGATAGAAGACAGCATCATGCCTTACACTCAACTCTTAGACCAGACTAAATACACATAGAACATAATATGAATTCCAAAGGCTGGTATTCACAGAACACCATAATCTGGACATAGTTCTTATTCCTAAATACTAAACCTTATACTCTGTTTATACCAAATTACTTATACACTTGGTATTTTTCTGCCTATTACAAGTCCTTTTTGTTTTCCAGTACTTTGTGTCTGATTTACCTAACTGCTAAGCCCCAGAAGAAAATTTAAACACTCAATTTTGGCTGGGCGGGGTGGCTCATGCCTGTAATCCCAGCACTCTGGGAGGCCAAGATGGGTGGATCACGAGGTCAGCAGTTCGAGACCATCCTTGCTAACACGGTGAAACCCCATGTCCACTGAAAATACAAAATATTAGCTGGGCGTGGTGGTGGGTGCCTGTAATCCCAGTTACTCGGGGGGCTGAGGCAGGAGAATGACATGAACCTGGGAGGCGGAGCTTGCAGTGCTCCGAGATCACGCCACTGCACTCCAACCTGGGTGACAGAGTGCGACTCCGTCTCAAAAAAAAAAAAAAACCCAATTTTGTTTTCATGCTGTGGATGCAATGGACACCTAATTCTAATGAATAAAACTACTGATAGCTAATATATAAAAGCATAGAAGACACTTTTATTATATAACATTTTATTTAAAAAAATTATTTTCATAGAATACATTTTCACATTAGAGATTCCCATTGTGCGAAAATAACAATTTATTACTTATAGTTTTATATTTGTGGACAGATTGTTTTAGAACAAGTAGAATACATTTGGGAATTAAATCTCAATTTACAGTTGGTAGTATTTTGATACATCTACAGGGAAACTTGCCCTTAAATGGAACTTCTGTATATTCAGAAGCACTCCAAGCGTTTCTTCCTAGGATTTAGAAATTTATAATATGAGCTATCAGCATTTCCTAATTTTAAAATTTCCCTAGTATATGTAACCATCAGTAGGTGGTATCTACTGTCTAGAGAGGGAAGTTTTCGAAAATTAAACACTGTCTAATTTTCTGCAAAGTTTTTATTCATGAATTAAGAGTATTTCCCTTTGTCCATTATTCCCAAGGCAAATATGGAAGTTTGATCATATACTAATCGTAATAAAGTTGGATTCTCTTTAAGAGATTGATAAATTGAAAGGCAAAAGCTGATATATCATGTTTAGTTATACTGTGAGTCTTATAAGAAGCTGGGAGGCAACCCCATTAACTCACCAGAATATAGAACTCAGTCTCACAACTTAGATATAATTCCTCTCAAACCTTTTCCTCAAAGATTAAATTCTGAAAATAATCTTGTGATTAAGAGAAGAAGGCTGTCCACCAATGGACTTATCTGTTATTTCTTCCTTATTGTGAGCTTAATGGCATGACAAAGCAGAGGCAAAGAGGCATACATCAATTCTTCAAAGTATGAAGTCAAAAAGGTCAGAGCTTCCACAGCATGGCAACAGCTTTGCAGATGCCCACATCGTGATAGTTGAAATAGCAAAGCCCAGCAAAGGTTAAAGCTGAAAGTGCCAAAAGCCCTGCCTTGGCAGCTTTCTGCAAGGCATCCCCATGAACATAGTCAGTAACAACTTGTCCAAGGCCCCTAAAGAAAAAGAAAAAATCATAACATCAATAAAAAACCACAGTGAAATTAGAAGACTATACAGATAACTTGGCTGCAAAAAAACAATCTGTCAAGTTCAAATGCAATGTCTCCATTTGCCACTCCACTGTCACTGTTTGCTTCTTTAGGGGATTCTGTATAGCCTTTTGCGTGTGTATGTCAGTAAGTCTATTTCTAGTGACTTTTCTTTAGAGACAAAGTCTTACTCTGTTGCCCACGCTGGAGTGCAGTGGCCTGATCATAGCTCACTACAGCCTCGAACTCCTGAGCTCAAGTGATCCTCCTGCCTCAGCCTCCCAAGTAGCTGGGACTATAGGAGCATGCCTCCATGCCCGGCTAATTGTTTTTTATTTCCTTCTATTTATTTATTTATTTATTTATTTATTGAGACAGAGTCTCGCTCTTTTGCCCAGGCTGGAGTGCAGTGGCACGATCTCGGCTCACTACAACCTCCGCCTCCCGGGTTCAAGTGATTCTCCTGCCCCAGCCTCCCAAGTAGCTGGGACTACAGGCGCCCACCACCACACCCAGCTAATTTTTGTATTTTTAGTAGAGACAGGGTTTCACCATATTGGCCAGGCTGGTCTCGAACTCCTGACCTTGTGATCCGCCCACCTCAGCCTCCCAAAGTGTTGGGACTACAGGCGTGAGCTACTGCGCCTGGCCTGTTTTTTATTTCTTTAAAGATGCGGTCTCACCATGATGCCCAGGCTGGTCTTGAACTCTTGGCTGCAAGTGATCCTTTCACCCCAATAACTAAAAATAACTAAAACTCTACAGTATTTTTAATTAATTCAAAAAGAATTTATTAAGTAGATATCATGTGCCAGAATCTGTCATAAATGTTGGGAGTATAGTAAGTGAGACAGCATCCCTACCCTTATGGAATATACTAGTGAATGAGAAGGAAAAAGTAAATATATATGTACTGAGAAGAAACACTTTAGAAAGGAAGACATGAATGAGAACATCCAAACCAAAGTGGCATCTCTAATGAATAGTAAGATTTGTGTGGCTGGAGCACATGGGTGAAGCAGAGATCAGAGGAAGGCAGGGGTCGGTTGCATAGGGTCTTGAAGGTCATGATAAGGAATCTGAATTTTATATGAAATATAATAGGAAACCACTGATACATTTTAAGCAGGGAGTGCCTGAGATTAGGAGTGACCTAATTTTACTATTTTTATAACAGTTTTATTGCAATGTAAGTCAAACGCCAGAAAAAATTCACGCTTTTTAGTATATAATCCACTGGTTTTTAGTATATTGAGTTGTGCAATCATCATTTAATTCCAGAACATTCTCATTACCCCAAAAAGAAACCCTCTACCTCTTAGCCCACTACCCAACTACAAATTTACTTTCTGTCTCTATGGCTTTGCCTGTTCTAGACATTTCATATAAAAGAACCCATACACCACTGGGCGTGGTGGCTCACACCTGTAATCCCAGCACTTTGGGTGGGTGAAGTGGGCGGATCACCTGATGTTGGGAGTTCAAGACCAGCCTGACCAACAAGGAGAAACCCCATCTCTACAAAAAATACAAAATTAGCCAGGCGTGGTGGCACATGCCTGTAATGCCAGCTACTTGGGAGGCTGAGGCAGGAGAATCGCTTGAACCCGAAAGGCGGAGGTTGCAGTAAGCTGAGATCGTGCTGAGCCGAGATCGTGCCGAGCCAAGATCGCACCATTGCACTCCAGCCTGAGCGACAAGAGCAAAACTCTGTCTCAAAAAAAAAAAAAAAAAAAAAAAAGCCATACAATATATGGCCTTTGTGTCAACTTAGCATAATGTTTTCAATGTTCATCCATGTCATAGCATTTATCAATACATCATTCCTTTGTATGGCTGAATAATATTCTATTGTATGAATACACCATATTTTGTTTAGCTATTCATCCACTGACAGCCATTTGGATTGTTTCCACTCTTTGGCTATTATAAATAATGCTGCTATGATCATTCCTGTACAAGTTTTTTGCGTGGACACGTTTTCAGTTCTCTTGGGTATACACCTAAAAGTAGATCGCCGAGTCAGATGGTAACTCTAAGGTTAACTTTTTGTTGTAACTGCCAGAATGTTTTCCAAAGTGATTGAAACGTTTTATATTCCCAGCAGAACCACGAGGGTTCCAATTTCTCCAAGTCCTCAGCAACACTTAAAACTGCCCATCTTTTATTACAGCCATCCTAATGGGGTGTGAGGTGGCATCTCATTGTGGTGTTGATTTGCATTTCTCTAATGACAAATGATGCTGAGCAATTTCTGATGTGCTTATTGGCCATTTGTATATCTACTTTGGAGGAATATAATTTTACGTTTTAAAAAGGTCACTATGGCTGTAGTGTGATGAATGAACAGAGTGGGTGGGGGACAGAGCAACAACTGAAGAGGAAACTAGTTAGAAGGCAACCGAAGTAGCCTACGTGAGACTGTTGTCTTAACCTAGGCTGGTGACAGGGTGCAAAGTGACAATTCAGACTATTTTTTTTTCTAATAATGTCCATTTTCCTTTTTTTTTTTCTTCTTTTACTTTAAGTTCTGGGATACATGTGCTGAACGTGCAGGTTTGTTACACAGGTATACATGTGCCATGGTGGTTTGCTGCACCTATCAACCCGTCATCTAGGGTTTAAGCTCCGCGTGCATTAGGTATTTATCCTAGTGCTCTCCCTCCCCTTCCCCTCGACCGATTCAGAGTTTTGTTTTTTTGAGACAGAGTCTCACTCTGTCACCCAGGCTGGAGTGCAGTGGCACGATCTTGGCTCACTACAACCTCCACCTCCTGGGTTCCAGCGGTTCTTCTGCCTCAGTCTCCCAAGTAGCTGGGACTAAAGGCGTGTGCCACCACGCCCAGCTTAATTTTTGTATTATTAGTAGAGACAAGGTTTCACCATATTGGCCAGGCTGGTCTCAAACTCCTGACCTCATGATCCGCCCGCCTCGGCCTCCCAAAGTGCTAGGATTACAGGCGTGAGACCACGCCTGGCCGATTCAGACTATTT
This sequence comes from Homo sapiens, assembly GCF_000001405.40. Taxonomy (NCBI): domain Eukaryota; kingdom Metazoa; phylum Chordata; class Mammalia; order Primates; family Hominidae; genus Homo; species Homo sapiens. The sequence goes on along the minus strand of NC_000011.10, from coordinate 112,091,774 downwards.
TTTAAAGAAAGAACAGAACTGATGGAATAAGTGGGGTAAGAACAAAAAGAAATATCTAGAATGACTCCTAAGAATTTTAGTTTGAGCATAGCTTTGAGAAGGGGGTTTTAAAGGAGAAATCAAGGGAGATTTGGGGGGAAAAAAGAGCGATTTGGCCAATGTTAGATCTGGGATAACTATCAGACATCCAAGTGGATGTCAATTAGACAATTAGATAAACAAGTCTGCAGCTCAGAAAAACAGGTCAGATCTGAGCTCACCTAAAAAAGGGTACAGATGGAGAAATTAAGAAGGCCATGACTCAGCCCTGGAGATTTTGTCATCTCGAGGTCAGACAAGAGGAGAAGGATCTGGCAGAGGAGACTTCTATGCATCTGGAAAGCCAAAGAAAAGTGACTTATGGGGAGAATTGTTAATTGAGTTGAAGGCGGCTGAGACTTCAAGCAAGTGGAGGGCAGAAAATAGACAACCGGATTTGGAAAGATGAAGGCCTTCAGTGCCCTTGGTAAGAATAACCTAAGTTATATAGTTGGGATAAGACCCCAATTAATACAGGCTAAAAGAGACTCAGTGTTGAGGAAGTGGAGCACATTATAGACAGCTCCTTCAAGAGGGATGACATGTTAGAGAAATATTACTTACTGTACTTGTGATCTAATATTTCATATGCAACTGGAATCTTTTATTTGGAAAGGTCTGTGTGGTTAAAAAACAACATCAACAACAACAACTCATTCTCCTAACCAGTCCTACAAAACCAGATAATTAAAACCCCTTTAGGCTGGGCACGGTGGTTCACACCTATAATCCCAGCACTTTGGGAGGCCAAGGTGGGAGGATCACTTGAGGTCAGGAGTCCAAGACCAGCCTGGACAACATGGTGAAACCCCGTCTCGATTTAAAATACAAAACTGAGCCAGGTGTGCTGGCGCATGCCTGTAATCCCAGCTGCTTGGGAGGCTGAGGCATGAGAATTGCTTGAACCCAGGAGGCAGAGGTTGCAGTGAACCAAGATCACACCACTGCACTCCAGCCTGGGTGAGAGTGAGACTCCGTCCCAAAAAAAAAAGAAAAAAAAAATCTTTAACACTAGCTAGAAAATGATTCTGACAAGTCACTTAACCTCCCTGGGTCTTAGTTTCCAAATCTGTAAAATAAAAGAGTTGGTTAAGATACTCTCCAAAGTACTTCCAGTTTCAACAATCCGAAAGTGGCTCCCTACCCCCCACAATGACAACATATTGTCCCTTGCAAAACTTAAAAAGAACAACTCAAGGAACCCAACCTGTCATTTACCCTCATTTTAGAAGGTTCATTACGTAGAAAGTCATACAAACTATACCAGATAAAATAAACAAAAGCTGGGCCGGACATGGTGGCTCACGCCTGTAATCCCAGCACTTTAGGAGGCTGAAGCGGGCAGATCACCTGAGGTCAGGAGTTCCAGACCAGCCTGGCCAAAATGGCGAAACCCCGTCTCTACTAAAAATACAAAAAAATTAGCCGGATGTGGTGGTGCACGCCTGTAATCCCAGCTACTTGGGAGGCTGAGGCAGGGAGAATCGCTTGTACCTGGGAGGCGGAGGTTGTGGTGAGCTGAGATCACACCATTGCACTCCAGCCTGGGCAACAGAGCGAGACTCTGTCTCAAAAAATAAACAAACAAACAAACAAACAAACAGGCGCTGGATGCTCATTCATTCAGCAAGTATTTACTGAGTGCTATATGTCACGTACCAGAGAGTAGTTCTAGGCTCTAGAGGCACAACAGCAAACAAATACAGTAAAAATAACAAAATAATCCACCCACATACATCTCTTTTTTTTTTTTAAGAGGCAAGAATAAACTATACTATTTAGGGATATACATTTGGGTGATAAAATGCAAGGAAGCAATTACTATATAAAATAATGAACAGATGATGTAGTATATTAGAAGGCAGTAAGTACTATTGAGAAAAATAAAACAAGCAAGAGAGATAAGGAATGGCAGGACAGAAACTGCAATTTTGAATAAGTGGTTAGGGAAGGCTTTGTTGAGAGAATGGCATTCAAGACCTGAAGGAGATGAAGGAACAAGCCAAGTGTATAGCTAGAAAAAGAGTTTCAGGCAGAAGCAGTAAGAGAAGCCCTGAGACCTGGAATGTCCCTGGCATGTTCAAGGAATCTCAAGGAAGGCAGTGTGAATGAGAGAGAGAGCAGCTAAAAATGAGGGAAGAAACAGGGTGGTTCAATCATGTAGAGTCTACAGACAACCCTAAGAATTCTGACTTTGAGTAACATGAAGAGACAAAATAGGGTTTTGAGAAGGGGAATGTCTTATTCTAATTAACATTTTAACAGGATCACTGGGTATGCTGTGTTGGGAATGAACACAAATGGGAACCAGTTAGGAGACTACTACTAGAGTCAAGGATAATGACCAAGTTTGGAGCTTACCAGGTTTAGACTTGAACAAAGAGAAAACTGGAAATGCCATTAATTCAGATGGGGCAAGAGTGCAGGAGGAACAGATTAGGGGAGATCAGAAATTCAGTTTGACAGGCTACATTCAAAATGCTATTAGATACGGAAATCGAATTGAAAGACATTGAATAGGCAGGCAGATATATAAATCTAGGCATATACATATTTTATATATATTTTAAAGTTTTCAACAAATTTAGGGCATTTCAATCAACTTCTCCCTCATATATAATACATAAGACAAGCTCACAGCAAACAAACTGAGCAGACAACTATATTTGGAATTGCTATACTTGCCAGTGACCATGAAGAGTGAGGGCTGCAGCCAGGGAATAGTCCATCGCAGAGCAAGGATTCAAATAAGCAGCCGGAAGCAGACCCAGGAGCAAAACACTGACAACCCTCTCGCTAGTCCAGTGGAGAGATGCAGCCTTGGAGCCAGCTACAAAAAGGACCAGATTCATAAAAGTTGATGTGAGAAACACACATCTTTCATGTTCAACATATGCCACACAGTAACCCAAACTGACAGGCAGTGTACATATAGGATATAACTCTGAGTACAAAGGAAGTAAAATATCAAAATAGTAGTTGAGAGAAGCTATCTCTGTTTTTTGAAGGCTTTATCTCTGTTTTTTGAAGTCTTTTAGCACAAGGGTATCTCAATGCCTACATATTGATTAGAAGACAGATCCAAGAAGATGGATAAAAAACAGAATTGCTGTATTGCTACAGAATTAAGCCAGTCTTGGTTCAGTGAAGTGAACAGACACCTTATGAATGTAAGTTAGTGGTCCAGGCGTGGTGGCTCACGCCTGCAATCCCAGCACTTTGGGAGGCTGAGGTGGGCAGATCACCTGAGGTCAGGAGTTTGAGGAGGTCAGGAGTTTGAGACCAGCCCGGCCAACACGGTGAAACCCGTCTCTACTAAAAGTACAAAACTTAGCTGGGCATGGTGGTGGGCGCCTGTAATCCCAGCTAGTCGGGAGGCAGGGGCAGGAGAATTGCTTGAACTCAGAAGGTGGAGGTTGCAGTGAGCCGAGATCGCACCACTGCACTCCAGCCTGCATAACAGAGCGAGACTCTGTCTCAAAAAAAAAGAAAACAAAAGAAAAAAATTTGTAAAGACTTAGGCTAGAAGGTCTTCTATGATTATAAATGGCATCATTCAACCATAATGGCACTGTCTGCCCAAAGGTGTAAACTAGGTCTTCATTTGACAAAGTTGGACACAAGAGTCCCCCCTACAGGTAGGAAGTCCTGCTAAAGGCATGACCATTAGTGAAGGTAAAGATGGCTAGAGCCCAGAAAGCAGCAGCGATGGAGAGAACATACAATGGTGGCTCGGTGACAAGTGTATGTGCTGCACTCCACACCATTCTGGGATAGGTCGGTCCTGAAGAAATGCTGAGATATGAGCAGGTCTGACCACTGGAGTTCGAAGCAACAGAGCTGAGGAAAGAGTCATTAGGATGATCATAAGAACCTCTCCTTTAACAGGACTGACAAACTTTCTAAATGACCATAGGTAAGCTACTTAACAATAAATAGGGGATAACATCTTATTTGTAAAATGAAGATAGCATCTATTTCACTGGGGTTACTGTGAAGTTAAGACCAGGGAACATCTGCATGTTCCCTACTTTATTTAATGACACCTCAGGCATTCTTTAACCTAACTCAGTAATCTGGAAATCATGAGAGACTTTTCCCCTAAATTCAATCGCCAAATCCTATTGGCGTATCTCTTTAACAGTTCTTGAGACAATCTTCTTTTCTTTGTGCTACTTTCCTAGTTCAGGACCTCATCTTGCCCGGACTACTATGACAGTGTTTTCCTCATCAGAATGAAAGCTCGTTGAGGGCGGGAACTACGTTTTCTTCACATTTGTATCCTAGCATTACTACAGTACCTGAGGTAACACAAATGCCCAGGTTAAATGATTTTCGAACTGATCCCCCCTCCACTCCCACATCCAAACACACCAACTCCAGAAGAAATGGGCAAGCTCCTAACCCTCTTTCCCGACTCAGGGTGGGAGCGAGTGGGGAGCATTCTAGGGACAGTGAACGGGGAGAAAACAGAACTGCTATGTGGATTAGCCTCATCAGGACTGCGACTTCCAGAGGGAGCTCTCTTTCTGATTATTCCCTCAACTCGTCAGCTCACAGCAAGTGAAATATACCTTCGGGTAAACATCTGGACCCCTAGACTACAGTGGTCATTGCTGTGATTTCGGTATTTTCTTCTCCTCAAGAGATCTCCCACCCGGCAGATGAGTCCTCACTTCCATCCCCTTCCCTGGCTGGAGGCTACGCTAAGCACCTCAGGGTGGGAAGACCCCTCACCTCGGCCTCCTAGGGCACCGCAAACGGCACTCAGCCTCCAGAGAACCGCCATCTCGTTCCTGAGGGCTCAAGGTCATCCACCAACCCGGAACCACTTAGGCGACAATTCCCACCCACGACGACGAAAGAAAACAGGGAAGAGGAAATGCTGGGTGAACCGGAAGTCGAGAGGCGGTGCACACCCGTCGCGCATGCGCAAACACAGCTGTCGGAAGGTGGCGAGCCTGAGGCGAACAATGGCGGAGCTGGGCGAAGCCGATGAAGCGGAGTTGCAGCGCCTGGTGGCCGCCGAGCAGCAGAAGGCGCAGTTTACTGCACAGGTGCGGGGACGGGGAGGGTGAAGGGAAAGGAAGTTTCACCTTCCTTGGTGGTCCTGGGCACGCTCGGAGGTCTGTACACTGGCGGCTCACTGGTGCTCGATCCCGGCTGCATCCCATTCCCCTCACGAAAGACAAAGTTATGGCTCTCCTGTCCCTGGTGACCGGTAGTGCTCAGGTGCCAGGTATATAAGCGTAGCGTGGAGAAAAGAAAAGGTGTAAAACAGGGAAGATTTGGGCGACGCAAGGGTACGGGAGACTAGTTAGCCGGCGACATGACTGGGCTGGCATTCGAAAGATCTGGGTTCTCATCCTCCCTCTGCTCCTTGCAGGCCACGTGCCCGTAGAAAAGATACTCATCCACTGTGGGTTTTGGTGTCGCCGTCACCCCACTGCCTCACTGGATTGTGAGGATCATATGCGACAATGTATTTGAAAACGACTAGAACATTATCGGAGGAAGGTGGACTCTGAAGTAGTCGCTGTAGACTATGGATGTAGAACAAGGGTTTGGAGCCCTTCGGACATGGTTCTAACGCGGCCTGACTTCTTGCTGGCTACATGACCTTGGACTACATAATCACGCCTCTTAAATGGGAGGTGATGACAGCTATCCTTGAGGACCTTAGAGAGAACTGATTTCTTAGTACCCAGCCTCACAAATAGTAAGCTCTTGGTAAAATGGTTTTTTCCTTTTGGGTGGGAGGAAGAGGGTGCTCGGATGACCAGCAAGAACCCTGGCTAGAAATCTTTGGGCCCTGAACATTCTAATGACAGTGCACATAATTTCTGTGCCTGTATGTGCATTTTTCTGGGGAGTGGATCCATAACCCCCAAAAGGTTAATGGAAGAATTACCTTGTCTAGGGGATAGGTTTGGAATAAAATGAGTGCAATAGTTTGGGAAAATTAATTGGTTCCCTAGTTGGTTCACAATGGTGCTAGCTACTTTGGGGAATATAAAAGGTTATTAGTCCTACCTGAGAATGTACAATCTGTAGGGACGAGGATCTGGATCAATATTGGTGACTAATTAGGAAATGAAGAAAGAGAAGAGCCCAAAGTGACTCCGTGGTTGATTTAAAGAATGGTTTTGTCAGGTGTCAAAAAGTGAGAAGTTAATAAACAAGAGTTAGGCCTATCTGCAGACCCCAATGGTTACTATTTTTCTTTCCTTTTAGGTGCATCACTTCATGGAGTTATGTTGGGATAAATGTGTGGAGAAGCCAGGGAATCGCCTAGACTCTCGCACTGAAAATTGTCTCTCCAGCTGTGTAGACCGCTTCATTGACACCACTCTTGCCATCACCAGTCGGTTTGCCCAGATTGTACAGAAAGGAGGGCAGTAGGCCATCCCCCAGGAGAATGACAGAAGCAAAGGACTTGTTACTAAGCAGATTTAAGGGTCAGTGGGGGAAGGCTATCAACCCATTGTCAGATCAGCATCAGGCTGTTATCAAGTCTGTTGGTGCTAAAAAGTAAAAGATGAAATGTTCAAAGAGTGAAATTTATTTATTTGGAATTCAGAAATTCCAGGTTGTATGACATCAGTTACTCAATAAGTGTGAATTCTCCAACTCTTCTTTTAATCCCATTTTAGAATTTAATATAGAGATCTCTGATTGGCAGGAACACTAGAAATAAATGTTCCATGGCCAGTAGTGCAAATGGGGGATTGTAGGTTTTGAAAAACCACCCTAAGCCATATTAAGGGGGTTGGAAGAACCATCGAAGCCTAAGGCATAGAAGAAAATTTGGGGTTAAGAAAGATGAAGAACAAAAAACAGCTTTATTGCTTATACATGACCAAGAAAAGGAAAACATGGCAAAAAAAAAAAAAAAAAGGCAAGATGTGTATTCCTTGCGAAAGAACAAGCCTGCTAACTTGGGAGGAAGGGAAGGTCAGGACCCAAATAGAGCCAATTTCCTGGAGATGGCCTGTTCTACTGGCACATTTTCCTGAGTCTGTGCTTAAAACCTTTCAGGTACTTTCAGGGCACAGAAACAATGCATGCTAAAAAATATATGGCCAAAGCTCCTTCCAACAAAGATTTAACTTGCTCCAGGAACAAAATAATTGCTTTAGGTTAAGAGGTAGTAATTAGAGACTATTCTTCTCCCTTTAGACCCCCACTAATCCCAAAAATAAAAATACACACCATGGAACACTGACAATTGAGTACCAAAGTATTAAAATTTAAAATAAATATCCCAAAAGGTAGCACCTGCTCATAGTTAAGGGATAGGGCACCTCTGTCCAACCATGTATTTTAAGACCAAGCACTTTATTAGAAATCTGTCCCGTAAAGAGAACAAATTTAGCAGTTAGAACTAAAAATACCAACTCATGGAATGTCATCATAGTTGTATCTACTGCTGGTGTCTTATACTGTCATGCTACTGTGAAGTAATTCCGTATTACACATCAGGAAAGTAAGGCCAGGAAGGTGAACTTACCTGCTCTGGGCCTCCTCATAACCAATGAGTGGCAGAACCAAGACCGAAAGTCTGAGTTTTCAAGCTTTTTACTCAGCCCATTAAGTGACAACCAGGAAAAAATAATACGTCACTTGATCTTTCTTCCCACAGTGAAAAAATGCACTTGCGTTCTGCCAGCCTTCTTTCAGTGATATGTTGGTTTCTTAAGAATTAACATACTAAGGATCACAGTATAGCAAAGGGAATTAATGTGGTCTCTGCTTGGTGCTTTAATCCAAAGGCAGACTGGGAAGAAGTGGATATGTCCCTGAGAAGCCTGTTTCATTTTGGAAATAATTCAACTTAGTTTCAGGGAAAACCTAAACTTCATGAACAGATTTAGAAATGAACAAGACAACATTTAAATGGCAGTTGCTGCCCTGAATCCAGAGTACCATTAGACAACATGATTATTTCCTAATTCTTCCCCATTTGGTACAGGATTATCTATGACAATTGAAGAAATAATTTGAACACAAGTCCATTTAGGCAAATATACAGCAATGGAACTAGAAAACCATTTACTATCCAATTACCATGTTTAGGCATATACTAAGTATAGCTATAGGCCCCATCCAGCAGGGAAATTTGCAAAAACTCTAGTCCCTTCTAATAAGTTGTCTATGGATGTTATCATGAAGGGAAAAGGTTTGTTCTTAGGCCCATGTCCTGATTAAGTAAACCGGACCACACCTGTGGGGTCAAAATATAGAAGGATCAAAGCACCAAGGCTAAAGACAAGTTAGTTGTGACACCTGCTATATAAACAGAGAGCAATACAGTGTTGCCTTGTCATACCATCCTACATGGCATTAGTTCCAATCCACCTCTTGATCCCAGCCCTTGACTTCCCCAAATTCAATATTCCGATTGGTGTACCCAGGTCACTATTGGATCCAGCTTTCTGGGTCCTTTAATTTGCTGTATATGCACTCTACACTAAACGTAATTAATTGCAAAAAAAAATAATCTCTTCAAGAAACCTTCATAACAAAATACCAGATTCCCTTTTAACAAGAAAAGGGGATCAAGCTTAACGCCAAAATAGAAGACAAGACGTCTGTCAGAACATACAGATGGCACAAGACAGCTCTGACCTCAGGCCCCGTGCTGAACAAGAGTCACTGGCAAAACCACAAGGAGTAAGAACTGTAAATATCCACAGTCATGTGGAAAACAAAAGTGTTTCCCATTTAGTCATCCTCTGAGCTCTCAGCAGACCTTTCATCTGTAGCTACTTTCCAATTTGTGCGTTTGTTTGTCCTCTCCTGTATTTCATTGTTGGCTACAGAGGTATGGGCTTTTTTCTCTCTCTTTTTCCTTTTGGTTTTCTTAGTGTCTCTTTCCTCACTTTCCTCAGAACTGCTGGATGCTGAATCATCTGAATGTGAAGTGTTACTTTCTGCCTCTAAGAATAAAGCAGGTTTTTTGAGAGACTTTTTCCTGGATTTTTTCTTGCGTTTATGTGGTTGTTTCCCTTTCCTTGTACCAGAAGCCCCAGTTTCTTCTGAGAACTCACTCGAGGAATCTGCTGTTATATCTGTGGCTTCCTTTTTGCTTTTCTTCTGTTTTTTGTGTGACCTTTTTTTCTGCTTTTTTTTGTGGGATTTCTTTGACTTCTTGTGTTTGCGGGATTCATGGGTAGATGACTTTACCTGGGGAGATGTTTTCTTCCCGTTGGTAATATCTTGCTGATCACTACTAATAAGAAAAGTTAAAAAATAGAAGCTTTTATGTAAAAAAAAAGCGTATTATTTTAATATTTTGCATTCTAGATTAAAAAATTGAGGTTAACATCTGAATTTTAAATAAGCACTTTAATGTATACTTTAACACTTTAATATTCTCATTGAGTTTTTGTTTCCTCATCTTTAAAATGAAGGTAAAAATTCTAAGCTGCCATACTGAGTTACTGTATGGAATACTATATATAAAAACCAAAATGCTTACAGACATGCCAAACATCAACCAGAGAATGGGAAAACAGGGATCACCTCCTAACTAAATCACCTATTGTTTCTCTAGCTACATTTTTGATGGCAAGTATATTCTTCGTAAAAGTTAAGAAATCAATTTATAATACAGATTTTGTACCATCTTAGTTTCTTTCAGTAAGCCTATTTTCCTTACCTGTCTGTTTCAAATTCTTCAGGGTATAACTCTTTATAACCACTGTGACCCCATCTGTAATATGACACATCACATGTATTGTTAAAGCAATGCATACATTTTTGGAAATTAAAGCAACATTAGAAAGACTTTGGAGTACATGCATACACAAACATAAACACAAAGTAGAGATATGGTAGAACCAAGCCCCCATTATAGCTCAGTAACAGCTACATTTCCTGTACTGTACACTATCACTTCAGACATACAAGATTATTTTGTCCATTTGTAAGAGAACTTGCCATTGCTTTCCTTAAGAAACACTAACGAACTCTTACACTCTGCTCTTTAGCTATGAAGCACTTTTCCAAAAACACTTCATAATATCATGCTGTCTACATGGGGACAATTTTTTTTTTTTTTTTTGAGATGGAGTCTCACTCTTGCCCAGGCTGGAGTGCAGTGGCGTGATCTCAGCTCACTGCAACCTCCGCCTCCCGATTTCAAGTGATTCTCCTGCCTTAGCCTCCCGAGTAGCTGGGACTACAGGCACATGCTACCATGCCTGGCTAATTTTTGTATTTTTAGTAGAGATGGGGTTTCATTATGTTGGCCAGGCTGGTCTCAAACTCCTGACCTCATGGATCTGCCCGCTTTGGCCTCCCAAAGTGCTGGGATTACAAGCATGAGCCACCGCGCCCAGCCTTATTATTATTTTTTTCTTTTTTTCTTGAGACAGAGTCTCACTCAGTTGCCAGGCTGGAGTGCAGTGGTGCAATCTCGGCTCAACTGCAACCTCCACCTCCTGGGTTCAAGTGATTCTCCTGCCTCAGCCTCCCGAGTAGCTGGGACTACAGGCGCATGCCACCACGCCCGGCTAATTTTTGTATTTTTAGTAGAGCTGGGGTTTCACCATGTTGGCTAGGATGGTCTCAATCTCTTGACCTCGTGATCCGCCCGCCTCGGCCTCCCAAAGTACTGGGATTACAGGCATGAGCCACAGCACCTGGCCTATTTTTTTTAAATAACAACTTTATTGAAGTATAATTCACATATCATGGCATTCAAAGTGTAGTGCCTCCAGCCCAGGGCAATCACTAATCTGCCTTCTGTCTCTATGGAATTGCCTACCACATAAATGGAATCATACAGTTATGTATGGACATAGTACATAAATAGAATCATACAATATGCGGTCTTTCGTGACTTGGCTTCTTCCTTCTCACTTAGCATGATGTTTTCAAGGCCACGTTGTAACATGTATCTGTACTTCATTTCTTTTACTGCCAAATAATATTCCATTGTATGGATATATCGCATTTTGTTTACCCATTCATCAGTTGACAGACATTTGGATTACTTGGCCATTATTTTTTGGGGCCATTATTAATAATGCTGGTATGAACTTTTGTACACAAGTTTTTTGTGGGGACAATTAATTTTGATAAGTACACGTTCTCAGGCCAAATATTAATGCTCACAGGAATTAATCACAAACCTGTCTGGCATGTTTGCTTCATAATCATAGAACTTTTTATTCCAGGATTTAGCCTTAAGAAAATCATCTTCCAGTGTCCCAGAAATTTCATTCTTTGGCCTCCAATAGTATCTTTGACTTTCTTCATCAAAACCATCACTGCGCATCCGGCTAAAAGAGAAAGCAGAAGAACTTTTAGATGTAAAAGCAATCTGTGAGTTTACTTTATGGAACATCATGCACAAAACTCATGGAACAAGCTGAGGGGGAAGGAAACAACATGATACTGTTTAAAAAAAAAAAAAAAAAAGGCAAAGACATTATCTGCTCCTCTCTATACATTTGTGAAGTCCAGTGGAAGAAATCTGACCAGGCCTAGTGCAGTAGCTCATGCCTGTAATCCCAGCACTTTGATTATCTGTTCCTCTGTACATTTGTAAAGTCCAGTGGAAAAAAATCTGACCAGGCCAGGTGCAGTGGCTCATGCCTGTAATCCCAGCACTTTGGGAGGCCGGGGCGAGTGGATCACTTGGGGTCAGGAGTTCAAGACCAGCCTGGGGGACATGGTGAAACCCTGTCTCTGCTAAAAATACAAAAAAAGTAGTTAGGTGTGGTGGCACACGCCTATAGTCCCAGCTACTTGGAAGGCTGAGGCAGGAAAATTGCCTGAACCCGGGGAGGCAGAGGTTGCAGTGAGCCCAGATCATGCCATTGTACTCCAGCCTGGGCAACAGAGTGAGACTCCGTCTCAGGAAAAAAAAAAAAGAAAAAAAGAAAAAAATCTGACCATTAGTACCCATCCTATTGCAAAGCATAGAGAGATGAAATCAACTCTGGACTATGTCATGTGATAGTTCACTCGCTGATTCTCAACTAGGAGGGCATGCAAAGAGGGAAGCAGAACATAATCATAGCAAGGGACACTTCAAACTACCCTAGAGATTCTGAAATACACTTCCCTCTGTGCAAACCAGCAACTTACTATAGAGAGGTCCCAATAACAGTGGGAACAAGGTCTAACCCATGGGAATACTGGAGTAGGAAAAAAGTTGAGAACCACTGATCCAGCTTCTGTTTACCATTTCTACTAACTAGCCAGTAAGCTGCTAATCGGTTATCAAAAATTTTTAAGGGGCCAGGTCCAGTGGCTCACGCCTGTAATCCCAGCACTTTGGGAGGCCGAGGTGGGTGGATCACTTTGAGCTCAGGAGTTCAAGACCAGCCTGGCCAACATGGTGAAACCCTGTCTCTACTAAAAATACAAAAATTAGCCAGGCGTGGTGGCAGGTGCCTGTAATCCCAGCTGATTGGGAGGCTGAGGCAGAAGAATTGGCTGAATCCAGGAGGCGGAGGTTGCAGTGAGCCAAGACCACACCATTGCACTCCAGCCTGGGTAACAAAAGCGAAACTCCATCTCAAAAAAAAAAAAAAAAAAAAATTGTAAGGGCCTCCTATGTACCAGGTACTGGTCTAGCTGGCAGGAATATAGCAGCAAATGAGAAAATCACAAGCCCTGCTCCTAAAGAGTTTAAGTATTTCTTATATATGTAGCTCTTACACTTACAAGCGTGTAAGGATCTTCCCAATTATTCAAGCATTCCTAGGCCTCTCCACAAGGAAGATAACTAAGCCTGCATAATCCTTCATATTTACACTCAAGCTATTAAGGTAATGTGAAAAGGCTGTTGATCTGGTGAAGAGGGTGAATAGACAGGGTGAAGAAAAGTCTGAGGCCAGGCAAGTGGCTCATGCTTATAATCCCAACACTGGGAGGTTGAGGTGGGAGGACTGCGTGAGCCCAGGATTCTATACCAGCCTGGGGAACACAGCAAGACACCACCTCTACAAAAAAAAAGTAGCTAGGCATAGTGGCATGCACCTGCAGTTCCAGCTACAAAAAGAAAAGCCTGAAAGAATGAAAGATTAATAGAGAATAGAATGACTGATCAGCTTAGTGACCACAAGATTCCAGTATAAAATCTTCAGTTAAAAGCTATCAGGTAAGGTTAGAATCCACAGAACCCTACACATTCATAATTGTTCAGGTAGAATTTTTTAACTCTCCATTGTAAATAAGTACAAAGAGCAGGGCCATATGCGTCACAGCCATTATCTTTATGCCTGGGTCTAGATTTACGAAAGAAGGAAGGCTTAAGGACTCACAGAACTGAATTTATCCTTAATATACCAAAGTATTTTTAAACAAAAGTTGATGATTCTGAAAAAGATGAGAATTATTTTAGTTCTCAGAGCTGCAACTTCACCTTGAACTGCTGGGTAGCATTTTCCTTTTGGTCCCCCGGTAAGCATCTTCCATCTGTTTTTCCAGTTCTCTTATTTTCCACATATCTGATTCCTCCTGAATCTAGAATTTTTAAAAAGGAAATAAAAATAAGTTACTAAAAATAACTTTACATTACAGAAAAGTAACTAACTGGCCGGGCACAGTGGCTCACACCTGTAATCCCAGCACTTTGGGAGGCCAAAGCAGGCAGATCATGAGGTCAAGAGTTTGACACCAGCCTGACCAACATGGTGAAACCCCGTCTCTAATAAAAATACAAAAATTAGCCGGGCGTGGTAGCATGCACCTGTAATCCCAGCTACTCAGGAGGCTGAGGCAGGAGAATCGCTTGAACCCTGGAGGCAGAGGTTGCAGTGAGCCGAGATTGCACCACTGCACTCCAGCCTGGGCGATGGAGTGAGACTCTGTATCAACAAAAAAAGAAAAAAAAAAAAAAGCAACTAACTGAAAATACAATCTGACTAATTATTGGGCTACAGACTGGGCTATGATCAGGAACCTGGAAAACAAATTGGTTTCTCTAGAAAGTGGCTGAACAGTCCAATCCAGTAAATCTCAAATATGTGGAAATCTTCCCCAATAGAATTTTTAAACCGCTGCACAGACAAACATCACCTTATCAATCTTGCAATTATGCTGCGATTAGCAAATGATAATGCCACATTTCCAAAATGCAATATGATTTTAATTATATCATCTCAATTGAACCTTAAGCAATCTCATGAGGAAAATATAGCAGCTACCATTATTACATTTTACTGTAAAGAAACAAAAGCTCAGAGATTTTAACAAAGTCAAAAAACTAGTAAGGACAGGTCTTTAAACTCCCTAAGCTAAATCTCTTCTGGTAATATTATAATTTTTGTCAAAAATAAAATAAAATAAAATAATCAGTATGGCTGCTAGGGAATTTCTTGAAAAGCAGAATGTGATTACCCAAAGAACACATTTTATTTCTAAGTCTTCCTGCATAATTTCATTAGATCTGTGCTAGATTTATCTTTTTCTAGCTACCATTTTAAATCTAAGCTTACTATATAACTAGGGGCAGGTTAACATAATTGCATAGGCAGCTCGGGTAACAGTTTTACCCTCGCCCATAATTTTAAAAATCAGGTGATATGATAATAATAATATGATCAAACCAAAAGTAGTACAGTTTACTGAAGAAAACTAAACCAGGGGCCTTGGCCCTCTTTTCATTATATGTGCTCTCCTAGGTGACCTCATCTACTCTCATGACCTCTTATCATCAACCTATACATCAATAATCCCGAAACCTTTATGTCCAGCCCCAACTTTTCTCCTCTACTCCAAGTCTGAATTTTCAACTGCTTGGACATCCTATAAGCACCTCACCATCAACATGTTGAAAACCAAACTAATTACCTTTCCTATCATAATTGTCCCATTTTTTGTTCTTTATCTCAATTAACAGAATTGTCATCATCTACCCAGTCACATAGGTGGTTACACAGTTGACCTTGAACAACAGGAATCTCAACTGTGCAGGTCCACTTATCCTCAGATTTTCTTCCACCTCTGCCACCTGTAAGATAGCAAAACAAGTCCCTCTTCTTCCTCCTCAGCCTACTCAATGTGATTTTCTTAATGAAATGTTGTTTTCTCTAGCTACTTTACTATAAGAATACAGTATATAATACATGTAACATAAAAAATATGTGTTAATCCACTGTTTATGGTATCGCTATGGCTTTCAGTCAGTAGTAGGCTATTGGCACTTACATTTTGAGGGAGTAAAAAGTTATACATGGATTTTCGACTATGCAGGGGGTTGATGCCCCTAGCCCCTGCATTGTTCAAGGGTCAACTGAATTAGATTCCATTCTTATCATTATAATCTAATTAGCCACCAACTTCTTTGGATTCTATCTCCTAAATTCCTCTTCTTCATCCCTGCTGTCACTAATTTCATGCGAACCCTCATCATCTCTCACCTGTAATACTGCAATTGCCTCCTAATTACTCTCCCTTCTGTATCTCCCCATCTGATTCATTCCCTACCCAGCTGACAAACCATCTTTCTAAAATATAACTATGATCATGCCACACCCTGTTTAAAAACATTTGATGGCTTCTTTATTGCCTAGAGGAAGAAGTCTCAGCTCCAAACATCACAATCCAACTCTAATTACCACTGAGGCCTTATCTTCTGCCACTATCCCCTACCTTCCCTGCTTTCTGGATAAATTTCTTGCCATGCCCCAAGTGATTAATGCTCTTTCTCGTTGCCATATTAATGCATGATGCTGTCTATCCAGAATGATATTTCATACCTGGTAAACGTATACCTATTCAAGAACCAGTTCAAAGATCAGCAGCTGAAATACCACTAATTCTGTAAAATCTTTTCTAATTCCCCAGTGTAGATTTTATTATTTCCTCCTTAGTGCTCCAAAGCACTTTGCAAATATCTCTGTTATACAGTACTTATCAAACTGTATTATAATTATCTATTTTATTCATCATTTTATTTCCTACTGTGTACGGAAGCTTCCAAAAACTAGATGACAAGAATATTCTTTGTATCTCCCAGTTGTTCCAAAATAATGCTTGGCACACTGCTTGCCTTCAGTAAGCGTTGAGGAGTAACTAGGTTGTACCTCCCACCTTATTGTGAGCATCTGTGTGCCGGATGACATTCCTCAGGAGGACCTTCCCCAGTGGAATCCGGGACATTCTTCAATCTGAAATGAATCAACAAATAACGTTTAGTAATAATTTCTGTTATTACTTTATCTTTTCTTGAAGTTTTATAAAGAAGCATATGAGGTACAGGAAAGATCACTGAACTAGAAGTCAGAGATTCTAAAGAATAGTTTTCCCTTTACCATTAAAAGAGGGAAATGCCTAAACACACTAATGTGAGATGAAAGGAGATAATGTACATTAAAGTTCTTTGAAAATGCACAAGACTACATAAAATTAAGTGCTTTCATGAGCACCATTTTATTTAATCCTCATAACTACTTTTTATATGAGGCAAGTATCTCCATCCCTATTTTGTAGATGAAGTTCCCTTAAAGCTGTAACGTCCCAAGCCACATAGTCCCAGGCAAATGATGTATGTCACTGTCTAAATTAAAAATCAAACCTCCAATCCCAATATAGTTTGCACTGAAGCAAATACGTAGATTTGAGAGTGTCAGGAACCACGGGTGTCAACAGTAACAGAAACTGATTACTCAAAACATCAAATGCAAAGATGTCCTAAATTTCTCCATTTGGGGGCATTTTATTTCCTACTTGCTACGGAAGCTTCCAAAAACTAGATGACAAGAATATTTTCGTGTGTAGCTAGCAGGAGCTTTGTGCAACCACCCCAACGCTCACTCACCCCTTGATCCTGAGGAAATCAGGCATCTTGCTAGTGAGACGAAGAACCACTCCATTACAAGATCTCCTCCGACCCAGGAAGCCAAGGAGTCAGGGCTCAAAGGCAGCTCTGCAGCTTCACCCGAGTCCTTCGTGAAAACGCAGCCTTCCCACTGGTTACTCTGCCCTCACCTGTGGCCCAGGCCACTGCCGCGTTTCCCCCAGCCCAGACCGACAGGCAGATCTCTCTCCCGGACTGAGGCCGGAGGCTGAGCCGGGGCGGAATTCGGACAGCCCGGTTGACCTGGGCATTCCCCGCTCACGCTCCTCTAGGACGAACCCCGGGGGTAAGTTTCACTCCCCAGAAAGGCTGGGAACGCTTTGGATGGCTACGGCCTTCGGTTGGGCCCCAGAAAGTATCTAGGGAGCCTGAAGCGGGGGTTGAGGTTTCCAAGTGGAAGACAGAGGAAATATCCCCATCTTTGTCACCGGGATCCCTGTTCCCCAGCGGCCTCGGAGCTCCCGGTAACCTTCCCTCCAAACGCCCTCCCCACACAAATACACACAAACACACCCATACCGTGCGCCGCAGCCTCGCGTGGCGGGGGGTAGGGGGGAAGAAGTGGTTTGGGAGAAAAAGGAGGAGACTTCCTTTTCAGGCCGGAAGTCGTGCTCCTGAGAAATCGTCCCACCAACAGGCAGCCCAGAGACTCCCACAAGGGAGGGTTTTCAGGACACTCCAGAGGTTGACGGGTGCAGAAGGAAGGCGGGCGCTTTCCTGGAAGAGAAGTGGGTCAGGCCCAACTGAAAAGCAAGCCTGGCACCAGAAGGGGGACATTCCGGAACTAGATATGAAGAGACTTTTCTCCCTGAAGTTCCCCGGACCCAATTAGATGTTGTACCCAGGCTGGTTACCCTGGTAACAGGCGTCGCGGTTTGTCAAGGAACTGAGAGAAGAGGTGGGTTTGCCAACCTATAGAATGATTACCCGTTAGAACTGAGAGAAGAGGTGGGTTTGCAGACCTATGGAATGATTATCCGTTAGTTAAGTTTCCCGTTTAGCATAACCCTTACACAGTAATTGAAGAATCTAAACCTCTTTTCCTCATTCTAAAGATGCTGTGGGACACCTCTCCAATGGGAGAAGAGGCTAAGGAGATTTATCTGAAGACGTAGAGAAGTGTCCCAGCCTCTCTATTAGCTTACTTAATCTCGCAATAATCCTATGGTAGAGGTATTATCGTCTTCATTTTGAACAGAACATTAATTGCTCAAGGTCACAGAGCTAGTGAGAGATAGAACTAAGACCGGAATCTAGGCATTCTGGCTCACAAGTCCATGCTTTGAAATACTAAACTATACTGAGGATTAAGGAAGTCTTATGTGGCCCTCACCCCACACCACACCTCTGGCAATTTCAGAACTGGGGAGCCACCAGTCAGGTGTTGGAACAAGAAGATCAGGAAACCCAGACTTAAAATGATTACTCTGACTTGTCAGGGTCCAAATAGAAGTAAGGCCTTATCTGAGAGGACAATGTGAGAATTTAGGAAGAGGTACTAGATAATTAAAGAATAAGGAAAACATAAAGTGGTGCTGATCCACAACCTTTTAGACACAAATGCTGTCCTAACTTCACCAAAACAATTCCTGACCCATTCCACCTCCCCAAAGCAGAAATGAATCAATAATTACACAGACAGTTTTCTTCCTGAAGTCGTGTTTTTCCACAGGCTTAAGAAAATTATTCACCACTCATAAGTCATGGAGACATCCTCAAAAGGTCTGCTTACCCAAGTTACTCAGTTTTGGAACCTCCTAGATGATCTAGCTCAGAGTGACCCTGAGGGCTATGAGAAGTTTATTCAGCAGCAGCTGAAAGAAGGGAAACAGCTCTGTGCTGCCCCAGAACCACAGCTTTGTCTACAGACCAGGATTCTGGTATGTCGAGTTGGTGCCAGGGATGGGGAGGTCTTGAATGAAATGATCCCAGAATAACCAGAGAATACTTTACACTTAGGTATTGCTAATTTTTTTTGTTTTTTTTTTGTTTTGTTTTGTTTTGTTTTGTTTTTTGAGACAGAGTCTTACTTTGTCACCAGGCTGGAGTGCAATGGTGTGGTCTTGGCTCGCTGCAACCTCTGCCTCCCGGGTTTAAGCGATTCTCCTGCCTCAGCCTCCCAAGTAGCTGGGATTACAGGTGTGTACTACCATGCCCGGCTAATTTTTGTATTATTAGTAGAGGCGGGGTTTCACCATGTTGGCCAGGCTGGTCTTGAACTCCTGACTTCAGGTGATCCACCTGACTCAGCCTCCCAAAGTGCTGGGATTACAGGCATGAGCCACTGCGCCTGGCAGACTTTTTTTTTTTTTTTTTTTTTTTTTTTTTGAGATAGGGTCTTGCTGGCTCTGTCGCTCAAGCTGGAGTGCAGTGGCACAATCACAGCTCACAATCACAGCTCATTGCAGCCCAAGCGATCCTCCCACCTCAGCCTCCCAAGTAGCTGGGATCACAGGTGGGCATCACCACACCCGGCTAATTTTTAAATGATTTTTGTAGAGACAGGGTCTCCCTATGTTTCACAGGCTAATCTCGAACTCCTAGGCCTCAAGCAACCCTCCTACCTCAGCCTCTCAAAGTACTAGGGTAACATACGTGAGCCACCACCCCAGTCTGGATTCCTAATTAAAAGCCAGCAGCCTTGGGGAAATCAAATAACAACAGTATAATCAAACGCAGTTTTAATACATGAAATGACTTACTTGGAGCCTAAAATTCTTTCATTCCTGTGGTGAGTGGCTTTTAGGATATTATTTTTTAAATGTTTTTGTTTTTGTTTTTTTTGAGATGGAGTTTCACTCTCGTCACCCGGGCAGGAGTGCAATGGCACAATCTTGGCTCACTGCAACCTCCGCCTCCTGGGTTCAAGCGATTCTCCTGCCTCAGCCTCCCGAGTAGCTGGGATTACAGGTATCCACCACCACACCTGGCTAATTTTTGTATTTTTAGTAGAAACGGAGTTTCACCATGTTGGCCAGGCTGGTCTCAAATTCCTGACCTCAGGTGATCCGGCCGCCTTGGACCCCCAAAGTGCTCGGATTACAGGCGGGAGCCACCATGCCTGGCCTTAAATGGTTTTAAACTAGGTTTTGAGATGTGCAAAATTATTTGCTTTCCAGAAACCAAAAGAAAAAATACTTTTTATCAACCTGTGTCAGTGGACAAGGATCCCAGCTCCCCAATCAACCACTCATCCAGTACCTCTAACTGTTGGCAAACCAGAAGATACAACTGAGATATCAGGTACAAATAATTGAGAGAAAGCACATTGTAAAAATTTTATTAGGAATGGACAAGATCTTACTTGGTTGAGAGCATTTCAAGTAAAACTCTTTATTTGTTGATAATATAATTACAATTAGTGTATCTTTATGCAAATTTAATACTGTTTAACTTTTGTAATAAGGTGAGCTGTTTTAATCCATGCAAAAGTGCCAAGAAATGTCATAATTGCTGTAGCACTACTGTGATTACCTCTGAAAAATACAGGAATATTCTCTAGCTTTATCAGGAATATGGTTTAATATATTGCCTGACAGTATCATTAGTGCAACAATTTTTCTTCATTTCATACCCTTTCAATTACACACACAGATGCTTACACAGTCATTGATGTTGCCTACAATCCTGATGTTCTTCATGCAGCAGAAAAGGACCAAGTGAAAAAAAATCAGTTAATTCAGATGGCCATGAAATGCATTGAGGAGAAATTCCAGTTCACCCTCTCACACTCTTACCATATTACCAAATTTAGAATAAAAGGAAGCATTCAAAGAATGAAACAAAATCTGATGGGAATCCAAACTGATTCCATAGATTTAAGAGAAAAAATGAGAAGGGGTAAGTTGATGATTGTAAATGGAAAATTAAACTGCTTTAAGATGTTTTTGGATCCTGTATACATTTTGCAAACTAGAAATCTCTATTTTAAAAGGTGAAAAACTTAAGATAGAAAAATGCAAATATTAAATATTAGAAATATCATATCCTTGATTTTTAAATCCTGAAAAATTTTCAATCAAATTCTTTGGTTTAAGATTCTTTTGGCTTGATTCCCAAACTAATTTAACTGCAGCTTTATCTACCATCTCTACTAACACCACATATATTATAGCTCATAGTATTTTATGTTGTAGATTTATTTTTTATCTCCCCTCCACCCTTTTTTTCATAAAGAACTAACTCTTGGACAGATACGAAGCAGTACTATGAGCAATCCAGATCACTTTCCTCAACTGTTACTGCCAAAAGACCAAGTTTCAGGCAAAGCAGTGTGTCTGATAGAAGAGATTTCCAGTACTGAAATCCAGGTGGAGATGAAGATGCCAGCCTATGAACTAAAAATTGTGCATGATCACAGTGAGAAACCTCTGAAAATTGAGTTGAAAGTTGAATTACCTGGTATTAATTCTGTCTCTCTCTGTGACCTTAGTGTTTCTGAGGTAAGTTGAATAGATAACACTGTAAATTTGTATTGGCCAGCATTCACTAACATATATTATGCCACAGTAACAAACTACATAATTTCAGGGGCTTACAATGATTTGCTCAGGTTACCCGGTGAAGGAGCAATTCCCTTCTGAGATGTGCCATTCACATCTCAGCAAAGGGAAAATAGAATGATCAAACCATGCAGTGGATCGTAATACTTCTACTCAGACATGACACTTCATGATATCACTTCTACTCACGCTCCACTGGCCAAAGTAAGTCACAAGGCCAGTTCTACATCAGTAGGACTGAGAAGTGTATTCTCACAGTCACAGGAAGTCATATGGCAGGGTAAACGTACTATCCTCTTACAGAAGAGCAAATAGTTAGAGTCAGTCCTACAGTCTACCAGTCTACACTCTTGGTTGCAAATATTTGCTTCTTTCTGGAAGGAAAACACCTCCAATCCCAGTATCAGACTCCAAAGGACAGAATTTTGCTTTCTCTTCCTCTTGAACCATGGACTAAGACATGTAAAAAAAGTTATGTACTCCCTCAGTCCCATCTGTCATGCAATGTGGAATGGGGAGAAGATAACCGTAATTAACCATCTCAATTCAGAAATGGGAAAAATAAGAGGCACACTGCAGTTACTGGTGCACAGCAATTCTGAAATCCTAGTAGGCAGACATTGTGAGGGCTCCTTTTCTGGAGGTAGAGGATGTTCTTACTTAGGTTCCTTGAGAAAGTTCTGTAATTACCTAGCTCCCCAGTTCCATTTTTTTCCACGACCTTTAGCTTCAGTCTTCAGGAAGATGTTTTCTTTTTTTTTCCCTTTCCCACTATCCACCTTGGCCACATCTGAAGAGTATCGGAGAATGTGCCATTCTTATATGCTAAGTAGCCTCTTCAGCCTGGTTCCTGCTCATGGAATCTTGGGGCTCAAAGGATTGTTTTAAATTTTGAAGGCAGTTTCTTTTAGTCCAGGCTGGTAGCATTTTGATTCCAGTCAGTGATACCCATAATTCCTTTTTAGACATTGCCCATATTTCAAGACTTACCTGTCTCTTTAGACTTAATTGCTGTCATTTTAGCCAAATGTAAGGATTTACTGAAGTCCACCTTAGTACAGTCAGAGGTTTTGGCTGGGTACGGTGACTCATGCCTGTAATCCTAGGATTTTGGGAGGCCGAAGGGGGGTGGATTGCCTGAGCTCAGGGGTTCGAGACCAGCCTGGGCAACATGGTGAAACCCTATCTCTACTAAAATACAAAAAAAACATCAGCCGGGCGTGGTGGTGGGCACCTGTAGTCCCAGCTATTCAGGAGGCTGAGGCAGGAGAACTGCTTGAACCCGGGAGGCGGAAGTTGCAGTGAGCCAAGATCGAGCCACTGCACTCCAGCCTGGGCAACAGAGCGAGACTCTGTCTCCCCTCAAAAAAAAAAAAACAAAAAAAAAAAAAAACAAAAAAAATTCAGAGGTTTTAACAAAGAGCATAAAGATTTAATCTTTGCCTCTATATTGCCTTAATCAGCTTGGTTGATAAAAGTAATTTCTCAATTTTATCCCTTACTTGCTGAAAATAAAAATTAGTTCCACTTTTCAGTCATTGAGTCTTGGAATCTTGGGGCTCTATAAAGTCCTTTTTATTTATTTATTTATTTTGAGACAGTCTCACTCTATTGCCCAGGCTGGAGTGCAGTGGCACCATCTCAGCTTACTGCAACCTCTGCCTCCCAGGTTAAAGCGATTCTCCTGCCTCAGCCTCCTGAGTAGCTGGGATTACAGGCATGTGCCACCAAGCCTGGCTAATTTTTGTATTTTTAGTAGAGACGGGGTTTTGCCATGTTGCCCATGTTGGTCTCGAACTCCTGGCCTCAAGTGATCCACCTGCCCTCAGCCTCCCAAAGTGCTGGGATTACAGGTGTGAGCCACCGCACTCAGCCAATTCCCTTTTAATTTGACTTGCAAAATGGTCCATTCTAAGCTCATCTTTCTTGTAATATCCTGTTAAATGTAGTGAACAGAACCAACACATTACCATCTATTTTCCCACTTCTTCACCTAAAGCCACAAATCAACTAGGCACAGAGTATTTATCATCCAAATTACTGTGATAGTTTCACTAAAGGCTTCATCATTATGAAACATGGATCACTACCTTTCCAGGCTCCAATAAGTTTCCTTGCTGTTTGCTGGTCAGCCACATAATTTAGGATGGCAACACTCTACTGTGGTACTGTATCAGTTAACGTGTGATGTAGTGAGCAGCAGTAACCACCTTAAAATCTAAGGGATTTACAACAGTAATTTTTTGCTCATTCCAAGTCACATGGCAACAAATGGGATCTTTTTATGGCAAAGGAGTGAATAACTGGGAACAATAAGTTAGTATCCCAAATTTTAAGCAGGAAATAAATCTCTTGGTTTATTATTCTTAGGATGATTTATTGATTGAAGTATCTGAGAAGTACAGATTACATCTGAATCTTCCAAAACTTATTGATACTGAAATGACCACAGCAAAATTTATCAAAGAAAAATCCACGCTAATCATCACAATGCCTTTGGTGTGAAAGAAGAGCATCATATGTTTTGGGTTTTCAGTGCTAAAGTCATGTGAATTAAAGGACCTTCATTTTGGCTAAAGAGGTAGTAGTTTATCTTAAACACCAATTCCATTATTTTCTAAGTTCATTTTGACTGAGATTTTCTCTTCACCTGTTATGTCAAATATATATATATATATATATATATATATTTTTTTTTTTTTTTTTTTTTTTTGAGACGGAGTTTCGCTCTTGTTGCCCAGGCTGGAGTGCAGTGGCACGATCTCAGCTCACTGCAACCTCCGCCTCATGGGCTCAAGCGATTCTGCCTCAGCCTCCCGAGTAGCTGGGATTACAGGCATGCACCACCACGCCCAGCTATTTTTTTGTATTTTTAGTAGAGACGGGGTTTCACCATGTTGACTAGGCTGGTCTTGGACTCCTGACCTCAGGTGATCCACCTGCCTCGGCCTCCCAAAGTGCTGGGATTACAGGCATGAGACACCATGCCTGGCCATGTCTTATATTTTTTAACTCACTTCTTCTCAAATAAACATCAACCAGAATTAAAAACTATTGCTATGACACACTTGTTTTAAAAATATCTTAAGTAACTTATAATTTGGGAAAATTCTAATTGTTTCCAAGTAACAAGTGAGAACTCTTGGTTTACTGCTTGAAAAAGTCTCTAGTAAATTTTTCTATCAGGAAGAAATTCCAGACTGTGCAAGAAGTTTTTTATTATCAGGATGGGCCATATCAGTGAGTCTCCTCCAACAATAAAAATACAGGGTCAAATATAATATTCAAGCCTATTTAACCTCTGTACTTCACTGAGACTGAGTCTCGCTGTGTTGCCCAGGCTGGAGTGCAGTGGCACAATCTCGGCTCACTGCAACCTTCGCCTCCCAGGTTCAAGCGATCCTCCCGTCTCATCCTCCTTAGTAGCTGGGATCACAGGCATGTGCCACCACGCCTGGCTAGTTTTTGCATTTTTAGTAGAGAAAGGGTTTCACCATGTTGGCCAGGCTGGTCTTGAACTCCTGACCTCAAGTGATCCATCTGCCTCAGCCTCGCAAAGTGCTGGGATTACAGACGTGAGCCATGGCACTCAGCCCCTAACCTCTGTACTTCAGTTAAACAACTCTGCCAGGAGACCCAGCTACCCAGCCAGACATTTTAGTATCATATATAGACTTGTCGATAGATTGGATACAATGACATAGTAACAGCAAACAAAATATATCTTTTTTTTTTTTTGAGACGGAATCTTGCTTTGTTGCCCAAGCTGGAATGCAGTGGCGCAATCTCAGCTCACTGAAACCTCCACCTCCTGGGTTCAAGCGTTTCTCCTGCCTCAGCCTCCCGAGTAGCTGGGATTACAGGCGCCCGCAACCGCCCCTAGCTAATTTTTGTATACTTAGTAAAGACAGGGTTTCTCCATGTTGGCCAGGCTGGTTTCGAACTGACCTCAGGTGATCCGCCTGCCTTGGCCTCCCAAAGTGCTGACATTACAGACGTAAGCCACCACGCCCGGCCTGCAAAAATATATCTCATATTTGAACAAAAAAAGTAGTTGACATTGGGACAAGTGCTTTTCCCCTAAAGAAATGATCAGAAGTACAAAAGTGATGTACATTCATCTCTTCTAAGCTCTGAAATACAAAGGTACCAACTATCCAATTTATACATCAAGTAAGCTATATGCAGACTTTAAACATCCCTTAATTATCTTTTCTAGATACAAGTTTCCTTTAATTATCCTTGTAATAAAGTTTCTAGTTCAACATGCAGGCCAAAGTTCTTACTACTTTTAAAACTTTTTAACTATAGAAACTAATGTTGTATAACAGAAATAACTGATACATGACATTTAAAAGCAAATATAATTTTTTTTTTTTTGACAGAGTCTCGCTCGGTCACCCAGGCTGGAGTGCAGTGGCGCGATCTTGGCTCACTGCAACCTCTGCCCCCTACCCCTGCCCCATCCCGAGGTTCAAGTGATTCTCCTGCCTCAGCCTCCCCAGTAGCTGGGATTACAGGCGACTGCCACCACACCCAGCTAAATTTTGCATTTTCAGTAGAGACTGGGTCTCATCATGTTGGCCAGGCTGGTCTTAAACTCCTGACCTCAAGTGATCTGCCCGCCTCGGCCTCCCAACGTGTTGGGATTACAGGCGTGAGCCACTGGGCCTAGCCTAAAAGCAAATATAATTTTCTTAAGCCTGGTCTGGATTTTTGTTTTTTTTTCCTTGCCTCAAATCTCCTTTTTGAAGGCCTGGCCTGGATTTAAATTCTACTAGCAACAGGATAATTTATCTCCTGAAAAATTTCTGGAACTGTATCATGTCCTAAAATTAACAAACCTATTCTCACCCCTCAAAAAAACTGAGTGCCTTCACCTTATCTTTACTCCTACAAAATCACTACCAAAATGTATTTCCTAAAAACTCCTAACCACATAGAATTGAATCTCTACCCTTGCACTCAGCACTTAGATGCTATTTTCATCAGTATCTGTGTTTGTATACTCATTAAAATGCACATCAAGACCTAATATACTTAAAGTGGTAAAATTTACATTCTAGTTATTTTCCAAAATATTCTCACTCATTTTGTATTAATAAAAACAGCTCTATCTTCCCCTCCCTACAAAAAACAAAATGGGGCCCAGTAAGGGCATTAACTAATAATGAACTATGGACTGGTTTAAATTGGAATCTTACTGAGATTTCTTTTTCTCAAAATTAGAAATTTGGAGGCTGGGCGTGGTGGCTCAGCTGTAATCCCAGCCCTTTGGGAGGCTGAGGTGGGCAGATCACAAGGTCAGGAGATAGAGACCATCCTGGCTAACACGGTGAAACCCTGTCTCTAATAAAAATACAAAAAATTAGCTGGGCGTGGTGGCAGGCACCTGTAATCTCAGCTACTCAGGAGACTGAGGCAGGAGAATCACTTGTACCCAGAAGGCAGAGGTTGCAGTGAGCTGATATTGTGCCACTGGACTCCAGCCTGGGCGACACAGACTCCATCTCAAAAAAAAAAAAAAAAAAAATTTGGAGACCAGATTTTTCTACAGACTTCATTTTTAGATCACTTACCAGTAGTGATGATGATTTCCCCATGTATTCCAGGACTTGTGCATTACACATGATGAACATTCCTCCTATCTCTCTAATGTGCTGGTTTACTCCTTTCTAGACCATGCCTTGGGATACCCTAACTTCACAATCACAAGCTTCAGAATTGGGAATAAATCACCTAACAGAACCAGACCACACTTTCCATCTTGATAATAAGTGCCACACCCCAACATGGGGTGCTTCAGGAACTCTTTGAGCTTAAAAGTGTTAGATTATATTCTCCTAAATGTAGTCCATATTTTGCCAATTATATAAACTCAAAATTTATCTGTATTGAGAGCTTATACATACATGGCTGTCCCTAGATCTAAATAATTTAAATGTGAAAATAATTACCAACAGACCAAAAATTAAACCAGACATATTGAAGATTTATACTTTAATTTTTAAATAATCATATGAACCAAAAACACTATTTCTAACTTTTTTCTTTCAGTTCTGGTAAGAGACTGAATCGATTTAGATTATAGCTCAGATTAATTTTTAACTCAACAATGTTTATTAGAAGGCAACTGTTTTTATTTTTTTTCAAGGGAACAACAGAACCACAAGCATTAGCGAAAGATGAATTATCTTTGAAGTTTTGAATGTTTGAACCAGATTTGGATCATATTGATGATGGTCCCTTGTGATAAGCTTGTTTCTTTTGGATAATCTTCAACCTAAAATTACTAATTACTGAAAAATCAAATTAATGTATTGTTTTCATAATAATACAGCAAGGTAAAAGTCTGTGTGGAATATATGGAGTGTCACTTGTGTACCATGTAATAATGAATATTTAGAAACAGATTCAACACTGAAACACTTAAAGCAAATTTCAGGGGCTAACTCCACATATTACATATACCAGGAAGCACTGGTCAGATTCATTTTAAGTAGTCATAAATAATTTCAAACGTTTATTAAAACACATAAATATTAATAGAAAGTCTGGAATTGTGATAATGTTCCCAATTCATTTTTATAATCCAGAATATCGCCTCCTTCCTTCCAAAAGAAAGGCAAAATCTAACAAAATAGAAAAAAGTATTTAGGCAAATAAAGTAGCAACCTAGTTAATTTTTTCTCTCCAATAGTATTTTAGGGCTTTCTTATTTTACATGAGACGATGCTGGAGTAGAAGGACACAGAACACTTTTTTACACACATTTAACTTTTTTACTTTATCAAAGTAGAAATTACCATTTTGTTTTTGGCATTTTTAAGCACTCCAAAATGTTTACCAATGTACCCCTCCTTTTCAGACAGGATTTGGGATAAATGGACTTTGGCACATATCTAACTCTAGTAACAATATTTTACATATGTACACTTATTCCATATATATTCCTTAGTTATTTGATAGCATTTTCCACAGTGGAGTCATAAATTCTGTTCATTATGTTCATTTACAATGAACTACCAGTTAATCTTAGAAAATTTTAGTTTCACAACTTCTGTTAAATTATATTAACAATGTTTCTTTTTTGGAGGTAACTGTTGAATTCTGTACTCAAAATTACACATTTGTTTAAATAAATATCCACACAAATTCTCAGTTACATCAAGTAGCTGGTTTATATTTAGATTATCTCAAGTAGGGGGGAATAACCATGTGTAGGAATTCATAGAAAAATAAACAATCAGCTGAAGAGGTCTAAGAAAATGCTGACTTTTAAAATTTCACTTATTTTCCTTGAAGTTTTCTACCCTTCCCATCGATGATAAACCAAGATCATGTAATGGAAAATTTCAAACCAGGGCTAAATTCTAAAGTAAAGCTTCAATTCAAGCCCTTCCCCCAAGAGAATTAATTTTTCTGATTTCTCTTTCTCTCACATCTAAGGAGAACATTTTAGGCAGTTAAATTTCAGAACTTCAAGGTTTCATCAGGGTCACCTTTATGTACTTGTCTTTAGGGAACCACAATTCTACCTATCGTACATTTCCTAGAGGAAGTACTTATCACCAAAGGGCTAGGCAAGGCCACATACATGTCCCTTAATTAGGAGTACAGAGCTAAAAATCTGGTGTCTGATTATTAAATGTGCACAATATTTGGGTGTAATCGGCATTTTAAAAATTCAGTAATGCCCATTATAAATAACTTATCTGGACAGACTCAATAATAAAAATAACTGGTTAAAATAAAAAGAACCACCTGTTTAATAACATATAAATATCTTGTTAAGAATGAATCAGTGTGACCTGGGAGAGTTTAGAAATTCTTGAGTTAGTTACAACAACATAGTGATAGGTTTTTCAAGGTACTTTCTAAACTCAGCAAGCCACTGGGCTCCAACTGCTCCATCCACCACCCGGTGATCACAACTGAGTGTAACAGACATCATGCTAGCCACATCAAACCTAGAAAAAGATAAAGACATTTTAGATATTCTGAAAGAAAATACTGCATTTCAGCCAGTAACCACCCAAATGCTCACTCCTACCCTATAATCCCAACCAGGTAATACTTCCTATCTACTCTTCCAGTCTCCTATACCTTTAGCTCAAATTTATAGCTTGAAGAAACAGACCAGATACCTGGAGTATGGGTGGGCAATGGGCCAAATCCTGTCCTCTGCCTGTTTTTATTAGGTAAAGATTTACTGCAATTCATTTGTCTTGTTTATGCCTCCCTTCATACTACAATGGCAGATTATTTGCAACAGCAGCCATATGTCCCAGAAAGCCTAAAATACTTACTATACAACTAAAAAAAAGCATGCTGACTCCTCACCTAGAATAAATAAGGCTTTCCACCTCAAATAGGACTAACTGCATTTAGTAAAGTTGCTGCCTTGAAGAATTTCGTATTTTTTATATATATATAATTTTATTTGAAGATACAATATAGCATGCCAATAACTATATATAAAACTGAGACTCTGGCCAGGCACACTGGCTCATTCCTGTAATCCCAGCACTTTGGAAGGCTGAGGTGAGCAGATCATTTGAGGTCAGGATCAAGACCAGCCTGGCCTACATGGTGAAACAACATGTCTACTAAAAATACAAAAATTAGCCAAGTGTGGTAGTACATGCCTGTAATCCCAGCTATAGCTACTTGGGAGGCTGAGGCAGGAGAATTATTTGAACCTGGGAGGCGGGGATTGCAGTGAGCCGAGATGGCACCACTGCACTTCTGCCTGGGTGACAGGGTGAGTGAGACTCCATCTCAAACAAACAAACAAAAAAAACACTGATACTCAAAAACAGGTATGGTTGACCCTCCATATATCCATGGGTTCCGAATCCATAGATTCAACCAACCATGGATCAAAATATCCAGAAAGTAAACAATTCCACAAATTTCCAGTAAGCACAACTTGAATTTGCTGCACACCGGGCACTACACTGGATCCATGTGAATGAAGTGCTGTTTAGGTATTGTATTATTATAAGTCAAGAATAAAGTATACAGAATAATGTGTGTAGGTTATATGCAAATATTACATCATATCATATCAGGGACTTGAGCATTGTGGATCACGATATTTGAGGGGGTTCCTGGAGCCAATCCCCTGAGGATACCACAGGACAAGTGTACAGTGTAATAAAAATTAGCTTACGACTTCCCCTCCATTTTGGCACTTACCCTTTTTCATTATCTGCAGGGACCAGTTTATCCTCTGAAGCACCAATTGCCAAAATACATGCTTGAGGTGGGTTAATAATAGCAGAGAAATTCTTAATTCCAAACATTCCTAAATTGGAGATCGTAAAAGTGCCACCCTAGAGGAAAAAAAATTAAAAATAAATTATAGTTTGTCAACATAAATCAGAAAACTTGACAAATGTTCTGTGAAAAGACCTTAAGCTAAAAAGGTGCAAGGTCTTAAGAAAGGCCTGAATGGAATACACATTACTGAAGATATACAACCATTACAATATGAACAAAAATGTCAGCCGGAAAATGTCTTATTTTCAAACAATATCTTCTTTTGGATATATGATTGAATTTTACTTTATTTTCAGAACGGTGTGTCAATAAGAGTTACGTGGCAGGCCAGGCACAGTGGCTCACACCTGTAATCCCAGCACTTCGAGAGGGTGAGGCGGGTGGATCATTTGAGGTCAGGAGTTTGAAACCAGCCTGGCCAACATGGTGAAACCCCGACACTACTAAAAACATACACACACACACAAAATTAGTCAGGTGCAGTGGTGCATGCCTGTAATACCAGCTACTCAGGAGGCAGAGGTAGGAGAATTGCTTGAACCTGGGAGGCGGAGGTTGCAGTGAGCCAAGATTGCACCATTGTACTCCAACCTGGGTGACAAGAGTGAGACTCTGTTTCAAAAAAGAATTACGCTGGGCGTGGTGGCTCATGCCTGTAATCCCAGCACTTTGGGAGGCTGAGGCAGGCGGATCACAAGGTCAGGAGATCAAGACCATCCTGGCCAACATGGTGAAAACCAGTCTCTACTAAAAATACAAAAAACTAGCCGGGCGTGGTGGCAGGTGCCTGTAGTCCCAGCTACTTGGGAGGCTGAGGCAGGAGAATGGCGTAACCCAGGAGGCGGAGCTTGCAGTGAGCCGAGATCATGCCACTGCACTCCAGCCTGGGTGACAGAGAGACTCCGTCTCAAAAAAAAAAAAAAAAAAAAAAATTACGTGACAGAATCAAAAGGTGAAAAATGCAATAAATGCATTATGCAAACCTTAAAAATAACATAATTAGAAAGCAATAATTAATACCCTACCTGGAATTCATGTGGCTGTAGTTTACCCTCTCTTGCTTTGGTTGCTAAAGAAACAACATCATTAGCAATGGTTTCCACTCCTTTTATATGTGCATTAAACACAATAGGTGTGATGAGTCCTGCAGGAGTACTGACCGCAACACTGACATCAACAACATGATTTCTGTTTAAAAAGAAAAATAAATATAATAAAAAACTGTTTATTAAGAGCCTGTGTGCCAGGTTAAGCAAGAATATTTATATTTACTTCAAAAATTTTTTGAACCAATGTGTGTTATTGTTCAGCCAAAGACAAAAATTAAGATGTCTATCCTAATTTTTACATTTTGCTGTGCCCTCTCCTTGACTTGTAGTTATTAAAAATCAAAGAGAGGTCCGGGAACGGTGGCTCATGCCTGTAATCCCAACACTTTGGGAGGCTGAGGTGGGCGGATCACTTGAAGTCAGTAGTTTGAGACCAGCCTGGCCAACATGGCGAAACTCTGTCTCTACCAAAAATACAAAAGTTAGCTGGGCATGGTGGTGCACAGCTGTAGTGCCAGCTACTCAGGAGGCTGAGGCAGGAGAACCACTTGAACCTGGGAGGTGGAGGTTGCAGTGAGCTGAGATCACACCACTGCACTCCAGCCTGGGCAGCAGAGCGAGACTCCATCCCCCAACGCTGCCCCTGCCCCTGACCCCACCGCCTGCCAAGAAAAAAAAAAAAAAAAAAGAATGAGAAATGTGTCAGCAGCAGTAGGTTGGTTTCGCACATATCGTCTAACATCCCCTGCCGTCTGCCTTGACCGACACGTGAATGCAGCTGAAAGAAAACCCCACCAATCAGAACTCCTTGGATTTTGAGTGGACGTACATTGGCTGCAGTTGAGTCTCTGCAAGTAGTTTGAGCAGATGAAAGGAAGAGTGAAGGGAAAGAACTGCATTGTAGCAAGAAATAGGAGTGCTCAGGATACATGGGTGGTGGTACCTCAGAAGAACGTAAAAGTAAGGGGTCCCAATCTTTTTTTTTTTTTTACACAATATCAGATCTTCTGTTATCAAGGAGTCCCAATCTTTTCTACAGAATGTGTCCCTATGCATCTGGATCTTATCTCAGAATACCTTTTTAACACTGAAAATACTCAAATTACTAGAAAAAAGAGAGAAACTATACTGAAATTCAGTTATCAAACGGTTCAAAAGCAAAATTATGACAAATGTGCTTCTGTATTCACTCAATAATAAGATCTTGTTGCAGGTCTAATAATGGCTATCATTTTGAAGCAGGGATGAACAAAATAACATTTTGAGATATATACAACTACAATGTGATATGAAAATAACTGATTTTTATTGGTCACCAGACACAAGTACTGTTAACATTTGATCTGTTCTCTACATTTATAAAAGGAAGAAATGCTAAATGTTAGTAGAAAAAAAAAAAGGTGATTCCCCCCCCCCACCCCCCCCTTCCCCCACCCCAACTGAAGTTCACAAGCTCATGGATTCATGGATTTTATCCGTGGTCTCCTTGGGGTCTGCCTAAGGGCCCCTGCTAGTGTTCTGCAATCGAGAAAAAGTTAAGACTTCAAACAAAGGCACAGCTCTGCCTCCAAAGAACTCCAGCTCTTTCTAGGCACAAGCTCCAAAAAGATCAGTGGGTACCAAATCCCCCAATTTGCCTAAGTTGGCTAGAGCAGGATTTTGTCACTTGCAAACAAACACAGGAACCTGCTCTAATAAAAATACCGTGTATGACTCATTAATTACCACAGAACTGTAGCCAAGGTATCACACAGCAAATACTGCTTTCTTGAATAAATTATTACAATATTGCTTGTTCAATCATCTTCCCTTTGAGACAGTAAGGACAGTATTCCCTATATTGTTCACCACTGAATCCAGTAAACAGTACATGTTAAATAAATGTTGAATGGGTGTATGAACAAGTAAATGAATGGTGTTTGGTTAGAATTAACAGACAACCTCAATTTCTTCATCTAAGTATAGAAATATCTTGATATTCCAGGTTCAGTTCCAGACCACCAAAATAATATTGCAATAAAGCGAGTCACATGAATTTTCTGATCTCCTAGTACATACAAAAGTTATGCTTAACACTACACTGTTGTCTACTAAGAGTGCAATAGCATCGTGACTAACAAAAAACCAATGTATACACCTTAATTTAAAAATACTTTATTGCTAAAATATGCTAAAAATCACCTGAACTTTTAGTGAATTGTAATTTTTTGCTGGTAGATCTTGCCTTGATGTTGATGGCTGCCGACTGATGAGGGATATCAATTATCTTAGCTGTATCTTCTGAATAATTTGCTGCTTCACCCTGTACTTTTATGTTATTATGGCCTCCTTTCCTTCAACCTCATGAGCCAACCTCTGCTAGCCTCAAACTTCTGTTACGCGGCTTCCTCACCTCTATCAGCCTTCAAAGAATTGAAGAGAGTTAGGGCCTTGCTCTGAATTAAGCTTTGGCTTAAGGGAATGCTGTACCTGGTTTAATCTTTTATCTAGACCACTCAAAACTTTCTCCGTATCAGCAACAAGGCTGTTTCACTTTCTTATCATTCGTGTGTTCACCAGGATAGTACTTTTCATTTCTTTCAAGAGCTTTTTCTTTGTATTCACAAGTTGGCTGTTTGGCACAAGAGGCCTAGCTTTCAACCGATCTTGGCTTTTGACATGCCTTACTCATTGAGCTTAATCATTTCTAGCTTTTGATTTAAAGTAAGAGACGTGAAAGTCTTCCTTTCACTGAAACACTCAGAGGCCATTGTAGAGTTACTAATTGGCCTGATTTCAGTTTTATTGTGTCTCATGGAATAGGGAGGCCCAAGGAGAGGGAGAGAGACAGAGGAACAGCTGGTTGATAATTCTATCAATTCTATCAACCAGTCAGAACACATGCAAAATTTATCAATGAAGTTTGCCATCTTATATGGGCATGGTTCATGGGGCATTGAAACAATTACAATGGTAACATCAAAGATCCTTGATCACAGGTCACCATAACAGATACAATAATAAAGTTTGAAATACTCTAGGAATTGCCAAAATGTGACACAGAGACAGGAAGTGAGCACATGCTGTTGGAAAAATGGTGCCATCAACTTGCTTGACAGAGGGTTGCCACAAGCCTTCAATTTATAAAAAAGCACAATAAATCAAAGTGCAATAAAGCGAGATACTCTCACAAGTAGATGGTTCTCACTTCACACCCACACGGTAACAAATATTGATGAGGACATAGAGAAACTGGAACACTTATCCACTATTGGTGGGAAGGTAAAATGGTGCAACCACTTTGAAAAATAATGTAGAAGTTTCTCTAAAAATTAAACATAATTTTACCCTATGACTCAGGTATTCCACTCCTAGGAATCTACTGAAGAGAAATAAAAATATATGTCCACACAAATAACTGTATGTAAATACTCATAGTAGCATCATTCATAATAGCAAAAAACTGGAAAACATGTTAACTGGTGAATGATAAAGAGGTATATTGATACGATTAAACACTATACAGCAATAAAAAAGAATAAACTACAGATACATGCTACAACATGGATGAGTCTCAAAAACATTTCGTTAAGTGAAAGAAAGTAGATGCAAAAGACCACATATTTTATGACTCCATTTCTATAAAAGGTCTAGAAAATACAAATCTATAGACTCAAGCACTATAACAAATTGCCCAGGGGCTGAAGGTGAAAATAAGAATTTACTATAAATGAGCATGAGTGATCTTTTGGGGGTGATGAAAATTTCTAAAATTAGATTGTGGTAAAGACTGCGTAATTCTGCACCTTTAACAAAAATCAAGAAATTGTACACTTAGAGCAGGTACATTTTATGATACGTAAAATGGCAAATTAAATGTTAAAAAGTGTCTACATGCGGCCAGGCACGGTGGCTCATGCTGTAATCCCAGCACTTTGGGAGGCCGAGGCAGGCAGATCACAAAGTCAAGAGATTGAGACCATTCTGGCCAACATGGTGAAATCCCATCTCTACTAAAAATACAAAAATTAGCTGGGTGTGGTGGCATGTGCCTGTAGTCCCAGCTACTCGGGAGGCTGAGGCAGGAGAATCGCTTGAACCCGGGAGGCGGAGGTTGCAATGAGCGGAGATAGCACCATTGCACTCCAGCCTGGCAAAAGAGCGAGACTCCACCTCAAAAAAAAAAAAAAAAAAAAAAAAAAAAAAAAAAAAAAGTGTCTATATGCTGGCACAGAGGAGAATTAAAGGAATATTAAAAAAAAAATTCCTGCCTCTTATCTAGATTTTAAGTATCCTGTATTTATATTTAAGGAATATAAATTCCTTGAATGTTTGCTGCTGTGACGATCATCACGGTGGCCATAGCACGGAAAAGGAATGCATCTAAAAGCAAGGAACAGGAAAGCCCAAACAGCATCCTAGAAGGAGAGAACTGAAAGGTATGTTCAGTAACAGTGGCTAACTCAGAATGGCACAAGAAGAGGGGTTTAGAGAGGAGCAATAGTTGAATATAGGCCTTGGCCGGGCGCGGTGGCTCACGCCTGTAATCCCAGCACTTTGGGAGGCCAAGGCAGGCAGATCACAATGTCAGGAGATCGAGACCATCCTGGCTAACATGGTGAAACCCCATCTCTACTAAAAATACAAAAAAATTAGCCGGGCGTGGTGGTGCACACCTGTAGTCCCAGCTACTCGGGAGGCTGAGGCAGGAGAACGGCATGAACCCACGAGGCGGAGGTTGCAGTGAGCCGAGATTGCGCCACTGCACTCCAGCCTGGGCGACAGAGCAGGACTCCATCTCAAAAAAAAAAAAAAAAAAAAAAAAAATAGGCCTTGACTGAATTACGGAAGACTGTCAATGCCTTAAGCAAGCCATTTCTGCCAGGCTCCAGAAAACTCTCCACGAGTCAGTAGTATGAATAATGCTGAAAACAGGAAGACTAAAGTCTGTTTAGTGGGATGAATGGTGGCCCTCCAAAAGATAAGTCTTTGTCCTAATCCCTGGAACCTATCAATGTGACCTTATTTGGAAAAAGGTCTCTGAAGGTATAATTAGGATCCTGAGATAAGATCATCCTATATTATCTGAGTGGCCCTAAATCCAATACCAACTGTCCTCTTAAGAGAAGAGAAAATACAGACACAGAGGAGAAGGCCATGTAAAGATGGAAGAAGAGACTGGAGTTATGCAATCACAAACCACTAAATGCCTAAAGCCACCAGAACTGGAAAAGGCAAGGAAGGATTCTTCTCTATAGTCTTTGGAGGGAACGCATTGCCCCTGCTGAAACCCTGATTTCAGACTTGTTTCCCGAACTGTGAGAGAATAAATTTGTTTTAATCCATCAACTTTGTGGTCATTAATAATGGCAGCCCTGGAAAACTATACAGTTTATAAAGAATATTAGATGTCCAGATGTTCTCCAAATGAAGAATGACCAAGGAAAAGTTAGAACAAAGAGTTTACCCAATAGGTTTGATCAGATTGAGAAATGGTTTAATGGTTTCTGAATCTCCTCTCCTCGCTTGTGGAGTTTCAGAAAGAATTCACATATACGTAGAAAACTAGCCTTCCCTAAAGCAATTATTAAAATCAATTAGGTTAGCATTCATGGTATCATACATGTCTTAGTCATACACAATCACTGTCACAGGCATTCAAATATTAACACTGGACACACACACATACTCTAAAAAAATTAACCAAATATAGATTTATATTTATTTATTATTATTATTATTTGAAATGCAGTCTTGCTCTGTTGCTCAGGCTGGAGTGCAGTGGCGCGTGCAATCCCAGCTCACTGCAACCTCCGCCTCCCAGGTTCAAGCAATTCTCCTGCCTCAGCCTCCTGATTAGCTGGGACTACAGGCGCGCACCACCATACCTAGCTATTTTTTTTTTTTTGTATTTTTAGCAGAGACAGGGTTTCACCATGTTGGCCAGGCTGATCTCGAACGCTTGACCTCAGGCGATCCACCTGCCTTGGCCTCCCAAAGTGCTGGGATTACAGGTGTGAGCCACCATACCTGGCCCCAAATATAGATTTAATCCAAATTTGTGCTACAATCAATTTGGGAAGATGGTGTTATGTGTGTGTATGTAGGAAGGGCATAACAAACCTACCTTTTTTTTTCTCTCTAGTCCCAAGACTGGAGCTAAAGCTAAATATTAATGTTCTTTAACGGGGAGTCAGTCAATAAAGTAAAATAAATGAAAAACTCATAAAAGGCAACAGAAAAATGTTATTTGGAAATCTGCAGGTAAATAAATACCAGAAGAAACAATAGTTTAAAAGCTGTGTTTAAGGGCTGGGCGTGGTAGCTCACACCTGTGATCCCAGCACTTTGGGAGGCCAAGGTGGGCGGCTCACAAGGTCAAGAGTTCAAGACCAGTCTGGCCAATATGGTGAAACCCCATATCTACTAAAACTACAAAAAAATTACCTGGGAGTGGTGGCGCATGCCTGTAATCCCAGCTACTCAGGAGGCTGAGGTAGGAAAATTGCTTGAACTCGGGAGGCGGAGGTTGCAGTGAGCCAAGATCACGCCACTGCACTCTAGCCTAGGCGACAGAAAGAGACTCTGTCACAAAAACAAAACACAAAAAACAAAAAAAAACAAACAGTTGTGTTTGCCTCCTGGGAACTGACCTCAGATTAAGGGTTAGAACAAGTCACTCTAAGCCATGGAGCAGTATTCTAACCTAAATTTAATATTTATTAGGAAAATATTTTTTTGAGACAGAGTTTTGCTCTTATCACCCAGGCTGGACTGCAATGGCACAATCTCAGTTCACTGCAACCTCCACCTCCTGGGTTCAAGCAATTCTCCTGCCTCAGCTTCCCAAGTAGCTGAGATTACAGGCATGCACCACCACGCTCAGCTAATTTTTGTATTTTTAGTAGAGATGGGGTTTCACCATGTTGGCCAGGCTGGTCTCGAACTCCTGACCTCAAGTGATCCACCTGCCTCGGCCTCTCAAAGTGCTGAGATTACAGGTGTGAGCCCGGCCCTAAAATATTAATAAATATTAGTAAGTGTGGTATAATATATACTTGGTCTTTGTCCCCATGTTGCCAGTTCCTGTCATAGAGCCCCTAGAACCGGAATTTCCTGAGTGATAGGAGTATGTTTTGTTATTTATAATGAGCCCTTATATAATAAGCTCCATGACGGATACTTAGGGTGGGATCCCTAAGTAACCTCGGGATGGCGCCAGTCACTGGAAGGGTCAAAATGACTAGAGGATTAGAGAGTTGGAACTTTTAGCTCTACCCACTGACCTAAGGGAAAGGGGAGGGAGATGTAGGCTGGAGATCCTGGAGATCAAACTCTACAAAGACTTTTTTCTTCCTTTCCTTTTTCTCCCCAGCCCCCTCTATTAAGACCCTTCAACAAGATTTAATGAGCTTCCAGTTGCTGAACTGTGGAAGTGCTGGAAGGGTGGTATGCCCAGAAAGGACATGGAAGCTCTGCACCACCCCACCTCAAACCTCGCCCTAGCCATCTCTTCATCTGGTGTTCATCCATATCCTTTGTAATATCCTTTATAATAAACATAAAGTGTTTCCCCAAGTTCTGTGAATTGTCCTAGCAAGTTAATCAAACCCAAGGAAGAGGTCACAGCAACAAGTTTGTAGCCAGTCAGTTACAAGTATGAGTGGCCTACACTTTTGACTGGCATCTGAAGTGAGGGCAGTCTTGTAGGACTGAGCCCTCAATCTTTGGGATCTGACACTATCTACAGGTAGACAGCACCAGAATTGAATTGAATTGAATTAGAGGAAATCACTGCAGAATTAATTGTTTGGTTGGTGTGTGGGGAAACCCTCCCCACCCCTGCCTCTACTCATCTGGTCACAGAAGCGGTGCTGTGACTGTGTGACAGCAAAGTACAAAGGAAAAAAGTTTGTTTTTTTCCTTTCAGAATAAGAATAACATAGAAGCATCTACACAGCAAGAAACGAATAGGCTTAGGAGTCAGAATCTTGGTTCTAATCACAGTCCTAACACTAATTTATTAACTCAGGGCAAGTTACTTAACTCACGGAGTCTGTTTCTTTATCTAGAAATGGAAGTGAAAGCACTTAAATCATAAGATAGTCATGAGAATTGAATGAGATAAAAGAGACACACTGAGTACCATACTACTCTATACCATTGTATTATTAACAATTACTGTTCTAATTTTGCCCGTAAAGTTCAGGAGAATGAAAATCATCTGTTTAACCCTGCTTTGTGACAGTCATTATCAACTTAATTACACATATTTGTTCACTAATCTCCCTTTGCTGAACTCATACAAAGAATCTATAGCCTTTACTAGCTAAATCCAGCAATATCGCAGGCTGGACACTGTGGCTCACACCTGAAATCCCAGAACTTTGGGAGGCCGAGGCTGTAGAATTGCTTGAGCCCAAGAGTTCAAGACCAGCCTGGACAACAGAGCAAGACCCTATCTCTTTAAAAAATAAATCAACAACAACAACAAAAACAAAAACAAAAACAAGGTTGAAAATTGGGGCCAGTAAGAAAAAAAAGTAAAAAGCAGTAACTCATAAACATTTTTGTGTTGTTTTCAAGTTGTTTGACCTATGTAAGTCATCTGCCTCTCTGTATTCCATTTCTCCTTATCCCCTCAACTCCACTCACACATTAAATAATACAAGAAAACTACCGATGGATATATATCTTCCCCAGTTATACTTACTGTCTTATAACTGTGTCCATCCAAGAAGAATTTGCTTCGGGAACTTTTAAACATGCCAAAGCTGAAGCTTTTATGATGAAGTCATTGACAGAAATTTTGCTTCTCCCTTCTAATATCTGGAAAGACAAGAAGAACTGTAGTTTCTTCTTTTTTAATTTTAATTTTAATTTTAAGTTTCAGGGTGCATGTGCAGAATGTCCAGG
The DNA here is from genome assembly GCF_000001405.40 of Homo sapiens. Classification (NCBI taxonomy): domain Eukaryota; kingdom Metazoa; phylum Chordata; class Mammalia; order Primates; family Hominidae; genus Homo; species Homo sapiens. The sequence goes on along the minus strand of NC_000011.10, from coordinate 112,051,146 downwards.
TTTATTATATAGGTAAACATGTGCCATGGTGGTTTGCTGCACCTGTCAACCCATCACCCAGGTATTAGGCCTCACATGCATCAGCTATTTTTCCTAATGCTTTCCCTCCCCGGACAACTGTAGTTTCTAAATTCTCTCACCAAAGAGTAAAACTGTATAATCGTGAGAAAAGGAGGAAGAGAAAGAGAATATACAAATATCCTGAGGTGGAAAGAAAGAAATGAAACCAAACATTGGTTCTTTCATCTTTTTAAATGCGGACTCTTACAGCTGTTTCCTGCTAAGCACTGCTTTAGCATAATCCCATAAGTTACAGTATGTTATGTCATCATTTTCATTCATCTCAACAATAACAAAATTTGGTTCTTTGAAAAGATCAATCAAATGACAACCACAATGATAAATGTTTAGTTAGACTGACCAAGAAGAGGAGAGAAGACTAGAATTTCTAAAATTAGGAGTGAAATAGGGGACATTACTATCTACCTTACAGAAGTAAAAAGAATTATAGGGAATACTATGAACAACCATACAGACACAAGCTACCAAAACTGAACCAAGGAGAAACAAAAACTCTGAATAGACCTATAACTAACAAAGAGATTGAACTGGTAATTTAAAAACTACCCATGTAGAAAAGCTTAGACCCAAATGGCTTCGTCAGTATTCTACCAAATATTAAAGAAGAATTAATATCAATTCCTCACAAATTCTTTCAAAGAAAAATCAAAGAAGAGCAAGAAACACTTCCCCACACATTCTGTAAGGCCGGGATTAGCCTGATACCAAAACCAAAGACGACATTAGAAGAAAAAAAAAAAAAAGTACACACTAATATCTTATGAATATAGATGTAAAAATCTTCAACAAAACGCTAGCAAATAAAATCCAGCAATATATAAAAAGGATCATTCACCATGATCAAATCTGATTTATCCCAAGAATGCAAATTTCCATTAACATCTGAAAATCCATTAATGTAATAATGTCCTAACAGAATACAGGACAAAAAACACATAATCATCTCAACAGACACAGAAAGAGCATTTGATAAAATTCAATACCCCTTTTCATGATCAAAACACTCTTACTAACTGGGAACAGGAGGGAACTTGCTCAACCTGATCTATGGAAACCTCACAACTATTTAATGACCAAAGACTTATTCTCCCAAAGATCGAGAACAAGACAAGATGTTCACTTCTGCTACACCTATTCAACATTGCCTAGAGGCGCCAGCCAGAGCAATTAGGCAAGAAAGGAAATAAAAGGCATACAGGTCAAAATGAAAAAAGTAAAATTATCTCTATTTGCAGATAACATTATCTTGTTTACAGAAAAACCTAAGAAATACACTAAAAAACTGTAAGAACTAATAAATGACTTCAGCAAGTTTGCAGGATACAAGGTCAATATAGATCCCATTTCAGCAGGTATATGAAAAAAAAGATCAATATAGAAAAATGAATTGTTATCTCAATTGATTGCTCAGAGTCCATTATAAATCTAACTTCTTTTCTACTCTTCCGCCCTTCTCACTAGTATACCTGACTAGTCTTAAAAAAAAAAAAAAATCAATCATACCTTTATATAGTAGCAATGAACAATCTGAAAATGAAATCTAGAAAACAATTCCACTTAGAGTAGTATCAAAAAGAATAAAATACCTAGAAATAAGTTTAACAAATGCAAATTTAGAGTGCAAAACTTACACTCTGAAAAACTATAAAAAAACTGTTGAAAGAGACTGAAGAACACCTAACTAATACAGGGGCATCTACATGTTCATGGATGAAAAGACTATATTCTTCGGATGGCAACACTTGCCAAACTGATCAGCAGATACATCCAATCAATCCTTATCAAAATGTCAACTGGCTTCAATGCAGAAATTTACAAGCTAATCCTAAAATTCACTTAGAATTGCAAGGGACTCAGACAAAACAATCTTGATTCTGGCTAACACGGTGAAACCCCGTCTCTACTAAAAATACAAAAAATTAGCCGGGCATGGTGGTGGGCGTCTGTAGTCCCAGCTACTTGGGAGGCTGAGGCAGGAGAATGGCATGAACCCGGGAGGCAGAGCTGGCAGTGAGCCAAGATCACGCCACTGCACTCTAGCCTGGGTGACAGAGCAAGACTCTGTCTTTAAAAAAAAAAAAAAAAAAAAAAAAAAATCTTGAGAAAAAAGAACAAAGATGACTCACGTTTCCTGATTTTACAACTTATTACAAAGCTAAAGTAATCAAGACTGTGGTACTGACATTAAGGGTATACAGAGATTAATGGAATGGAATTAAGAACCTGGAAATAGGCCAGGCATGGGGGCTCATGGCTGTAATTCCAGCACTTTGGGAGGCCAAGGTGGGTGGATCATTTGAGGTCAAGAGTTCGAGACCAGCCTGGCCAACATGGTGAAATCCTGTCCCTACTAAAAATACAAAAATTAGCCATGCCTGGTGGCTCATACCTGTAATCCCAGCTACTCGGGAGGCTGAGGGACGAGAATTGCTTGAACCTGGAAGGTGGAGGTTGCAGTAAGCCAAGATCACGCCACTGCACCCCAGTCTGGGCAACAGAGTGAGACTCAGTCTCAAAAATTGGCACATGACAAGGATGCTCTCTCTCACCACTCCTATTCAGCATAGTATTGGAAGTTCTGGCCAGGGCAATCAGGCAAGAGAAAGAAATAAAGAGTATTCAAATAGAAAAAGAGGAAGTCAAATTGTCTGTTTGTAGATGACATGATTGTATAGTTAGAAAACCCCATCATCTCAGTCCAAAATCTCCTTAAGCTGATAAGCAACTTCAGTGAAGTCTCAGGATACAAAATCAATGTGCAAAAATCACAAGCATTCCTACACGCCAATAACAGACAAACAGAGAGCCAAATTGTGAGTGAATTCCTATTCACAATTGCTATAAAAAGAATAGAATACCTAGGAATACAACTTACAAGGGATGTGAAGGACCTCTTCAAGGAGAACTACAAACCACTGCTCAAGGAAATAAGAGAGGACACAAAAACAAATGGAAAAGCATTCCATGCTCATGCATAGGAAGAATCAATATCGTGAAAATGGACATACTGCCCAAAGTAATTTATAAATTCAATGCTATCTTCATCAAGCAACCATTGACTTTCTTCACAGAATTAGAAAAAAACTACTTTAAATTTCATATGGAACCAAAAAAGGGCCCGTATAGCCAAGACAATCCTAAGCAAAAAGAACAAAGCTGGAGGCATCATGCTACCTGACTTCAAACTATACTATAAGGCTACAGTAACCAAAACAGCATGGTACTGGTACCAAAACAGATATATAGACCAATGGAACAGAACAGAAGCCTCAGACATAATGCCACACATTTACAACCATCTGATTTTTGACAAACCTGACAACAACAAGCAATGGGGAAAGGATTCCCTATTTAATCAATGATGTTGGGAAAACTGGCTAGCCATATGTAGAAAACTGAAACTGGACTCCTTCCTTACACCTTATACAAAAAATAACTGAAGATGGATTAAAGACTTAAACGTAAGACCTAAAACCATAAAAACCCTAGAAGAAAACCTAGGCAATACCATTCAGGACACAGGCATGGGCAAAGACTTCATGACTAAAACAACAAAAGCAATGGCAACAAAAGCCAAAATAGACAAATGGGGTCGAATTAAACTAAAGAGCTTCTGCACAGCAAAAGAAACTATCATCAGAGTGAACAGGCAACCTACAGAATGGGAGAAAATTTTTGAAATCTATCCATCTAACAAAGGGCTAATATCCAGAATCTATAAGGAACTTAAACAAATTTACAAGAAAAAAACAAATGACCCCATCAAAAAGTGGGCAAAGGATATGAACAGACACTTCTCAAAAGAAGACATTTATGTGGCCAACAAACATGAAAAAAAGCTCATCATCACTGGTCATTAAAGAAATGCAAATCAAAACCACAGTGAGTTACCATCTCACGCCAGTTACAATGGCGATCACTAAAAAGTCAGGAAACAACAGATGCTGGAATGTGGAGAAATAGGAACGCTTTTACACTGTTGGTAGGAGTGTAAATTAGTTCAACCCATTGTGGAAGACAGTGTGGCGGTTCCTCAAGGATCTAGAACCAGAAATACCATTTGACCCAGAAATCCCATTACTGGGTATAGACCCAAAGGATTATAAACCATTCTACTATAAAGACACATGCACACATATGTTTACTGCAGCACTGTTCCCAATAGCAAAGACTTGGAACCAAGCCAAATGCCCATCAATGATAGACTGGATAAAGAAAATGTGGCACATACACACCATGGAATACTATGCAGCCATAAAAAAAAGGATGAGTTTGTGTCCTTTGCAGGGACATGGATGAAGCTGGAAACCATCATTCTCAGCAAACTAACACAGGAACAGAAAACCAAACACCGCATGTTCTCACTTGTAAGTGGGAGTTGAACAATGAGAACACATGGACACAGGGAGGGAAACATCACACACCAGGACCTGTAGGGGGGTGGGGGGCTAAGGGGAGGGATAGCATTAGGAGAAATACCTAATGTAGATGATGGGTTGGTGGGTGCAGCAAACCACCATGGCACGTGTATACCTATGTAACAAACCTGCACGTTCTGCACATGTATCCCAGAACTTAAAGTATAATAAAACAAAACAAAACAAAAAATAACAAGATCTACAAAAAAAAAAAAATCTGGAAATAAAATTCTCACATATATGATTAATTTTGACAAGGATACCAAGACAATTCGATGGGGAAAGATGGTGCTGGGATGAAAGAATAAATGTCCACATGCAAAACAATGGTTGGATTCCTATCTCACACCACCTATAAAAAATTAACTCAAAATAGAGCAAAGACCTGAATATAAGAACTAAAAGTATAAAACTGTTACAAGGAAACAAAAGTATAAATCTTCATGACCTTAGACTAGGTAATAGTTTCTTAGATATAATACCAAAAGCACAGAAGAAAAAAATTGATAAAAGTGGACATAACCAATATTTAAAATCTTGTGCTTCAAAGGACAAGATCAAGAAAGTAACCACCAACTGATATATTGTAACAAAATATATGGACAAAAATATAAATGTTTGGTGGGGAAAGACAAAATTTTTATAACTTAGAAAGTTGGAATTTTCAGAACTTTTACCTTATTAAGTTCTTTCCGTACCAACAAAACTTCTCCCATATTTACATCGATAGAAAGGTAATAATGAGGTATGGTTTGCTTTGATTGCATTAATCGCTGTGCAATAACCTGAAACCAAAGAGATTTAAAAAATCAATTATCTTGAGTTAAGACCTTAACTAATTTAGGGCTCTGTTTGTCTCTTCACCTTACTCTCTGCTAATACTTACCTCAAGCATTATTATAATTGAAAGATGGAGGACTCCGCCATAATATAACACCTCCTAGATTTTTTTTTTTTTTTGAGATGGAGTCTCGCTATGTTGCCCAGGCTGGAGTGCGGTGGTGCGATCTCGGCTCACCACAACCTCCATTTCCCAAGTTCAAGCAATTCTCCTGCCTCAGCGTCCCGAGTACTTGGGACTACAGGCATGTGCCACCATGCCCGGCTAATTTTTGTATCTTTAGTAGAGACGGGGTGTTTCACTATGTTGGCCAGGCTGGTCTCGAAGTCTGGACCTTGTGATCTGCCCGCTTTGGCCTCCCAAAGTGCTGGGATTACAGGCATGAGCTACTGCGCCTGGCCCTTCTAATAGGAACAAAGTGATTCAAGTATTCAGTTGGCCAAAACTTCCCTTAAAGTAATCATCCAATATTCCCAACTTAAAAAGCCTCTGTTAATGTGTTAAAAACTATGGAAGCAACTAAACAACCTAAAGATGCCCCTAACAGCTGATTCCAGATGATGGTAATTCTCTTACCCGACGAATGTTGCTGATTGGGATATCTGTGAAGACACCTGTAGGAACTGGTGCCATTCCAGGACCTGTGGGAGGCACAACAGCTGCCGGAGCCTATGGGAGGAAAGAAAAAGCTCTTAGTAACTGTGATTCAATCTTAGCGTAAGTACCTGGGAAAGACTGCCAGTGACTATGCAGTTTTTTTTTTTTGTCTTTTGAGACAGAGTCTTGCTCTGTCACCCAGGCTAGAATGCAGTGGCTCAATCATGGTTCACTGCAGCCTCAACCTCCTGGGCTCAAGCAATCCTCCCATCTCAGCCCCTAGAGTAGCTGGGACTACAGGTGCACGCCAACATGCCCAGCTAATTTTTTTGGATTTCTAGTAGAGACGGAAATTAGCCACGTTGCCCTGGCTGGTCTCAAATGCCTGGGCTCAAGTGATCCACCCACCTTGGCTTCCCAAAGTGCTGGGGTTACAAGCATGAGCCACCATGTCCAGTCTAAAAACTAAGCTTTATAGAATACCTATTTCTGTCCCCAGTGAGCAAAAGAGACTTCTGCTTGTTTTAAGAGTTTTAATTTTTTTACTTAGAATTCTGAAGTCATGTTTTAAGTGTCATTTTTCTTTGTATCAGAGTATGTTCAATGACCAGTTTGTGTCAAAATAATTTTGTTTTTGCAAAATTATGTTCAAGAAAAGCAATGGAAGCATTCTTAAGTTGCAAGGAATAATAAATAAGTATAAACAAGCTAATCCATTATCCTAAACAATGTTAAGAAAAGGGGGTTGGGAGGCTCACTTGAGCCTCACAATGACTCACTTGAGGCCAGGAGTTCGTGACCAGGCTGGCCAACATGGCGAAACCCTGTCTCTACTAAACATACGAAAATTAGCCAGGTGTGATGGCATGCACCTGTAGTCCCAGCCACCTGGGAGGCTGGGGCATGAGAATCGCCTGAATCCAGGAGGCAGAGGTTGCAATGAGCCAAGATCGCGCCACTGCACTCCAGCCTGGGCGACAGAGTGAGACTGTCTCAAAAACAAACAAACAAAAAAAACCAAACACCAAAAACAACTCATTCAACTGTACTTTAAAATATTTTGAAAAAGAAAAAAAGAACAAATCTTTTATTTCAAAGCAAAAACCGATTAACTAGCTCAAAACATAATGTGGAATACATGTCAATGTAGTATATCATCTTTGATCTTGTATATAAATGATAGCACACAAATATCTAAATACACTTGGCCCTCCATATCCATAAGTTCTGCATCACTGGATTCAACCAAAGGCAAATCAAAAATATTCCAGAAAAAAACAGATGGTTGCATCTGAACTGCACAAGTACAGACTTTTTGTCCTTATTATTATTTCCTAAGCAATAAAATATAACAACTATTTACATAGTATTTACCTTGTATTTAATATTATAAGTAATCTAGAGATGATTTAAAGTATTTGAGAGGATGTGGGTAAGTTATATACAAATACTACACTATTTTATATAAGAGACTTAAGCATTTGCGAATTTTGGTATACAAGGGGGCTCCTGGAACCAACCTCTCATGGGTACCGAGGGATGACTGTATTATTAAACCACTGAAATTAGAAGAAAACAATCTTGGTTGAGCTATTTCGTTCATAAATAATGTATGAAATGGTCTAACAGGCTGTAGAGACAAACTGCAAAAAAAGTAAGAGCTACACATAACTCACAGGAGCAACTTTACTAGGCACAAAAGAGTCGATATCCTTCTTGGTGATTCTACCATCTGGTCCTGTCCCTGTAAGAGACATAAATATCACATACATGATGACATACCATTGGTTCCCCAAGGAGATCAACGCTGTGATCCTAAACTGCAAGCTCCTAAGGGTTTACTACCAAAAACATTCTGAAAGGTTCACAGCCTTAACCCTACCCCTTAAGGTGCTACCTACAAATACCAGCTTTTGTCAACTATTAATTTTAATCCACACAGAGTACCAGTGTGTGATCTGGAGTGGGTCTTTTCTTTTTAACTACTGCAAATATTCCTTTATGTATTTCTCTTTTAGAGTTTTATCCAAGTTGTACTTAATTTTTTTCATCTTCCTTACTTTTAAATTGGGAAATGTGGCATAAGGATAATGCCGAGCACAGTTTATATCTCCAAAAGGGAAACTAGCTGCCTCCTCCTGGTTAGCTCCAAAAAACCATTCCTAAGCCGTGAAATAGATTTCATTTGGGTTCTGGATTTATGTGACCATAAAGAATTCCTTTTATACAGAATTTACAGGTATAACAATAATTGTTTTGACAAATCAAGTCGATTTTTTCACCCCAAAATAGCACGAATAACTCTTTACTGCAATTATCTTATCTTTAGAATCATTCATTCCTTATGTGGTCTCTATGACTCATAGCTTTTTCACAGTAGCCAAGGCTCTAAACTGGCCCGTGTTAAAGGAAATGAAGGAAAAAGGTGCAATGTCACACATGAGGAAGGATCTTCAAAGTTCTCTCAGTAGGTTTAATTTTACTTATATTCAATTTCCTCCCTCCTCCCACCTACAGCCTCTTAGGTTTAATTTTGGACCCAAGTAGATAATCTTGACCTTTAATTCTACGGAGATTCAGAATTTAGTTATTATTATAGAATACCTTTTACACTGGCCCACTTCTAGGAAAAATTTGGTCAAACTGATTCATCTTCCCCCAAGGCAGACTTTAAAAAGGACTCTTGTTGTGTGTAGTTCTTCCCAATTCCTTTCCTTCATTACGAAAACTGAGTTGGCTAGGATTGTATTTATCCTCACTAGGAGCTCTAGAACAGAGGTGGTAGTACCCCTATTAGATTTCTCTCCTTTGTAAAAGACAGAAACCATAACCTCCCCTTACAACCAAGGCTGATCTAGACACCACAGTCCCTCAAGAGGAGGAAATCCATAGTACCACCTGCCTTATGCTAAGCTTCAGCCACCCACAAGAATTTCCTGACTTAGGAGTTAGTTGAAACCTTGTAAACCCTTTTCCCTATCTCTCTTGGGCGGCACAACAGGCCATCATAAAGCAATATGGTATAAAGGGAACAACACTGGACTATGGGTAACAAAAAGTAGGGATCTTGTCAAACATAAACTATATAAACGTTTCATCCATTTCCATGGAGCAACCAAAATGATCTTTTCAAAACATAATCATTTTATTTCACTTCTTTGCTTAAATTTCTCAATGGCTTCCTCAAGTACTTTAAATAAAATTCAAACTCTTTACCATAATCTATAAGGTCATTTATGTTCTCATCCCTGTTTTTTTCCAATCTCATCTCCTACTAGACCCTTTGCTCATTATGCTTCATTAACACTGGCCTTTTTTTTTTTTCTTTGAGACGGAGTCTTGCTCTGTCGCCCAGGCTGGAGTGCAGTGGCACTATCTCGGCTCACTGCAAGTTTGGCCTCCCAGGTTCACGCCATTCTCCTGCCTCAGCCTCCCGAGTAGCTGGGACCACAGGCGCCTGCCACCATGCCCAGCTAATTTTTTTGTATTTTTAGTAGAGACGAGGTTTCACCGTGTTAGCCAGGATGGTCTCCATCTCCTGACCTGTGATCCACCTGCCTCGGCCTCCCAAAGTGCTGGGATTACAGGCGTGAGCCATTGCGCCTGGCCAACACTGGCCTCTTTTATGTTCCTCAGACATGCTAAACTCTTTCCCATTTCAGACTGTGTACAGCTAGTCTCTCTATCCAAAATGATCTTTCCCCAGTTCTTCACATGGTTGGCTCAAGCTGCCTCCTTCTTATCTTTCAAAACAAATCAAATGTCACCTCATCAAAAAGATCTCCCAACCAACCTGTCTAAAAGTAGTCATGACTGCACATATATCCATTCACCCTTTCACTCACTAGTATATCACTGAGTTTCTTTCTTTCTTAGCACTCAAATCATCTTATTTAATAACAAAAATATTATTATCATTATAGCTAATACCTAGATATGCTTTCTCTGTACAGGCACTGGTTAACTTATTTAAACCTCACAACCATTAAACCTAATGTTTTTATATACAAAGAAATTGTGACACAAAAGGTCACACAGCTAGTATAAAGAGCTGAGGTTCATACCCAAGCATTCCAGCTACAGAGCTCACACTCTTAACTACTATGCTATACTCCCTTTCTGTTCATTTAATTCTTTATTGTTGGTCATATAAGCAACTGAAACTGAAATCTTATCCATCTGATGAACAAGTGTCTGATGTGTAGATAGCAGTCGATGATATTTATCACCTAACTCTGCCTGCATAGTAAGAACAGTGGGATTTTCTTTCTTTCTTTTTTTTTTTTAACACTCCTCTCAGCTCATACCTAAGGGATTTTCCACTTATATCTTTAGTAAGGTAACGAGTATTGCTGAATATCTAATAAATGGTCCTTCTTTGCTTGTCTAAATTCTTTAGATATAATTATTAACCCAGTCCTTTCTCCCTTTAAAAGTTACTCCAACTTACACTGCTGTCCCTGATTCTAATCATATATACATATATGATAGCAATATACTACTGAAATGGCATTAAGATGGAAAAAAAAGAATCTTCCAATATTACAAGAATCTCTGAGGTCCAAAAAATTTACAACATTCTACTCTTGTGTCTTGGGATTGGCTTGACTTCTAACTACAAGATAGCAAATTGCAGATACGGGATAACCACCATTGAGTACCCATAACTAGAAAATTGGGGAAATAAGCATATTTTTCTTTAGTAATTATGGATGGCAGAGCATCAAAACAGAAGGCAGGATAGGGTAGTGTGAAGAAACAGGCTTTAGAGTTAAACAAATCTAGAGTTACACTGCAACTTTACTATTTAACAGGAAGGAAGAACCCTGAAGAGTCTGAGAGTCTGTTTTCTTATCCAGAAAATAAGGAATGATAATTCTTACTTCAAGAAGTGTTGTGTACATTAAGTATGGTAAGTTAAATGACTGACACATAGTACAAGCCATCAAACCAAGTTCCAAGCATAATAACTTCCCCCCATTCCAAATAAGTACCTTAGTTATCCTACACTAAATTTTAGCTTAAGTTTAATTCAAAAAAACTTATTTAAGCACCAGGCAGTAATATCAATATGAATGACAACTAACATGTATTGAGTACTTATATGCTAGATACAGTTCTAAGCACTTCACCTGTTATAGCTCATTTAACTCTCACAATCTATACGATGTACAGTACCTCAGTTTTACAGATAGAAAAGTAATTGACATAAGGACATACAATCTAAGTAATTCACTGGAAAACATATTACATAGAAAATTATAAAGCCAGGATTAAATGCTAGGTGGTCTGATTCCAGGCCCCATGCTCTTATCACAAAGCTATATTTTTTCTTTGGCGGCAGACAGACAAGTAAGGCGTTTTCCCTTGCCTTCAGGGAGCTCTAGTTCTGTTTTATATGAATTTTATTAAGTCATTCCAAATCACCCCAACTTCAAATTTTATTTTGCTTTGCTTATTGCTACAGTCAACCAAGCACTAACAGAGGTTTCTTATTACATAATCAAGTCCCATAACCAAATTTTACATATACTTTCACCAAACAAGCAGTTTCCATGAATAGAAGAGGAAAAAAAAAGGTATCTAAAGTGTATGGGTAGATTCTAGGCAGAGTAAATAAAGCTCAGTAAAAGTTTCCCTACTCTGTGGTGGCAACAAAAGAACTATTTCTCCCTTCTGAAGGAATTATTAATGATTGTCCCTACTATCCCAATTATAAGTACGGCTATACATAGTTGTACTTGCAAGTCTTAAGGAGGAAATTCAACTAAATTTTAACTTTATAAAGTCCATTCTATAGAAACAGATTTACCTTTTACTTGTGTAAGATCAATCCCTTTCTCTACTGCCAACTTCTTTGCAAGAGGGCTAACAAACACCCTTCCCTTTGGTCCAGCAGGAGTAGCTGGGCAGGGTGCTGAAGGTGTAGGAGCTAAAGGCTGGGGAGTTGGAGGAACAGCGGCCACCTTTTGAAAAAAAATTACAAATTGTTTTAATTCACCACTTCAAAGACTGGTCTGAAAGATTAAAAGTTTACATCTTATTAATAAATTAAAACTATTTTAATTAAATATTAATAACTTTCATTTTTCCAAAGATCATAATGTACTTTTCGCCAGCTTAACCAACATAATGTAGTAATACGAACAGCGAGAACAATATACTTCTATATCAAAGACAGAACAGTTACCTTATTCCATAACAACATGAAGCACAGAATTGAATATTGCCAATCAGTGTATAGTATTCTACAGCCTTTCTTCACTTTAATCTCTTACCACTTCTTTATTCGCATTCTTTTACATCACCAACATGATTTTTATTTTTAATTATCCTAACTTCTTTTTTTTTTTTCTTTTTATTTGAGACAGAGTCTTGCTCTGTCACCCAGGCTGGAGTGCAGTGGCGCAAACTTGGCTCACTGCAACCTCCGCCTCCTGGGTTCAAGCAATTCTCCTGCCTCAGCCTCCCAAGTAGCTGGGATTAAAGGCACGCACCACCACGCCCAGCTAATTTTTTGTATTTTCAGTAGAGATGGGGTTTCACCATGTTGGCCAGGCTGGTCTTGAACTCCTGACCTCAAGCGATCCACCTGCCTCAGCCTCCCAAAGTGCTGGGATTACTGGCATGAGCCACCACACCCAGCCAGCTAATTTCAAAATATAAAATTATGCTGTAAGGCCCCATGTTGAAAAGTATCTTAAGAAATACGGCCAGGTGTGGTGGCTCACACCTGTAATCCCAGCACTTTGGGAGGCCGAGGTGGGTGGATCACCTGAGGTCAGGAGTTCGTGACCAGCCTGGCCAACACGGTGAAACCCCTTCTCTACTAAAAATAAAAAAATTAGCCGGGCATGGTGGCTAACACCTGTAATCCCAGCTACTCGGGAGGTCGAGGCAGGAGAATTGCTTGAACCCGGGAGGCATAGGCTGCAGTGAGCCAAGATCACGCCACTGCACGCCAGCCTGGGTGACGGAGCAAGACTCCGTCTCAACAACAACAACAAAAGAAATCCAACAACAATGCTACTTGCCAGCTTCCCACAAATGTACAGTAGTCAGAAATCAACTTTTCTCTTATAGAAATGTTTACCTAGTTTAAACTCACATGATTCTAGCATCTGTGAGAATCACTGAAGCTTCACTGTCAGTGTTATCTCTGGTTGGAGTTATACAAGTTCAGGTTATAGTTATATAGTGTATCAAGTATTTGGTGATATAATAAATTCTAGGCAAAACAAGTCATGTCAAGGTTCCACTGTATCACAAATATATGCTTGACCTACTAAGTCAATAACAAGAGGATTTCAAGTGACAGAGATTATTCAGTATATTTAATAATAAATGGGCAATGAAGTGAGCTATGATTGCACCACTGCACTCCAGCCTCAGCAACAGGGTGAGACCTTGTCTCTTAAAAAAAAAAAAAAAGGGTGGGGCAATGAAGCCTTACTTTCCACAAGCATGGTATCTGTATCTAAAGCAGAAAGAGAACATGTCACTCAGCTTTGTTCTCAGCAGGACTCTAGATAGCAGGAAGAAAAAAGCTACAAGGCCCAAACTATCAACCATTAGGTGAACAGTGCAGTACAACAAACACTATAGGTCTCCACAAATGTTAATAAACTATCTCCCTCCTCAGTCATAGAATCTTGGAGGTGGAAGGAACCTAGGATATCATCTAATCAAAACTCCTTAATTTAGAGATGAACAAGGTAAGTGTTTCCTGAATTCTAGAAGCATACCTACCGGGGGTGGGGTAGGTGGTGGCACTTGTGGTTTTAAATCTGTTACTTCGGTTGGCCTATAGTCAGCAAATGCTGATATATCTGCCTCTTTTTCTACAATGATACAGAGTGGGGTTCCTAGAGGGACATCTCTTGTGCCTTCAGGGACCAGGATTTTTGCCAGATAACCTTCTTCCTGTACTTCAAAACCTTAAATAGAAAGAAAAAACATTATGGGACTTAAGAGATTCCACTATCCCTCCAAACTCACAGCACAGTTTTAAGTAAAGTGATTTTTCTCATTCAAGCTAGCTATATAGCCTTTTTTGCAACCTATTTAACCTTCTGTGTCTTGGTTTCTTTACCTACAATACGGGGATAATAATAGTACCAATCTCACTGGATTGGTACTGGGATGTTATACATTTAAACAGATTAATATTTTTCAAGTTCTTAGAAATAATACAACCTGGTACAAAGTAAATGCCAAATAAAAATCTGTTCAATAAAACTATGAAAGATTACAGACAGTGGTTAGTTCTCAAAGTTATTAAAAAATCTCCAAGGACAGTCCCCATGCAGACTCACAGGACTCTAAGATGGTGTCAGCTATGCTGCTAAAGATAAGAACCACATACATGCCTAATTAAGGGAGCTACCAACCTAGATACTAATGTTGGATTTCAGCCCTAAAAGCATCTTTGGAACTTTTCAAAGAGGTTATACTTGATATTATACCAAGTATTTCAATGTAAAGAATTACAGCTTTACTGGGATTTCTATGGTGTTGACAACTTATATTTTATTCAACTACTGCCTTCCTTGCAAAGAACTTAAACATTTAGGATTGCAAAAGTAAAACTAAAAGAAGCCATTGGCTTTCTGTACTGTTGTGCCTCTCCTTGATGAACACATCTTTGATGAATCCTTCCATTTCCCAGCTGAGAATACCCAATAAAAAATATGTTTAGGCTGGGCGCGGCGGCTCATGCCTGTAATCCCAGCACTTTGGGAGACCGAGGCGGGTGGATCACCTGAGGTCGGGAGTTCGAGACCAGCCTGACCAACGTGGAGAAACCCCGTCTCTACTAAAAATACAAAATTAGCCAGGCATGGTGGCGCATGCCTGTAATCCCAGCTACTCGGGAGGCTGAGGCAAGAAAATCACTTGAACCCAGGAGGTGGAGGTTGTGGTGAGCCGAGATCGTGCCATTGCACTCCAGCCTGGGCAACAAGAGCGAAACTCCGTCTCAAAAAAAAAAAAAAAAAAAAAAAAAAAAACACACACACACACACACACACACACACACACACATATATACACACACATATATATATATACACACACATATATATATGTTTAAGTCTGGAGATATATATATATATGTTTAAGGCTGGGCACGGTGGCTCACGCCTGTTATCCCAGCACTTTGGGAGGCCAAGGTAGGTGGATTACCTGAGGTCAGGAGTTCAAGACCAGCCTGGCCAACATGGTGAAACCCCATCTCCACTAAAAATACAAAAATTAGCCAGGCATGGTGGCAGGCGCCTGTAATCCCAGCTACTTGGGCAGCTGAGGCAGGAGAATTGCTTGAACCCGGGAGGTGGAAATTGCAGTGAGCCAAGATCATGCCATTGCACTCCAGCCTGGGCGACAAAGCAAGACTCTATCTCAAAAAAAAAAAAAAAAAAGGCTGGGTGCGGTGGTGGCTCACGCCTGTAATCCCAGCACTTTGGGAGGCACAAGGCAGTCAGATCACGAGGTCAGGAGTTCAAGACCAGCCTGGCCCACATAGTGAAACCACATTTCTACTAAAAATACAAAAATTAGCCGGGCGTAGTGGCATGCACCTGTAGTCCCAGCTACTCAGGAGGCTCAGGCAGGAGAATCGCTTGAACCCAGGAGGCAGAGGTTGTGGTGGGCCGAGATCACGCCACCGCACTCCAGCCTGGACAACAGAGCCAGACTCTGTTTCCAAAAAAAAAAAAAAGAAGTGTTTAAAATGAAAAGGCTCCTGGGCCACAATAGACTTCAAAGTTCAACCAAGGTAACACTTCTCTAGTGACTAGTCTCTATAGTGACACTGGTATTCAAGTTAAATGGTGAAGCAGAACTACTGTTTCCAAAGTTTCTGTGTTTTTAAGAAACAGAATCCTTTCTTCAAATAAAATTTATGGGGAAGCACAAAATACAAAAAGATAGAAAAGAACTGCTCTGCTGGAAGTAAGGCAGGGAGGCAGGGCTGTAAGGTCCTGCTCTTTAATTCCCCCTTTGCCTCAAGGTGCCTTAAAGGAATGATGGGATTTGAAGAACACAATCTGAAAACAACCAAGGCAGAGGATGCCCAGTACCTCCCATTACATCTTTGGGAAAGGCTTCCCTTTGGTGGTGATTATGAAGCAGAGAGGCTGGGTGCGGTGGCTTATGCCTGTAATCCCAGCACTTTGGGAGGCCGAGGCAGGCAGATCACCTGAGGTTAAAGAGCTCGAGACCAGCCTGGCCAACATGGTGAAACTCCATCTCTACTAAAAATGCAAAAAATTAGCCAGGCATGGTGGTGCATGCCTGTAGTCCCAGCTACTCGGGAGGCTGAGGCAGGAGAATTGCTTGAACCCAGGAGGCGGAGGCTGCAGTAAGCCAAGATCGCACCACTGTACTCAAGCCTGGGTGACAGAGCAAAACTCTGTCTCAAAAAAAAAAAAGAAAAAGCGGGGGTGCAGAGAGAAGAAATTCATAATACTACAAATCGCCATGGCTCACGCCTGTAATCCCAGCGCTTTGGGAGGCCAAGACAGGTGGATCACGAGGTCAGGAGATCAAGGCCATCCTGGCTAACACAGTGAAACCCCATCTCTACTAAAAATACAAAAAATTAGCCAGGCGTGGCAGCGGGCACCTGTAGTCCCAGCTACTCGGGAGGCTGAGGCAGGAGAATGGCGTGAACCCAGGAGGTGGAGCTTGCAGTGAGCTGAGACTGCGCCACTGCACTCCAGCCTGGGCAACACAGCGAGACTCCGTCTCAAAAAAAAAAAAAATAATAATAATAAATATATTATTGTCTATATGGGTTTTTTTAGCCTAAAAATGAATTAAGAAGGAGATATGTGGACATATGACATATCTGAACATATATATATTACACACATACATTCTATCAGTCATTCTCAAACTATGAAAACAATCTCAACCCTGGTTTCAGTTTTCCCTCAAAGTCATCTTAAATTCTTTGCTATTATCCTGCCATGGAAGTGATTTTCTCCTGTTTCTTCTTGACTTCCTTTGCCTAGTTTAGACAGCAGCAATTCTGATATAGCTTCTCAGTAACATAATAAGGCCAAGAAGCAAACTTGGGCCTAAAAATAATCTGTGAATTGACAGATTGATTGCCTTTGATTCAGTGAGCACAGGATGGAACTGACAAATCTGACTACGCATTATTTTTGTTATAAATTATGCTGGGCCAGGAACAGGGGCTCACGCTTGGAGTCCCAGCACTTTGAGAGGCCAAGGCAGGAGGATCGCTTGAGCCAGGAGTTCAAAACCAGCCTGGGCAATAAAGTGAGACCCCATCTCTACAAAAAATTTAAAAAATCAGCTAGGTGTGGTGGTTCAGGCCTGTAGTCCTACCTACTTGTGAGGCTAAAGCAGGAGGATCATTTGGGCATAAGCCCAGGAGTTCAAGGCTACAATGAGCTATGATCTTGCCACCGCACTCCAGCCTGGGCAACAGATTAAGACCCTGTCTGAAAAATAAGCAAATAAACAAATAAATAAATAAAAACTAAAGAATACATATAACTAAATAAAAATAAAATATTCTGTCCCAGAAAATGAATCCTAAGAATTATAAAGTTTTCATATTATCACTCACTCATTATAGGAAAGAATGGCAATCCTCTTCCTCATTGGGAAACTCAGTGCCTCAACCATTAAGAGCTGAAGAAATCTCACCTATAGTGGCTTTGTCAGTTTCTATCTCTGCCAGTAAGTCTCCTTCACTTAGCTTCTCACCCACTTTTTTTTCCCATCTCTGAACTGTGCCCATGGTCATGGTGGGAGAGAGGGCAGGAAGAAGTACCTGCAGAAACAAACACATATTATTGCTTAATACCAGGAAGACTTCTACATAATAAAAGTCTGGCAGACTTATGTGGTTTCATAGAATGATGGTGACTATGATAATCCAAATACTCACCACAGCAAAAGCTTCACACCTCAATAGCTTCCCACCAGGTAAATCATCCTTCAAATCTCATACTCTGACCCATACTCTTATACTCTCGCCCACACTCTAACACACACTCCAAGTTAAATGCAACAAGCACATGGGAAAGATTTCTTTCAGACAGTCAAAATTAATTTCTCAACATCTAAGTATGGAGCATCTTTTCATCTATTTTTATTTTTATTTTTATTTTGAGACAGAGTCTTGCTCTGTCCCCCAGGCTGGAGAGCAATGGCGCAATCTCGGCTCACTGCAACCTCCACCTCCTGGTTTCAAGTGATTCTCCTGCCTCAGCCTCCCGAG
Source organism: Homo sapiens (assembly GCF_000001405.40). Taxonomy (NCBI): domain Eukaryota; kingdom Metazoa; phylum Chordata; class Mammalia; order Primates; family Hominidae; genus Homo; species Homo sapiens. Next base: position 112,032,953 of record NC_000011.10, on the reverse strand, counting down.
TAGCTGGATTACAGGCGGGTGCCATCATGCCCACTAATTTTTGTATTTTTGTAGAGATGGGGTTTTACCATGTTGGCCAGGCTGGTCTCTGAACGCCCATCCACAAGTAATCCGCCCGCCCTGGCCTCCCAAAGTGCTGGGATTACAGGCGTGAGCCACCGCGCCCAGACTTCATTTTTTTTTAACCAAGAAGTTTTTCATTTTCACAAAATGACCTTGGTCCAAACCATTCTGTTAAAATTTTACTGCGCTCTGTACTTAGCATCTACCTATTTTTTACCCACAGGAAACTGCATTTGTCCCAACCTTACCAGATATCTTTCCAAGATAAAAACGTAATATTAAGAACTGTTCTGTGCTCGCTTCAGCAACACATATACTAAAATTGGAACGATATAGAGATTAGCATGGCCCCTGCGCAAGGACAACAAATTCGTGAAGCATTCCATATTAAAAAAAAAAACATTATTTGGTGACAATAGTTAATAACAATGTATTGTATTCTTGTAAATTCCTGACAGTAGATTTTTAAGTGGCCTAAAAGATAAGTCTATAAAGTAATGCATATATAAATTAGCTCAATCTAGCCATTCCACAATATATACATATTTCAAAACAACTTGTTGTATATAATATATGTACACAGAATTCTTACACAGAATTTTATTTGATAATTTTTTTTTTTTTTGAGATGGAGTCTTACTCTGTTGCCCAGCCTGGAGTGCAGTGGCATGATGATCATTCAAAAAAATAAAACAGGAGGCCAGGCACAGCTGTTCACATCTGTAATCCCAGCACTTTGGGAGGCCAAGGATCACTTGGGAGGGGCGGATCACTTGAGGCCAGGAGTTCAAGACCAGCCGGGCCATCATGTCGAAACCCCCTCCTCTGCTAAAAATACCAAAATTAGCTGGGCATGGTGACACCCACCTGTAGTCCCAGCTACTCAGGAGGCTGAGGCATGAGAATCGCAGAGGTTGCCGTGAGCCAAGATCGTGCCACTACACTCCAGCCATGGTGACAGAGCAAGACTGTCTCAAAAAAAAAAAAAAAAAAAAAAAAAAAAAACAGGAAAGACCAGCATGGTGGCTCATGCCTATAATCTCAGCATTTTGGTAGGCTGATGCAGGAGGATCACTTGAGCCCAGGAGTTCACGACCAGCCTGAGCAACATGATGTAACCTCATCTCTTAAAAAAAAAAAAAAAAAAAAATTAGCTGGGCATGGTGGCACGTGCCTGTAGTCACAGCGTCTTGGGAGGCTGAGGTGGGAGGATGGCTTGAGCCAGGAGGTCAAGGCTACAGTGAGCTAAGATTGCACCACTGCACTCCAGCCTAGGTGAAGAGTGAGACCCTATCTCAAAAAATAAAATAGCTAGGTGTGGTGGTATGTGCATGTATTCCCAGCTAGTCGGGAGGCTGAGGCAGGAGAATCGCTTGAACCCAGGAGGCAGAGGTTGCAGTGAGCCGAAATCATGCCACTGCACTCCAGCCTAGGTGATGGAGTGAGACCCTGTTTCAAAAAATAAATAAATAAAAATAAAAAACCAGGGGTAAAAAAAGCCCTGTTTTTATAATAGCCATTTCCACCCCAATAATATCCAAACATCAGAATGCCTATCTAAATGTAAAATTGCTTTACTATTTATATGGCTTGTGTATCCACTGAATTTGGTTTCATTTGCTATCCTCTTTGTCTTCTGTATCTGATTAGCAACAGGATTATGCGGAGAGGAAAATAACTTCAATTGAAGATGTTTCCAGAGAGGGGAAAGTAAGACAAGCCTTAGAAAAAAAATTGTAAGTGCTTTTTTTGTGCAGAATTTGCCATCTTCATCTGCTTCTTAAGAAACAGTGAAGCCAATAATCTCTATACAGTATCTTAAAGAATACTATCAGAGATTCAGAATCCAATTCAGTATCTTAAAGAATAATTAAGGTAAAACCCTAACACATGCACACAAAGCTACAGACACAAAGTAGAGGAAAATTAAGTCAGTCTTACATCATGAGATAGAATTTGCCGAACAGCATGTAATACATGTGTGAACTGAACACCTGGCAAAAAATCCTAAATGATTGTTACTAACAGACCATGGAGTAGAACATTATTTCCAAAGGAGAAAAAGATTCCTATACAAAAATTTCTACAAATAAACTAGATTAAGGAGAAATGCCAGTCAGAATTATTTAGAAAAGGACGGCTGGATTTTTATCCACTTTTAACATCTAAAGCACACAAATATACAGACGATAACCCTAATACCTAATAAACTGACTTAGTTTCTTAGAAACTGATTTAGTTAGCACAATCAACAGTGATTACATTCACTGCCTTCAACTTTGATGCAACACTATTACATATGTGTATCTTACACTTAACTTTTGTCAGTTTTCTCATTTATTAATACTATTGGACTACTTCACCCACTCTTGGAAAATAGATCACCACATGTCAAAAGAACACCAACTGGGGACTTTCATTCAACAGACAGCACTTGACACCTATGATACAGCTTGGATGTCTGTCCCCTCCAAATCTCATGCTGAAATATGATCCCCCGACTTCCGTTTCCGGGTCAGAGCCATGGTGGTGGCAACTTCAAGCCCTGCTAACCCCATGGTGTTCTTTGATGTCAGCAATGGCAGTCAGGAAGTTGGCCGCACAAAGATCGAGCTCTCTGCAGACGTTGTGCCTAAGACGACCGAGAACTTTGGGTAGTTCTGCACTAGAGAATTCAGAAAAGATGGGGTTCCAATAGGATACAAAGGAAGCACTTTCCACAGGGTCATAAAGGATTTCATGATTTAGGGTGGAGATTTTGTTAATGGAGATGGTACTGGAGTCGCCAGTATTTACCAGGAGACATTCGCAGACGAAAATTTTAAACTTAGACACTCAGCTCCAGGCCTGCTTTCCACGGCAAACAGCGGTCCCAGTACAAATGGCTGTCAGTTCTTTATCACCTGCTCTAAGTGTGATTGGCTGGATGGGAAGCATGTAATGTTTGGAAAAATCACTGATGGACTTCTAGTGATGAGAAAGATTCAGAATGTTCCCACAGGCCCCAACAATAAGCCCAAACTACTGTGGTGATCTCAAAGTGCGGGGAGATGTAGTCCAGACCAAGACTGAATTAGGCCTTCCCTTCTTGGTGGTGTTCTTGAGTAAGATAATCTGGACTGGCCCCTGTGTTTGCTTCCCTGCCTGCTGCTGCCCCATTTGATCAAGAGACCCTGGAAGTACTGGAGATTCAGAATCCAAGACTGTGTAAATAAAGTTTTTTTGTATGTGGAAAAAAAAAAAAAGAAATATGATCCCCAATGTTAGAGATGGGGTCTGGTGGCAGGTGTCTGGGTATTGGAGGAGGATCCCTCGTGAATGGCTTGCTGCATGCCCCATGGTAATGAGTTAAGGGGAAATCTGATTGCTATAAAGAGCCTGGTTACCCACTCCCCTCTGTCTCTTGTTCCCTCTCTCATGGGACACACCACCCTTCCCCTTTCCCTTCCAACTTCCACCATGATTGTAAGCTTCCTGTGGCCACAAGAGAAACAGATGCTGGCGCCCTGCTTCTTGTACAGCCTGCAGAACCTTGAGCCAAATGAACCTTTTTTCTTTATAAATTACCCAGCCCTAGGTATTTCTTCATGCCAAAGTAAAACAGACTAACACAGCCTGCTATAAACTCTAATTATACAGGGAATAGATGTTAGTAAAAATCATCCTCAAAATCTGTAATGTAATGTTCTTGAATGAAAAGTGCCACGCATTACCCTGTGTACTACACTGAGGCTGAGAAAGGTTACAGGAACTGTTCAAGTTCTTATAACTGGAAATAACAACCAGGAAGAATAGTTGTCAATCTTCATGTTTAAACCTATATACTCCCAAATGACAAGACCTAACCACATTTAATGTCAGTTTCCAAGATGTAGTAGCCATCTATGAAAAAAAGTGAGTAAGTAAGTAATCACCTAGAGCAAAAACTCAGAGGCTGAGCCTCACCTGCATGTGAGGGGGATATGAGCTACCAGGAGCCTGAGCAGAAGGTGTAGGTGGCGAAGCAGTGGCAGCAGGGGTTGGTGCTGGGGCCGCTTGTGGGGTAGGTGCTGCTGAGGAATCCAGTGTATAATTTTTAAAGGCCTCAATATCCTCAGGCCTAAGGAAGAGAAAGAATGCATAAATATAATGGGCAGATTCAGCTTTCACAAAAGTAGTCTTAAAAAATAGTCTTTAACTCCTAATTCTCAATTCTGGGTAAAATACTCCACCAAGCAATGAAGTTCCACAAATTATGAGCGCACTACTCACTTGCCAACTGTGATACAGATGATCGCTCCGATGGGAACATCCCTGGTACCTTCAGCAACAAGTATCTTTGCCATATAACACTCCTCCAGGCTCTCAAATCCAACAGTGGCTTTATCAGTTTCAACCTTTTAACACAAAAAGCAGTAGCTCAGGTTTGTACTGTTGGTATGTAATTTATTAGCTTGTGTCTAGAATTTTTTTTTTTTTTTTTTTTTTTTTGAGACACAGAGTCTCATTCTGTCACCAAGGCTGGAGTGCAGTGGTGCAATCTCGGCTCATTGCAACCTCCCCCTCCCAGGTTCAAGCGATTATCCTGCCTCAGCCTCCCGAGTAGCTGGGATTACAGGAACAGGCTGCCATGCCCGGCTGATTTTTGTATTTTTAGCAGAGACGGGGTTTCACCATGTTGGCCAGCCTGGCCTTTGTGTCTAGAATTATACAGTTCATGTGAAGATAAGGCCACTACGACAGATTTCAAAGAAGAAATTACTTTAGAAACGCCTTGGTTAAAATCAGTTTGGCCAGCTGCTGACAACTTATCCAACCAATCTTGTCTAACATCAAGTTGTGAAAAACACTTCAGTTTCTTAAACAAAGGGGTAGCTACACATCCAGAAAGTCAATGTTCAGTCAATTAGGCAAAGCCAGTCTCTTCGAACTCATCTCCGTTACTTTAAAACAACTTACCCTCTCCCTCTCCCTCTCCGTCTCCCTCTCCCTCTCCCCACGGTCTCCCTCTCCCTCTCTTTCCACGGTCTCCCTCTGATGCTGAGCCGAAGCTGGACTGTACTGCTGCCTTCTCGGCTCACTGCAACCTCCCTGCCTGATTCTCCTGCCTCAGCCTGCTGAGTGCCTGCGATTGCAGGCACGCGCCGCCACGCCTGACTGGTTTTCGTATTTTTTTGGTGGAGACGGGGTTTCGCTGTGTTGGCCGGGCTGGTCTCCAGCTCCTAACCGCGAGTGATCCGCCAGCCTTGGCCTCCCGAGGTGCCGGGATTGCAGACGGAGTCTGGTTCACTCAGTGCTCAATGGTGCCCAGGCTGGAGTGCAGTGGCGTGATCTCGGCTCGCTACAACCTCCACCTCCCAGCCGCCTGCCTTGGCCTCCCAAAGTGCCGAGATTGCAGCCTCTGCCCGGCTGCCACCCCGTCTGGGAAGTGAGGAGCGTCTCTGCCTGGCCGCCCATCGTCTGGGACGTGAGGAGCCCCACTGCCTGGCTGCCCAGTCTGGAAAGTGAGGAGCGTCTCTGCCCGGCTGCCATCCCATCTAGGAAGTGAGGAGCGCCTCTGCCCGGCCGCCCATCGTCTGAGATGTGGGGAGCGCCTCTGCCCCGCCGCCCCGTCTGGGATGTGAGGAGCGCCTCTACCCGGCCGCGACCCCGTCCGGGAGGTGAGGAGCGTCTCTTCCCGGCCGCCCCGTCTGAGAAGTGAAGAGACCCTCCGCCTGGCAACCGCCCCGTCTGAGAAGTGAGGAGCCCCTCCGCCCGGCAGCCACCCCGTCTGAGAAGTGAGGAGCCCCTCCGCCCGGCAGCCACCCCGTCTGGGAAGTGAGGAGCGTCTCCGCCCGGCAGCCACCCCGTCCGGGAGGGAGGTGGGGGTCAGCCCCCGCCAGGCCAGCCGCCCCGTCTGGGAGGGAGGTGGTGGGGCCAGCCCCCCGCCCAGCCAGCCGCCCCGTCCGGGAGGGAAGTGGGGGGGTCAGCCCCCGCCTGGCCAGCTGCCCCGCCCGGGAGGTGAGGGGCGCCTCTGCCCAGCCGCCCCTACTGGGAAGTGAGGAGCCCCTCTGCCCGGCCACCACCCTGTCTGGGAGGTGTACCCAACAGCTCATTGAGAACGGGCCATGATGACAATGGCGGTTTTGTGGAATAGAAAGGGGGGAAAGGTGGGGAAAAGATTGAGAAATCGGATGGTTGCCGTGTCTGTGTAGAAAGAGGTAGACATGGGAGACTTTTCATTTTGCTCGGTACTAAGAAAAATTCTTATCCTGTTGATCTGTGACCTTACCCCCAACCCTGTGCTCTCTGAAACATGTGCTGTGTCCACTCAGGGTTAAATGGATTAAGGGCAGTGCAAGATGTGCTTTGTTAAACAGATGCTTGAAGGCAGCATGCTCCTTAAGAGTCATCACCACTCCCTAATCTCAAGTACCCAGGGACACAAACACTGCGGAAGGCCGCAGGATCCTCTGCCTAGGAAAACCAGAGACCTTTGTTCACTTGTTTATCTGCTGACCTTCCCTCCACTATTGTCCTATGACCCTGCCAAATCCCCCTCTGCGAGAAACACCCAAGAATGATCAATAAAAAAAATAAATAAATTAATTAAAAAAAAAAAAAAAAACTTACCTCTGCAATTAGGTCACCTTCATTGATTTTGTCCCCCTCTTTTTTTTCCCAACGGGCTATGGTGCCTGCCTGCATTGTGGGGGAAAGAGAAGGCAATGGAACCTGGAAAAGGAAAAGAAGAAACATTAAAATTTTTAAGGACTACCTAACTCTCAGTCTGGCTTAAGATTTCATTCAATTCAATTTCATGCAAAGTGTATACAGTTCCATTGCACATTGGGAACTAGGGATGCCAAGGGAGTTCCTGTCCATGAGAAGTTAGTAATTTCCAGTGACAGGCTTTCTCCTCCACAGTCCTGTGGGTCTGACAAAGCATGAACCTCGGCAGATATTCTGCATACAGCCCCAGTCTTGAAGCTCTCCTTTCAATGAAATAGATCATGAGAGGGACACTAAGGAGCTACAGCAAAGCCAACTATTGGACAAAGGGCCAAAGCAGATACTGGGAATGGGTGGAGGATCAGTGAGGCCTCTCAAGGAGGATCTTGCAGGCATCCAGTCAGCTCTGAAGGACAACGGGGTCCCGAGAAGGGGGGTCTAGGGCTCACCTTCTGATGCGGGGGAAGACTGTAATAGCGGCGGCCGGGCGACCCCAAAAGCTGCAGCAGTAAGCGGTTCCGCGGCGTGGCCCCAGAACTGGGGGTCCAGCCGCACAGTGCCCGGACCCCGCCATACCCTGTAGTCACGCTGTTGCGACGAGCGGGAGCCGGGCCAGATCGCGAGGTCACTCGTGGAGTTCCGGGTACCTCCTGCAAGGCCGTCCACCGAGCCTCGAGTCCCGCCCATGGGGCTACATTCTGAGCCCGTCGCGCACAGACGCGCCACATAGTGCCACCAACCCCCCACACCCCAAAACCAACGCCGTCTCCGGAGTGACCTCTCCAAGAGCAGCGGCGTTGCCGTCAGCCACACCGCACAGCCGCACGTTGTCGTAAAATGGTTCCCGCAGGTTTACTCCACCCGCTCCCCAGGCCAGAAATGCGCGGCACGCACGCTCTTTCTCTACGGAGCGGGGACGAGGGGCACTACGGGGCAGGAGTGTTCCAGAGGGGCCTGTGCGGGCGCAAGTTTGGGAGAAATAACAGACGGAAAGGGGTGGAAAGTGGTAGGGTTCTAGGGGAGGCATCCGAAAGGGTGAGACGGGGCCTAAGAGATGACAAGGGCACGACCGAGGGGGAGGGGCCTAAAAAGGCGCAGAGACGCGGGTTAATTGCGGCCGAGTGGCCTGAGAGTCTGGGCCGAGGGGCGTGGCCAAGCTTTCTGGAAAAGCTGGAAGTGAGCCCGGGAACTGGCTAGGGCAGTGGGAGCCTCAGGCCAAAGGGCGGGGGTCTTGGAGTGCTGGGGTGGTGAAGGAGCCAGGAATCGCCCGCGAGGGAATCGAGGGGTCCGGCGTGGTGACCTCTGCTTCTGCGCATCCGAAGGGGGATGGACTGGGCCGCGCCCCGCGCAGGCTGTACTGGTTGCAAAGATTTCGTTTCAGGTTTGTAGCCCAAGTGGAAAGTGGAGTGAACAGGTGTTCCACCCAGCCAAGTGGTAACGAAAGGCAGCCCAGAGGAAGATACATTCCCGCATTCATGTATACTGTAGCAAGATTAAGCATATTCCCTGTATGAAGATATAGGTTTACAAAACAGGTGTTGCTCCCTAATACCATAGAATTCTTTTAAGTAACCAAAAGCTTCGTTATGTTTCAAATGTTTGAAAAACTTAACTGTAAGCCGTTGAAGGCATGAAGAGTGTCTGCGTGGTCCTTCCATGTAGCCCCAGAGCTTAATATCCAGTAAATAGCGGGGGCTGAATGTATGTCTTTTGAATCAATGAATAAAAAGTCATCTACACATTTTGTTAGGCACGCTTCTCTTGTAAAGTTGTCTTTTAATTAGAAAACATATCGTTTCTGAACTGAAGGTGACATTAGATAAGGAGGAAGCATGTGCTGTGTATCACCACCTCCCCCCTGTAGAGATGGTTAGAGAACACCAAGAACGCAAGAGGAAGTTGGAGGGAAGAAACTTAAAACAAGATTTTAGCCAGGAGCGGTGGTGCATGCCTGTAGTCCCAGCAATGCTTGAGAGGCTGAGGTGGGGGAATCACTTGAGCCCAAGAGTTTGAGACCAGCCTGGGCAACATAATGAGACTCCCATCTGTTAAAAAAAAAAAAAAATGGGGGCTAATCTTGCTAACAATTAATTTGGAAAACTAAAACAGATTGGATGTACTATTTCATGCCTACTTAAATTGGAATGTTTAAGCAGGTACAGCTGTCTATCAGAATAATATGTAAGCAATATAATTGAGAAATATAAAATTTCTAGATTGAATGAAAAGGCATATTTTAAATAATATGAAGAGAGCAATTATATTGTTACAATTATGTACAACTTATGAATTAACAATTGGAAGAAGCAATGAAAGAATAATTGTAATTACTGAAAGGACTTATTACTATTATTTGGGGATGGAGTCTCACTCTGTCGCCCAGGCTGGAGTGCAGTGGCATGATCCCGGCTCACTGCAACCTCCACCTCCCAGGTTCAAGCGATTCTCCTGCCTCAGCCTCCCGAGTGCTGGGATTACAGGCACGTGCCACCATGCCCAGCTAATTTTGTGTTTTTAGTAGATACGGGGTTTCACCATGTTAGTCATGCTGGTCTCAAACTCCTGACTTCAGGTGATCCACCTGCCTCGGCCTCCCAAAGTGCTGAGATTACAGGCGCGAGCCACCATGCCCGCCCAGGACTTATAAATTATTATAAAAATGTTTTTGAGTTGGCTAAAATATCTTGCTGCTTTTGCTGCATTTGAACTTAATAACTGGATCTAAATTAGACTTTGGTATAAAGTATGAGGTGATCTTCCGGATCTGTTGTGCACTTAGGTATGCTTGCTTAAACCCTGTTTTGCATTTTTCAAAGAATAGCGAGTTTGTGTCTTGAATATACTTTTGACTTAAGTGTAGTTAAATTATAGGAATGCATAGCTCAAACAGTCCAGAGATGGCGAGCTTACCCCAGAGGTGGGCTAGGAATGCTTAGGTTTCTCAAATCAGTCCTGAGAGAACAAGCTTGAATTCCACTAAACAGACTGGATAAAGGAAATTATGGAAAAGGAGACTCAAGACTCAAAGGTTTGAAATAGAGATACTTAAGAGAATGGTGATATCACTGATATTGAGAGAAACAGAAATTAGTTGGTAGTGAAAGATTTTGAGTTATGTACATATTTAATTTTAACATAATGGGATAGCCAATTAATAGTTGAAAATACGTAATTGGAAGTCAAATGAAGGCACTCAGGGATAAAGAATTTAATATAGCAAACATTTAAGATGAATTGATAAGAGGCATTTAAGAGGCAGCTTTCAAATGATCTGGGAATTCTGGTCATTTTAAATACACATTTCTGAAAGAGTTCTTAATGCTTGCATACTGACTTTTGTCATAGAGTTTATACTCTTGGGTTCTTATTTGTTTGCATGTTTACATATAATTTCAAAATAAGTGCTAAATAAATTGTCCTTGATAATAGCCTATGTGCTTACATAGAAATACTAATTGTAAAATATCTGTAGCAATAAAGTAATTCTTATCTCCACTCCACATAGTGAGTAAACATGCTACCAGGGAGATCACTTGAGGAAATTTGCTTTCACTAAATGTAAATGGCTTTATTGATTAATCTCATCAGTAAACGCAAGTGAAAATCATTAATGATATTTAGTTTGCAAACCCCATTTTATTCATAGTTTGTGGTTTTTTAAATTAGTTCACAAATCTGGTACATACCGGCAGTTAAAACTGGTTATCACTTTGATAATCAGAAGCCTCTGGTGTAACATAGTCTTCATGAAAACATATTGTAAAACAGGGAGAATACACAGTAATAATCTCTTTGAAAGCAATGGCTGTAAACATCCATGTTTCTAAGAAAATATAACTTTACATATATATGTATTTTAAGCAAGCTATACCTCTTACATAAATTCAGACAGTAGAAGGAGTGTGCAATCATAATGCTTATTTTATGGAAACAGTGAAAATAATTTTAATTATGACCTAAATGCTTTTAAGTAATTAAAGTCCTCTTGAATTGGATGTATAGTATAAAGATATTTTCCCTAATTTGCAACCATCCTGGTCAAAAAGAGCTGAAAAGTTGGTCAGTAAGTAGAAGTGCCATTACCAAGTAAGTTTAAAACAAATTCTTCAAATTTAAAAATGTAAAAATTGTAAAGTATCCCAATCCCCCCAGCTAATTTAGGGAACTGAGCAAGAAGAGAACATTCTTCAGTTTTTAAATGACTTTTTTTTTTTTTTTTTTGGAGATGGGGTCCTGCTCTGTAGCCTAGGCTAGAGTGCAGTGGCATGATCAGCTCACTGCAACCTCAAACTCCTGGGCTCAAGCAATCTTCCCACCTCAACCTCCTGAGTAGCTGGGACTACAGGTGTGTGCCACCATCCCCAGCTACTTTTATAATAAAATTTCTATGTAGAGACGGAGTCTTCCTACGTTGCCCAGGCTGGTCTTGAACTCCTGGGCTCAAGCAGTCTTCCTGCCTCGGCCTCCCAAAGTGCTGGAATTACAGGCATGAGCCACCACACTCAGCCTTAAATGAAGATTTTGTAAGGAATTGAGCATTCAACTAAACTCGTTTTTGTGAGATGGTCATTTTGTTTTAACCTAACATGGTTTAGAGATTATTTTATGAACTCTAAGCATTCTGGTTCCTCAGTTTTCTCAAAGAAAGAGAACTTTAGCAAGTAGCAGGACAAGCTACCCCACACCAATGCCACCAGGCGACAATACTATGAATAAGTCAGGAGGCCTCCTAGAATGCAGCCAAATAGGAAACTGTTCCAAACAGAATCAGTCTTGCATACTTCTGCTCAGAAGGCTCCTCTCGCTTTGGAAACTGGAATGAGGATCACCAACAGGATCCTCATTTTACACAGGAGTTATGAGAGTTACATCCTCTAGCAGAGATGCTTGGTCATTACCTGTGGTACATGAGATTACCGAGCTAAAAGGGAAAAAAAACGATCTTAATGTTCTCCCATGAACTCAACTTAAGCTTTTTATGGAGGCACTGAGGCCATGCAGCTCCTTTTCCAAAAGACACAGATAAAAGCCAAATAAGGTAGAGGACTTTGGAAATTTTCTCTGAAAAGTTAAATTCCACATAATAGTAAGACTGTTTGCTGAGAGAAAACTGACAAGTAAAAACTGGTTTAAGAGACAGACATTCAAGACAAACTGTATTGGAAATACAATAATGAATTTTGGCCTGATAGCCCTCATGCTGTCTTATAGCAAAACACTAAAATTCATGCAACAGAGAAATTGGTGACATGAGGACTTTTTCTCCAGACTTCCTGGGGAAAAACTGTGAG